>NW_021160007.1:0-297568 GCF_000001405.40 Homo sapiens | reverse complement strand
GATCCCAGCCATCTGAGCAAGCATTAAGGAGGATTTCTGAAAGCACATCCTGGTGTGGCTGCATCCCTGACCACGTCCGGCTGTGCTCGAGTGCGCCTGTCACACACAGCTTTGGAAGGCACCTATCACACATCTCCCATCTGCTTTTCTTCTCAGAGTGCAGGCGTGAATTTGCAGCCAGAGAAACCAGGAGCACCCGTGTTCCCATATGAGGTTCTTCATAAGCAGAGAGGGGTGACGGCTGTGTTAGGGCCTGGACAGGGGAGGGTCAGGAGTGGGGTCAGCTGAATAGGGGGCCTTGGGACCCCTTAACCAAAATTCTCTCCACACAGCCGTCCTCCTCTTTTTCAGTCTGTGGTTACTTAGAATTACTTTCACCTCAGTCAGGTGATGTGGCTCCTCCTGAAAGCAGAGGCAGCAGCCCTGGGCACGGGGAGGCTAGCCAGAGGCTGCAGGGTGGCCCTTGTTGGGTGGACAGGGCCTTGCCCACACCCGTGCCCTCGGCCGGCTGTGGATCTCCAGCCCTGCCCTTCTCTCCCTGGTGCCTCCTCCTGCTTTTGTGACAGTTTGCGGGGGCCTTGAATTGGGACACGCCTGTGAGCTGGGGCTGCGGCACCTCCTGCGTCCCCAGCTCCAGCTCAGCTCACGTGGTGCCTGGTACTCCGTGCAGTGCAGCTTACAGGGTGGTTAACCTGGCCCAGGTAAGGAGGCCCCGAGGCCACAGTCGCCACAGCGGCCACCAGGGGCCATTTGTGCCTCCCCAGAGCCCTTTTGTGCCAGGGAGCGTGGGGTCCTTGGTTTCAGAAGATGAACGCAGGCCATGTTCCAGGCCCCATCCGCACACCCGAGACAGGCAGCCCGTGATTGTCATTGACGCAGTACAAGTTCCAAGCATAATTTCAGAAGAGTGCATGGATGAGAGCTGAGGGGCAAGCCCACCTCCCGTCCCGGCCCTGCCCCGCCCACCCTGTCACCTGCCAGAGTGACACTTTCTGTCAGCCACTGCATTTCCCATCGGCCCATGGCTGTGCCCTCCTGCCTGCCACAGGCCTGAGACCCCCACTCCCAGCTAGACGGGGTTGGGGGAAAGGCCAAAACTTGGTGCAGGCACAGGAGTGCCAAGGCCTTTGTGCTAGGTGGCCCTGTGTGCAGAGGACGGGGCTGGGGTCGGCCTGGCTGGACTGAGCCCAGGTGGGGGGCGGGGGCGGGGGTGGGGGCAGGGCTCGGGGAGCTTTGGGCGAGATTGGAGCTGGGTCTGGAAGGGCGGAGGAGCCTGGGAAGTGGGGAGGAGCCTGGCGAACCGTTTCTGCAGGTGCTGGTGCTGTTCCTGCCCTGGGAGGCCCCTCTAAGGTGCTGGGAGGCCTGGGTTGTTGCTGGTGTCTGCAGCAGTTCTGAGGAGCAAGAACCTTCCCTGGGTCCCAGGACTCTCTCTCCTCTGCCTCAGCGTCCGGGTCCCCGGATCCAGCTGCATCCCTGGCGATCCCCTTCCCTCATCCTTGCCTTGAGGCCCAGGGCCCCGTGAGTACCAGACGCTGTTATCAGGGGCCTGAGCTGCAGGGAGGAGCTGCAGTCTATTAAGATTTAAAGAGATTTGATGTAACAAGACAAGCACGAGAAGGAATTTAATTTAGAGATAAAAAAGTAATCAAATCTCAACCTGTGGACAGAGGACAGTGCCTGGATGCCGATTGTTTTCATACAGCAACATGCAGCGCGCGTTAAGAGGCAATTAACGTGGCTGCTGGGTTTCAGAACCGCAGGGCGGAGCCCTCTCCGAGCCCTGAGCTGTGGCCACCTGGACACATGCAGAACTCGAAAATGATTTTCCCGCAGAAGCTGAGGGCGTGGGCTCAGCTCGGGGTGAGGGAGTGTCTCCTCATGGTCCTTTCCGTGAACTCAGATCTGCAGAAGCCTCGTTGCAGCCGTCGTGGGGCATCGACGCCGATGCCTCTGACCCGCTCGCAGTTCTGGAAAACGACTCTGTGGCTTTTTTCCAATGTTCTCTTGCATGCACCGACGCTTCCTTCCTGCCTTTGGTGTCTTCTCAGGAGCAGCTGTGGCCTGTCCTCCTGCACCCTTCCCAGTGGGGATGGGCCTGTGGGGGATGGATTTTAGGGGATGGACTTGTGGGGTCTGTAGGGTTGGGTCTGCATGGGATGGGTCTGTGGGGGATGGGCCTGTTGGGGATGGAGTTGTGGGGGATGGTTAGGGGATGGTCTGCAGGGTTGGGTCTGTAGGGTTGGATCTGTGGGGGTTTGTGCCACCCCTGCCCTGCATCTCGGCCTCTGTGTTTGTCCCCATCTAGTTCTTGTTCTGCTGGCCACACTGTGCATCTCACCTCACACAGAGGCCTCCAGCATTGTTTCTCTGCCGGGGAACCTGCAGCAGCCTCCTCTGCACTGGAAGTTGTGCAGGATTTGCAGGTCCATCCCTCAGCCTCCAGCCCTGATGCCGCCCCTGCCCCAGGGCCTTTGCACCTGCTCCTCCTTCTGCCCAGAACTCTTGCCCACAGCTGCTTCTTTATCCTCAAATGTGTTTCCTGCAGCAGCTGTCCTAGAACAGCACACACGGGGCCATTGGAATCCACAGAACCTTGCCTTCCCTCTATTCCGGAGGCCTGAGGGCTGAGGCCGAGGAGTGCTGGCTACGCTCTTGGAGGCGCTGAGCGAGAGTCCCCCCACTCCAGGCCTCTCTGCCTCTGACGCCGCCTGTGGCTCTGAGCCTGTGGTGGGACCTCCAGCCTCGGCTGCTGCCTACCATGGCCTCCCTCTCTGAGCTCACATCTCCCTCCCCTCTCTCTGAGCCCGCATCTCCCTCCCCTCTCTCTGAGCCCACATCTCCCTCTCTCTCTGAGCCCGCATCTCCCTCCCCTCTCTCTGAGCCCGCATCTCCCTCCCCTCTCTCTGAGCCCGCATCTCCATCCTCTCTTTCTGAGATCACATCTCCCTCCCCTCTCTGAGCCCCCATCTCCCTCCCGTCTCTCTGAGCCCGCATCTCCATCCTCTCTTTCTGAGCTCACATCTCCCTCCCCTCTCTCTGAGCCTGCATCTCCCTCCCCTCTCTGAGCCTGCATCTCCCTCCCCTCTCTCTGAGCCCGCATCTCCATCCTCTCTTTCTGAGCTCACATCTCGCTCCCCTCTCTGAGCCCCCATCTCCCTCCCCTCTCTCTGAGCCCGCATCTCCCTCCCCTCTCTCTGAGCTCGAATCTCCCTCCCCTCTCTCTGAGCCTGCATCTCCCTCCCCTCTCACTGAGCCCGCATCTCCCTTCCCTCTCTCTGAGCCCGCATCTCTCTCCCCTCTCTGAGCCCGCATCTCCCTCCCCTCTCTGAGCCCGCATCTCCCTCCCCTCTCTGAGCCCGCATCTCCCTCCCCTCTCTCTGAGCCCGCATCTCCCTCCCCTCTCTCTGAGCCCGCATCTCCCTCCCCTCTCTCTGAGCCCGCATCTCCCTCCCCTCTCTCTGAGCCCGCATCTCCCTCCCCTCTCTCTGAGCCCGCATCTCCCTCCCCTCTCTGAGCCCGCATCTCCCTCCCCTCTCTATGAGCCCGCATCTCCCTCCCCTCTCTGAGCCCGCATCTCCCTCCCCTCTCTCTGAGCCCGCATCTCCCTCCCCTTTCTCTCTTATGTATAGGATGCTTGTCATTGGATGTAGGATCCCTCTAAATCCGGGATGGTGTCATCTCTGGATCCCTAACCCAGTACATCTGCAATGACATCGATTTCCAAACAAGGCCCCATTGCAGGCCCTGGGGCGTGGGCGTGGGCGTGGTCAGTGGTTCTGGGGGCCTCCCTTCCGCCCACTCGCCCCACTCCTCATTCGGGGGAAGTGCAGTGGCCCGGACCGTCCCCGCCACCCACTCAAGCGACGCCTCCTCCTTTGCTACTCGTTTTCCTTTATGGAGCTCATTTCTTTCTGACATTAACACACCTCACCCACTGCCAGGTCAACTGGAGGGCAGGGACGCGGCGTATTTATCCTGAGCTGTGCCCTCGGTCCACATGCCTTCTGTCCACGGTGCCGTCTCAGGAAGCCTGTTGAGTGGGCAAGCGAGTTTCCCTGAGCTGAGAGTTTGCACATGGGCGGTGCGTGGGCCAGAGCCCTCTCCCCATCCCAGGAGGACGTGCTGGTTCCAGACCCCAGCTGTGACGGCCTCTCCACAGGGATTTTCACCCCGGATCACGGCCACCCCCTTCCCTAGGACCTGGCCTGTGCTTTTCTCCCGCTCTGAGAGGGCCTGGCGAGCCCCTTGCCCCATGAGGGGTGGGAGGTGCGAGCGTCTTGTGGCAGAATTTCTAGGCCCTATGTCCTGGCGACTAACCACGTCCTTCGAGATCATTCCGAGACATTGGTGTGTGCTGGGGTGCGGGTGGCTGAGAAGGGAGGGCCGTGGGGAACCTCTTCGTCTTCCTTGCCCTCAGAAACACAATCTCCCGTCCAGAGCGAGCAGCTCCTGGTGGCTGGGCAGTGCCTGTCTCTGGCGTTCTAGCCCAGGAGGGGGGCCCCTGTGCGGCAGGCCAGGCTCCCTGACCCAGACCCCTGTCTTCCCCACGCCCTCCCCTGCAGTGCAGGGCTCCACACAGGCGACTCTCTCTCCTCGCACTGAGGCACTGAGGCGCCGAGGCCGGAGGGAGGGTGACAGCCTAGGCCCGAAGGGAGCCAGTTGCCCGAGGAGGGAAAAGCTGCTGAGGTTTTGGGGTGACGGGCGGGGGTACAGGGCGTGAGGCCGGCTCAGAGCCCTGGGGCACAGGGGCCCCTGCTGTGGATTAATTTGCTGCAGCCCCGGGTGGGGTGACCGGTGGACATCTGCGGCATCGTGGGAACTGTGAGGAGGAAGGGAGGGCAGAGGTGGAGGAGGGACACGATCTCATCGACAGGGCGGCTGCGGCTCCGAGGCCGGGGCTCCAGGAATCCAGGCTTGCTCTGGGGTCTTTGATCTCTGCGTTCTGGGGGCGGCAGGAGCCTCGCTCACATCCCCAACACCCCCTTAGCTCCAATCCCTGCCCGTGTGCCTCTAGCCCCAATTCAGGGATTGCACTGCAGTGGCTGAAATCTTGAGTTTGCCCACCAGGAGGAACCCCCTGGCCCGGGGCCAACGGCTGACCCCTTCTTGGCCTTTGTTCTCCTTGTGGGACATTTGTGACCTCAGTGGCTGGTTCAATGCCACCTGGGCCGTCCAGGCACGCGGATGTTCCCGGAGCCCTGGGAATCACTTTGCACCTGAAGGACAGCCAGGACAGAGGGGCCCTCTCCTGAGGGCGGTGAGGCCGCCTTGCTGTGTTGGATCCATGGACTGTGATGAAATTCATCAGATGAGAAACAGACAAAGGAAAATACAGTATGAAAGGTGGAGCCGCGTTCCTCTCCTTTAAAAAGATTTTTAAAAACTGAACAGTGTGGAAATGTTCCTTTGGTCATGACCCAGCATTAAAAATGCGTAAAATCCTGCAGGCTCGCTTCCAGCCTCTCTGTGTTTTCCCTGTTTAAGGTACCTGATTGTTTCTGTAAAAATAACACATGCTCATTACAAAGAATTTAATCCATGCAGAAATGTGCCAAGAAAAGATGCCTTCGCCCAGGAAAAGCTGGCACTGGCCTCCGGTGACTGTGACTCCAGGTGAGTAACGGAGAAGCAGAAACACTCTTCGAATGTGAACACGCTGCAGGTGCTATTTTCAGTCAGAGTTATGTTTCATTCACTTGAGCTTCAGATGAGAAAACTCAAGGAGTTTTGAATTGCAAATGCGTAGTTCTCTGTCAACTTATTTCTGAGAGCACTCTCTAAGGCTGTTGTAAAAAGTTTACAAAGCGTTGCAAGCTGCGAGTCATCTTTTAAGGATATATGACACTTTTAGACATGGCTGTAAAACGTGAAGAATTCGTGTGTTGATTCTTCCGCCTGTCTCTTTTCCTCCCACGTTCTGACGGTTGTTGGTTAAATCCTTCCTTTTAGAATGTCTTGCTTTGCAACGTGGGTTTGCACTCTGTGACGATAATTCCTACGCCACTGGGTATGGGCCGTCTTTCCACCACCCGGTGCTCCCAGTAAACACAGTGGCCGCCACTTCTCTATTCCTGAAGTCGGAATCCACTCTGGATTGCTTTGCCGGCTGGAATCTGTGTTTTCAGGAAGGGCTCTTGTGCGCTGACGTTCCTTCGTGCTGGAGGGTGAGCACCTCTGCCTGTGCACCAGGTGCTGCCTTAGCTGAGTATGTCTTCTGTCTTCTGTGTACCAGGTGCTGCCTTAGCTGAGTATGTCTTCTGTCTTCTGTGTACCAGGTGCTGCCTTAGCTGAGTATGTCTTCTGTCTTCTGTGTATCGGGTGCTACCTTAGCTGAGTATGTCTTCTGTCTTCTGTGTACCAGGTGCTGCCTTAGCTGAGTATGTCTTCTGTCTTCTGTGTATCGGATGCAGCCTTAGCTCAGTATGTATTCTGTCTTCTGTGTACCAAGTGCAGCCTTAGCTGAGTATGTCTTCTGTCTTCTGTGTACCAGGTGCTGCCTTAGCTGAGTATGTCTTCTGTCTTCTGGGTAGCAGGTGCTGCCTTAGCTGAGTATGTCTTCTGTGTATCGGGTGCAGCCTTAGCTAAGTATGTCTTCTGTCTTCTGTGTACCGGGTGCTGCCTTAGCTGAGTATGTCTTCTGTCTTCTGTGTATCGGGTGCTGCCTTAGCTGAGTATGTCTTCTGTCTTCTGTGTATCGGGTGCTGCCTTAGCTGAGTATGTCTTCTGTCTTCTGCGTATCGGATGCAGCCTTAGCTGAGTATGTCTTCTGTCTCATGTGTACCAGGTGCTGCCTTAGCTGAGTATGTCTTCTGTCTTCTGTGTACCGGGTGCTGCCTTAGCTGAGTATGTCTTCTGTCTTCTGTGTATCAGGTGCTGCCTTAGCTGAGTATGTCTTCTGTCTTCTGTGTATCGGATGCAGCCCTAGCTCAGTATGTATTCTGTCTTCTGTGTACCAAGTGCAGCCTTAGCTGAGTATGTCTTCTGTCTTCTGTGTACCAGGTGCTGCCTTAGCTGAGTATGTCTTCTGTCTTCTGGGTAGCAGGTGCTGCCTTAGCTGAGTATGTCTTCTGTGTATCGGGTGCAGCCTTAGCTGAGTATGTCTTCTGTCTTCTGTGTATCAGGTGCTGCCTTAGCTGACTATGTCTTCTGTCTTCTGTGTATCAGGTGCTGCCTTAGCTGAGTATGTCTTCTGTCTTCTGTGTATCAGGTGCTGCCTTAGCTGAGTATGTCTTCTGTCTTCTGTGTATCGGATGCAGCCCTAGCTCAGTATGTATTCTGTCTTCTGTGTACCAAGTGCAGCCTTAGCTGAGTATGTCTTCTGTCTTCTGTGTACCAGGTGCTGCCTTAGCTGAGTATGTCTTCTGTCTTCTGTGTATCAGGTGCTGCCTTAGCTGAGTATGTCTTCTGTGTATCGGGTGCAGCCTTAGCTGAGTATGTCTTCTGTCTGCTGTGTATCGGGTGCAGCCTTACCTGAGTATGTCTTCTGTCTTCTGCGTATCAGGTGCAGCCTCAGCTGAATATGTCTTCTGTCTTCTGTGTATCGGGTGCTGCCTTGCCTGAGTATGTCTTCTGTCTTCTGTGTATCAGGTGCTGCCTTAGCTGAGTACGTCTTCTGTCTTCTGTGTATCGGGTGCTGCCTTAGCTGAGTATGTCTTCTGTCTCATGTGTACCAGGTGCTGCCTTAGCTGAGTATGTCTTCTGTCTTCTGTGTACCGGGTGCTGCCTTAGCTGAGTATGTCTTCTGTCTCATGTGTACCAGGTGCTGCCTTAGCTAAGTATGTCTTCTGTCTTCTGTGTACCGGGTGCTGCCTTAGCTGAGTATGTCTTCTGTCTTCTGTGTATCGGGTGCTGCCTTAGCTGAGTATGTCTTCTGTCTTCTGTGTATCGGGTGCTGCCTTAGCTGAGTATGTCTTCTGTCTTCTGCGTATCGGATGCAGCCTTAGCTGAGTATGTCTTCTGTCTCATGTGTACCAGGTGCTGCCTTAGCTGAGTATGTCTTCTGTCTTCTGTGTACCGGGTGCTGCCTTAGCTGAGTATGTCTTCTGTCTTCTGTGTATCAGGTACTGCCTTAGCTGAGTATGTCTTCTGTCTTCTGTGTACCAGGTGCTGCCTTAGCTGAGTATGTCTTCTGTCTTCTGTGTACCAGGTGCTGCCTTAGCTGAGTATGTCTTCTGTCTGCTGTGTATGGGGTGCAGGCTTAGCTGAGTATGTCTTCTGTCTTCTGTGTATCGGGTGCAGCCTTAGCTGAGTATCTCTTCTGTCTTCTGTGCACCAGGTGCTGCCTCAGCTGAGTATGTCTTCTGTCTTCTGTGTATCGGGTGCAGCCTTAGCTGAGTATCTCTTCTGTCTTCTGTGCACCAGGTGCTGCCTCAGCTGAGTATGTCTTCTTTCTTCTGTGTATCGGGTGCTGCCTTAGCTGAGTATCTCTTCTGTCTTCTGTGTATCGGGTGCTGCGTTAGCTGAGTACGTCTTCTTTCTTCTGTGTATCGGGTGCAGCCTTAGCTGAGTATGTCTTCTGTCTTCTGTGTATCAGGTGCAGCCTTAGGTGAGTATCTCTTCTGTCTTCTGTGTACCGGGTGCTGCCTTAGCTGAGTAGGTCTTCTGTCCTCTGTGTATCGGGTGCAGCCTTAGCTGAGTATGTCTTCTGTCTACTGTATATTGGGTGCTGCCTTAGCTGAGTATGTCTTCTGTCTTCTCTGTATCGGGTGCAGCCTTAGCTGAGTATGTCTTCTGTCTTCTGTGTACTGGGTGCTGCCTTAGCTGAGTATGTCTTCTGTCTTCTGTGTATCGGGTGCTGCCTTAGCTGAGTATGTCTTCTGTCTTCTGTGTACCGGGTACTGCCTTAGCTGAGTATGTCTTCTTTGTTCTGTGTACCAGGTGCTGCCTTAGCTAAGTATGTCTTCTGTCTGCTGTGTACCAGGTGCTGTCTTAGCTGAGTATGTCTTCTGTCTTCTGTGTATCGGGTGCTGCCTTAGCTGAGTATGTCTTCTGTCTTCTGTGTATCGGGTGCTGCCTTAGCTGAGTATGTCTTCTGTCTTCTGTGTAGCAGGTGCTGCCTTAGCTGAGTATGTCTTCTGTCTTCTGTGTATCGGGTGCTGCCTTAGCTGAGTATGTCTTCTGTCTTCTGTGTACCGGGTGCTGCCTCAGCTGAGTATGTCTTCTGTCTTCTGTGCACCAGGTGCAGCCGTAGCTGAGTACGTCTTCTGTCTCCTGTGTACCGGGTGCAGCCTTAGCTGAGTATGTCTTCTGTCTTCTGTACACCAGGTGCAGCCGTAGCTGAGTACGTCTTCTGTGTCCTTTGTACTGGGTGCTGCCTTAGCTGAGTATGGCTTCTGTCTGCTGTGTGCCAGGTGCAGTCTTAGTTGCGTATGTCTTCTGTCTTCTGTGTATCGGGTGCTGCCTTAGCTGACTATGTGTTCTGTCTTCTGTGTATCGGGTGGTGCCTTAGCTGAGTATCTCTTCTCTCTTCTGTGTACCGGGTGCTGCCTTAGCTGAGTATGTCTTCTGTCTTCTGTGTATCGGGTGCAGCCTTAGCTCGTATCTCTTCTGTCTTCTGTGTACCAGGTGCTGCCTTAGCTGAGTATGTCTTCTGTCTTCTGTGTACCAGGTGCTGCCTTAGCTGAGTATGTCTTCTGTCTTCTGTGTATCGGGTGCAGCCTTAGCTGAGTATCTCTTCTGTCTTCTGTGCACCAGGTGCTGCCTCAGCTGAGTATGTCTTCTGTCTTCTGTGTATTGGGTGCTGCCTTAGCTGAGTACGTCTTCTTTCTTCTGTGTATCGGGTGCTGCCTTAGCTGAGTATGTCTTCTGTCTTCTGTGTATCAGGTGCAGCCTTAGGTGAGTATGTCTTCTGTCTTCTGTGTCCCAGGTGCAGCCTTAGCTGAGTATGTCTTCTTTCTTCTGTGTATCGGGTGCTGCCTTAGCTGAGTATGTCTTCTGTCTTCTGTGTACCAGGTGCAGCCTTACCTAAGTATGTCTTCTGTCTTCTGTGTATCCGGTGCAGCCTTAGCTGAGTACGTCTTCTTTCTTCTGTGTATCGGGTGCTGCCTTAGCTGAGTATGTCTTCTGTCTTCTGTGTACCAGGTGCTACCTTAGCTGAGTATCTCTTCTGTCTTCTGTGTAGCAGGTGCTGCCTCAGCTGAGTATGTCTTCTTTCTTCTGTGTATTGGGTGCTGCCTTAGCTGGTATCTCTTCTGTCTTCTTTGCACCAGGTTCTGTCTTAGCTGAGTATGTGTTCTGTCTTGTGTGTATTGGGTGCTGCCTTAGCTGAGTATGTTTTCTGTCTCCTGTGTGCCGGGTGCAGCCTTAGCTGGGTATGTCTTCTGTGGCCCTGCAGCTGTTCCCTCCATACCCAACAGCGGTTTTCATGTGTCTTTTGGCTCCAAAGATTGATGGGAACATCTGAGGCCAGCGTGGCTCATTTTTTCTTGTTAATGTTTTCCTTTTTGTTGCATAAAGAGTTTTCTTTACCTTCAGGGTTCAGGGGCTGAACTAACATCCATTCAGGGTTGGGTGTTTTCTTTCAACATGTTCTGGAAAACAATACCCTCTTCAGATCTGGTAGTCCAATGTGTTTATTATTATTATTATTTTAGAGAAATTTGTCTTTGGATACACTAAATCTTCCACTTTCTGGCTGTTGACTTCAGGGAAACCCATTTTCCTTACATTGATTAGCTTCTCTCTCAGTCGTCTTTTTCATCTACATTTACTCTGCTTATTTCAAGCTTTTCTCCTTTGGCAATATTTGATTTTCAGTGGCAGATAATACATATAGAAATGATAATAGAATTAGAAAAATATAACTTAGTAAATGCTGGTGACACTGTGGCTCCAGGCAATAATTATTAACTAGCATTAAAACAATTCCGGGAATGACGGACGCGGAGACACATCCACAGGGCGCCCGTGCAACGCCATGAAGATGATCTTCCGGATGTGGGCGTGGAGAGGCGGCTGGAAATGCAGGAGGCAGAGCGTGGTCCTCCCTTCCAGGCTGATCTCACCGTCGCTCACAGCGGCGCAGCCAGATGTCATTGGTGTGACGCAACTCCACATACACAACGCGACCTGTGGAGAGCGGACACGCCAGACTCTTCACATGATTTCAGAAAGCCTTTAACGTAACCTGCAGTTTCCAGATAATGCCAGAGGTGGACAAGCTAAGAACACCAGGCGGAGCAACCGGACCATCGAGGCACCTGCACAACAAGCGTCCTGGGTCCCCTCAGCA
This sequence comes from Homo sapiens, assembly GCF_000001405.40. NCBI lineage: Eukaryota > Metazoa > Chordata > Mammalia > Primates > Hominidae > Homo > Homo sapiens. The sequence continues at coordinate 286,338 of NW_021160007.1, read as the reverse complement.
ATCAATCCGAACTCTGCTCGGGGGCGTCCTGGGTCCCCTCAGCATTCCGGACTCTGCTCGGGGGCGTCCTGGGTCTCCTCAGCAAGCCGGACTCTGCTCGGGGGCGTCCTGGGTCCCCTCAGCAAGCGGACTCTGCTCGGGGGCGTCCTGGGTCCCCTCAGCAAGCTGGACTCTGCTCGGGGGTGTCCTGGGTCCCCTCAGCAAGCCGGACTCTGCTCGGGGGCGCGACAGCCCAGGGCCACGGGTGGCTCTCGATGGCTTCTGCTTTCAACAGACCTGCTGCCCGGGACAATTTTTAGGTCAATTCAGGTCTGGGTGTTAACTGAGTCAAAACAGAGTGAAATGGAACGAAGGGGACCACGGACTGATCTAAGCGGGCAGCAGCGAGAAGCATGTGCCAGGTGTCCATGCAGATGTGTGCCTGCGTGTGTGTTTGCATAAGGAAGAGGCTGAAGGGTCTGCACTGTGGAAACGTGGAATTTTTTTTTTTTTTTTTAGTCGGAGTCTTACTCTGTCTCCCAGGCTAGAGTGCAGTGGCATGATCTCAGCTCACTGCAGCCTCCACCTCCCGGGTTCAAGTGATTCTTCTGCCTCAGCCTCCTGAGCAGCTGGGACTACAGGCATGTGCCATCATGTATTTTTATTTTCTATTTATTTTTTTGAGACAGAGTTTCGCTCTTGCCCCCCAGGCTGGAGGGCAATGGTGCTATCTTGGCTCACTGCAACCTCCACCTCCCGGGTTGGAGTGATTCTTCTGCCTGAGCCTCCCGCGTAGCTGGGATTACAGGTGCACAACACCACATGCAGCTAATTTTTTTTTTTTTTAAGCAGAGATGGGGTTTCACCATGTTGGCCAGGCTGGTCTCAAACTCCTAACCTCAGGTGATCCACCCGCCTGGGCCTCCCAAAGTGCAGGGATAACAGGCATGAGCCACTGCGCCCGGCCCGCCATGTATTTTTAGTAGAGACGGGGTTTCATTATGTTGACCAGGCTGGTCTCAAACTCCTGACCACAAGTGTTTTCTCATTTTGCTTATATTTTCTAATATTCTACAATGCGTATCTATTACTCTATAATAAGAAAAGGGTTGTTTTACAAATAAAAGTAGGATACGGAATTCTTAAAACATTGATTTTTAATGGTGCTATTATATTTCTCAGCACTTTTAGGTTCTTTATTAGGACCTTAATGGTGTTATTTTGGTCCTTGATTTGTTTCCTAAGATCTGTAATCTCTCTCTTCATATGAATTCATTTTATTATTTTAAGTTCTTATTTTTATTGAACTGAGGTTATTATGAAATTGTTTTGCTATGAAAAAATTATAGAAAACTTCCTTTGGTCCTAGAACTAGGTTTCCTGTGTTTCTGTCTTCTGCCTGTATTTTGCATGTGTTCTCTGTCTCTCCCCGTCTCCATCTCTGCCCCCTCTCTCCCTCTCTCTCCCCCCTCTCTGTCCCTCTCTCTCTCCCTCTCCATCTCTCCCCCGTCTCTCTCCCTCTCCATCTCTCTGTCTCTCTCTCTCTCCCTCCCTATCTCTCCCTCTCTCTGTCTCTCTCTCCTTCTGTCTCTCTGTCTGTCCCTCTCTCTCTCCCTCTCTCTCTGTCTCCTTCTCTCCCTCTCTCTCCCCCCCTCTCTGTCCCTCTCTGTCTCCCTCTCTCTCTCCCTCTCCATCTCTCCCCCCTCCATCTCTCTCTCTTCCTCCCTATCTCTCCCTCTCTCTGTCTCTCTCTTCCTCTCTGTCTCTTTCTCTCTCCCCCTTCTCTCCCTCTCTCTCTGTCCCTCTCTCTGTGTCTCCTTCTTCTTTGTCTCTGTCTCTCTCGTCTCCTTCTCTCTTTGTCTCTGTGTCTCTCTCTGTCTCTCTGTTTTTTTTCTCTCTTTCTCCCCCTCTCTCTGTCTCTCTCTTCCTCTCTGGCTCTTTCTCTCTCCCCCCTTCTCTCCCTCTCTCTCCCCCCTCTCTGTCCCTCTCTCTCTCCCTCTCCATCTCTCCCCCGTCTCTCTCCCTCTCCATCTCTCTGTCTCTCTCTCTCTCCCTCCCTATCTCTCCCTCTCTCTGTCTCTCTCTCCTTCTGTCTCTCTGTCTGTCCCTCTCTCTCTCCCTCTCTCTGTCTCCTTCTCTCCCTCTCTCTCCCCCCCTCTCTGTCCCTCTCTGTCTCCCTCTCTCTCTCCCTCTCCATCTCTCCCCCCTCCATCTCTCTCTCTTCCTCCCTATCTCTCCCTCTCTCTGTCTCTCTCTTCCTCTCTGTCTCTTTCTCTCTCCCCCTTCTCTCCCTCTCTCTCTGTCCCTCTCTCTGTGTCTCCTTCTTCTTTGTCTCTGTCTCTCTCGTCTCCTTCTCTCTTTGTCTCTGTGTCTCTCTCTGTCTCTCTGTTTTTTTTCTCTCTTTCTCCCCCTCTCTCTGTCTCTCTCTTCCTCTCTGGCTCTTTCTCTCTCCCCCCTTCTCTCCCTCTCTCTGTGTCTGTCTCTCTCTCTCTCTCTCCCTGTCTCCCTCTCTCTCTGTCTCTGTCTCTCTCTCTCTCTCTCTCTCTGTTTCTCTCTCTCTGTCTCTGTCTCTCTCTCTCTCTCCCTCTCTCTCTGTCTCTCTCTGTCTGTCTCTCTCTTCCTCTTTGTCTCTTTCTCTCTCCCCCCTTCTCTCCCTCTCTCTCTGTCTCTCTCCCTCTCTGTCTCCCTCCCTCTCTCTCTGTCTACCTGTCTCTCTGTCTACCTCTCTCTCGGTCTCTCTCTCTCTCCCTCTCTCTCTGTCTCTCTCTCTCTCTCTCTGTCTCCCTCCCTCTCTCTCTGTCTCCCTCCCTCTCGTCTCCCTCCCTCTCTCTGTCTCCCTCCCTCTCTCTCTGTCTCTCTCTTCCTCTCTGTCTCTTTCTCTCTCCCCCTTCTCTCCCTCTCTCTCTGTCTCTCTGTATCTCTCTCTGTCTCTCTCTCTCTCTCTCTCTGTCTCCCTTCCTCTCTCTCTGTCTCCCTTCCTCTCTGTCTCCCTCCCTCTCTCTCTGTCTCCCTCTCTCTCCGTCTCCCTTCCTCTCTCTCTGTCTCCCTCCCTCTCTCTCTGTCTTCCTCTCTCTCGGTCTCCCTCTCTCTCAGTCTCTCTCTCTCTGTCTCCCTCCCTCTCTCTCTGTCTACCTGTCTCTCGGTCTCCCTCTCTCTCGGTCTCTCTCTTTGTCTCTCTCCATCTCTCTTTCCTCACTCCCCCTGTAGTGTCCAGGTGATCTTGACCTTGGCATTTGGAGTGTAATTTTCCAGATACCCCCTTTGCTCTGGTGTCATGTGGGTGGCTCTGGACTCCTCCCTCCGGGTGTCTGCCACAGACTGGTCGCCTCTTCCGGCCTCAGGTGGGGACTCCTGTGGGCGTGGGGTGGTGGGGAACCACCATGTGCACCCTTTGCGTATTGGTGTAGCAGACCTTGCCTGCCACACAGCGACTCCCCTCTACCTCGCTTCTTACCAAACCTTGCTTCTGTTCAGGGCAGCCGTGTGCCCAGCTGGAAATGTCCCTTGCAGTTAGATGTGGCCACGGGACGGATTCTGGTCTATGGGGATTTAAAGGGACGTTTCTCCTCAGATGCTCTCCCTCTCCCTGCCCCCTGTCCCCCTTTCTTCCTGTTGGCACCTTGATGGCTGGGGCTGCGTCCTGCAACATGAGGAAGAGACCAGCGGCATCGTCTTGCAGAGAACTCAGCTGTGATGGCCTTGAGCCATGCAGGGTTCCCCGTGGTCTTCTTGCTGTGAGTAGAGATCCTCTGGGGACTGTGACAAAACACACAAGACGCTGGTAAGATTCAGGCTCAGCAGCTCTGGAGGGGCCTGGGGCTCTGCATTCCCGAGGGCCTCTTGAGTGATGCAGACACAGCTGGTCGGGGCCACACTCTGAGGAGCAGGTGTTCAGCCGCCATTCCATCAGGTTTCAGCTACGCGCAGCCGGGTGTGATCCTGCCCGGGGCGGCTATTTCATCAGGTTTCAGCTACACGCAGCTGGGTATGGCCCCTGCCCGGGGCGCTGGGCTCTGGGTCTCCCACAACAGTGTGAATTCCCTGCAGGTTTTATTTCTCGAAATCGGAGGGGTGTCCCTCACTCCTTGGGGAGGCCCCAGGTCTGGGGCTCTGTGCAGAGTCCTGGAGCCTTTGCCGCTGCCAGACAGAGCCAACCACAGCATCCGCATCCCCCAGGCTCTCCCCTGTCCTGGCCGTTTCCTAAGCCTCAGGCAGGCAGAGCTGGGGGGATGAAGCTCTCCAGGGTTTGCTTCTCTGAGCCTGGGAACATTAATGAGAGTGCTGGGGTTTGACTCACTCAACAGTCTTTAAAAATAATGTATTTTCGTATCACAATGACAATGAGAATCCAGAGGGCACTGCTCTGGGGTGCTGTAGTGAATAATCATGGTCGATTTGCCTAGCGAGATTCATCCACATCACTCAGTTTCTCCCAAGCATGTTTTCCTGGAGGCTGAGCCCGTGCTGTCAGGAAGGGCCCTCTCTTTGCCGTGCAGAATTCACAAGCAGGGCTGGAGATAGGAGCAGGGGCCTGGACCTGAGTCCTTCATGATGGGGTGAGGTGAGTGCACCCTATGGGCCAGGCTGGGTGGGTGGGGGGAGGGCAGGCGTTGGCCTCACCCTCAGGACAGGGCCCTCCACCAGGGAGGGAGGGAGCAGTGCCAGGGCCGCGGCTCGGCCCCCTCAGGTGAGGAGTAAATCACGTATAGCAAATCGCCTGCATTCCATCGGTTGCTCTGTCCCCCAGGCCATCCCCATGGCACCTCTGCTGTTTGTTCTGCCGGCCAGGGTCCACTGAGCACCTGCCATGCCACACCCTGGGCCAGGAGGTCCAACCTGGCGGAATGCAATGGTCAAGGTCTCTGTCCACCTGCGGCCTCCATCCTGGGCTGATGCACTGGGGAATCATTTATTGTCCCAAACTGTGACAGCTGTGGGAAGGAAAGTGTCAGAGTGTGTCAAAGGCTGTGACTCAGGCTGCGGTGCTCTTGGGGGCTTCTCTGGAGGGGACGACTGTCCTGGGTGCAGGTGTGGCTGGAGAGGAGGGAGGTGAGGCCGCCTGGGCCAGTGGCGCTGCCCGCTGAGCTGTGAGGAGGGCGGGCCTCGGTCAGTAGTGGCCACTGGGTCCCAGCCCAGGCGCTGAGGGAGGGGTTGCTTCGTCCCCCTGGCTCTCACCCACCTGTCTCCCACCCCCGTGATGTGACTCAGCTGCTCACCCTACTAGAGTCTCTTTCCCGTTCCTTTGTTCTGTGTCTGGCCGTGGGATGGGACACGGGCGGAGGCTGGGAAGGCACCTGCTGGCTCTTCCTGTCACCCTCTCCGAGCGGTGTCTAGGCTCCCCGGTGGAGAATGAGACACACTCGAGGGATGGGACAGAGCTGCCTGATGGCAGCCGAGAGCCAAGCAGCCCTAGACGAGTGAGTGAGTCCCGAGTGACCCCGGCGAGGACAGAAGAGCCACCTGCTGAGCCCAGCCTGACCCCTGACCTGCGGCTTGTGAGCTAAATACATACTCGGGTTGAAACCAGAGTTTCCGGGTGATTTGTTTCTAAGCATTATTGCTACAAAGGCAAACTGATGCAGTGAGGAAGTGTGAAAGGAGGCTGGAGGGGGTGGGGCAGACTCTGCAGGGCCTGGGCCACACGCAGTGAGAGGTCTGGGGCACTGAGCAGTTGGGGCTGGGGTGACGGGTCAGCTGTGACTTCCCTGCGCACTTGGCACTCTGCAGAGGGCTCTGAGAATCTCTTTTGCCACGAGGAAGAGCCTCAGGGGAGCTCGCTGGGCAGGGGGTGGTCTGGGCTATGCATAAGCGGGATTGACGCCAGGCTGGGCTGGCGGGGGCGGGGGGCCCCCCAGGACTCAGGCCTCAGGGGCTGGAGGGGATGCTCAGGGCTTCCTCCACCCGCAGGATAACAGCAGAGGGAGCCTCTAACCTCCCTCTTCCGCTGGCGTTGGGAAACAGCCATGGGGCTCACGGGGCCTCCTCGGAGGACCTATGCCGCCTCTCCATCACTCAGCTCCCTCAGCGCGGGGAGGAAATGACCGCTCAGTTCTATTATCTCCAAAGCTGAAGGATGATCTCAAGTTTTATCGGCGAGGAAACTCATTTGATTTTAAATGATTTTCGGCCTGGAAGTTAGTAGATTTTAGGAGGCTCTTAAATAAATTGCCTAGAAATAAAGATGAGCTGCTGGTTTATGGTGAAACTTAATCTGTCCTGACTGGAACATTTGCAGAGATTTGGCTCAAGGACGCTGGACCTGGCTGGGCAGAGCAGAGAGACGGGGGTGTCCTCGGTGTTAAAAATGGGGTTGTGCGCAAATGTGCCACATCTGTGACATGTTTATTGTTCTTTGTGCTTTCGCATGTAGAAAAATAAAGCAAACTTTTTCTGATTATGTCAGTAATTGATGTTTATTGTAGATAACTTGTAAAATAAACTGAAGCATAAAAAAGAAAATAAGTGTTGTCTCTAAAGCTGTAGCTCCATGAAAATCACACTTTACATTTCGGTTACGCATTCCACATAACTCGCCTCGATTTTACAAAACCGAGCACATACTGGGCATGAGTTTGTAACATTTTAAAAACGTAATAGATTCTGTATACATTATACTTTTTATAACATGATTTAAATGCCGGAGGGGTAGCCATTGTTTAAACACACCGCATTTATCCAGCCAGTCTCCTCCTGCTGGATGTGGAGCTCTTCCCTCGCTGTTTCAGGGTACGAGTCAACCTAGGCTGGGGGTCGCTGCAGGGAAAAGCTACTGCCAAACCTCAGTGGCTGTGATGGTTAATTTTGGGTATCAACTTGCCTGGGTTAAGGGATACCTCGAACGCTGGTGAAGCATTCTTACTGCATGTGTCTGCGTGATGCCTGAGTTGGTGGACAGAGTGGAGAAGCTCCACCCTCGCCCATCCAGTGGAGAAGCTCCACCCTCGCCCATCCAGTGGAGAAGCTCCACCCTCGCCCATCCAGTGGAGAAGCTCCACCCTCGCCCATCCAGTGGAGAAGCTCCACCCTCGCCCATCCAGTGGAGAAGCTCCACCCTAGCCCATCCAGTCGGCTGGGGGCCCAGATAGAACGAAAAGGTGGAGGAAAGGTGAATTCCCTCTCTCTCTCTCTCTCTCTCTCTCTCTCTCTCCTCCTCTCCCTGCCTCCTCCTTCCTGTCTCTCTTTCTCGCCCTCTCTTTCTCTCTCTCTCACCCTCTCTTTCTCTCTCTCTCTCCTGGAGCAGGAATGCCCTTCTTATTTTATTTTTTATTTTTAGAGACAGAGTCTTGCTCTGTCGCCCAGGCTGGAGTGTGGTGGTGCGATCTCAGCTCACTGCAAGCTCCGCCTCCCGGGTTCACGCCATTCTCCTGCCTCAGCCTCCTGAGTAGCTGGGACTACAGGCACCCGCCACCACGCCCCGCTGATTTTTGTATTTTTAGTACAGACGGGGTTTCACTGTGTTAGCCAGGGTGGTCTCAATCTCCTGACCTCATGATCTGCCTGTCTCGGCCTCCCGAAGTGCTGGGATTACAGGCGTGAGCCACCGTGCTCAGCCAGGAATGCCCTTCTTCTCCTGCCCTTGGAGACCAGAACTCCAGGTTCCCTGGCCTTTGGCCCCCAGGGCTTGGCCAGCATCCGCCACCCCTTGTTCTCACGCCTTCAGCCTTGGACTCAGAGTCACACCATTACCTTCCCCGGTTCCGAGGACTTCAGACTTGGACTGAGACATGATACCAGCTTCCTTGTTTCTCCAGCGTGCAGACAGCCTGTGGGACTTCTCAGTCTCTATAATCATGTAAAAGAAATTGAAGACGATACAAACAAATGGAAAGACATCCCATGCTCATGGGTCAGAATTAATATTGTTAAAATGGCCATACTACCCAAAGCAGTCTACAGATTCAATGCAATTCCTATCAAAATACCCATGACATTATTCACAGAAATAGAAAAAAAAATCTTAACATTAAAAAGATCTTAATAATCTTAATATTAACATTCTTAACCACAAAGGACACAGAATAGCCCAAGCAATTCCCAGCAAAAAGAACAAAGCTGGTACAAAAATTAGTTGGATGTGGTGGCACACACCTGCAATTCTAGCTGCTCAGGAAGCTGAGGCAGGAGAATCACTTGAACCTAAGAGGCAGAGGTTGCAGTGAGCTGAGATTGTGCCACTGCACTCCAGCCTGGGCCACAGAGTGAAACTCCATCTAAAAAGAAAAAAAAAAAAAGCCTGCTGGAGGAATCACATAACCAGACCTCAGAATATATGACAAAGCTGTGGTAACCAAAACAGCATGGTACTGGCGTTAAAAAAACAGATACATAGACCAATGCAACAGAGTAGATAACCTAGAAATTAATCCCTCTATCTAGCACTAACTGATTTTTAACAAAGGTGCTAAGAGCACCCATTGGGGGAAAGGACAGCCTCTTCAATAAAAGGTGCTGGAAAACCTGGATATCCATGTGCAGAAGAATGAAGCTAGACCCCCACCTCTCACCCTACACAAAAATCAACTCAAAACGGATAAAAAACATAAGTAGAAGACCCAAAAGTACGAAACAAAGGGGGAATGCCTTAGGACATTGGCCCGGAAAATATTTTATCAGTAAGATCACAAAAGCACAGGCAACACAAGCAAAAATAAACACATGGAGTTTATGTCAAACTAAAAAGCTTCTGCACAGCGAGGGAGTTTGTGTCAAACTAAAAAGCTTCTGCACAGTGAGGGAAACAATCAAGAGAGTGAAAAGCCAACCTACCAAATGGGAGAAGATATTTGCCAACTACTCATCTGACAAGGGGCTAATGTCCAGAACATACAAGAAACTCAAACAACTCAACAGCAAAAAACCAGATTAAACAGCAACAATTTGATTTAAACATTGGCGAATGATCTGAACAGATATTTCTCAAAAGAAGACATGCAAATGGTCAACAGATCTATAAAAAAATGCTCAACATCACTAACCATCAGGGAACTGCAAATCAAAACCATGAGGAGATACCATCTTATACCAGTCAGAACTGGTCTATTATCAAAACGACAAGAAGTAACAAATGCTGGCAGGGATGCAGAGAAAAGGGAATCCGCCCTGTTGGTGGGAAGGTGAACGAACACAGCTGCTGTGGAGAACAGCACGGAGGCTACTCGGGAAACAAACTGCAGACACGATCCAGAAACCACTTCTAGGTGTTTATCCAAAGGGAAGGAAGTCAGTGCATCAGAGAGACATCCTCACCCTGTGTTGACTGCGGCACCATTCACAGCAGCCACGATATGGAACCAACCTGGGTGTCCGACAGCAGATGACTGATGAAGAAAGTGTGGCACACACACCGCAGAATACTATTCAGCCATGAAAAACAATGAGTCCTGTCACTGGTGGCAACATGGATGGAACTGGAGGACATTAGGTTAAATGAAATAAGCCAGGAACAGAAAGACAAATATCACATGTTCTCACATGGGGAAGCTAAAAAATGTTGACCTCAAAGAAGTAAAAATTAGAACAGAACATACTGGATGGTGGGAAGGGGAGGGGAAAGGAGAGGGAAAGATTTGTTAAAGGAAACAAAATTACCAGTCAGTGGGGGGGAGGTGTGAGTGTCTATGGCACTACAGGATGACCAGAGTTCATATGTTATATAGTTTCAAACAGCTGGAAGGACATTTAATGTTCCTAACAGAAATAAATGATAAGTGTTTGAGACAATGGTGTTTAAAAAAAGAAACTTCAGCCAAATTAAATCTAAAAGAGTGTAATTGAGCAAAGAACAATTTGCAAATAGAGTAGGTATGGAGACTCCCGCGCAGCCACGTGGCAGAAGAAGATTTATGGACGGGAAAAGGCAAGTGATGTACAGAAAACAGAAGCGAGGGACAGAAATGGCTGGATTGGCGGCAGCTCGGCATTTGTCTTATTTGAACACGGTTTGAACAGTTGACCACCTGCGACTGGCCAAAGCTCAGTGATTGGCATGAGAGTAGGTGACGGTCTGTTTGCACCTCCATGTAGGCTACAGTTCACCATGTACGGAGAAACCTTCAGGCCGAACTTAAAATGTGTAAGGTTGCAGCTTTAGGCCAAACTTGATTCAACAATGGATATGCTAATTAATCTGATCAGTGTGGGTTATATGTATCAAAAGAGCACTATGTAACCCTTGAATATTATACAATTATTCTATGTCAAAACATTTAAAAATTGGGAAAATACAAATTACTCCAAAGAGGAAATGGAGACATAGACATCTTCTCCAAAGAAGCTCTGCAAAGCCAACAAACCCATGGAAAGATGCTCCACATCACTCATCGTTAGGGGCGTGCAGATCAAACCGCAGTGAGAAACCACCTCGCACACCTAGTCAGATGACTGCCGAAAACCAGGAAGTACAAGTGCTGGTGAAGATGCGGAGAAGCTGGAATCCTCGTGCGTTGCTGGTGGGAAGGAGAGTGGCGTAGCTACTGCGGAAGAGAGTGTGGAAGGTCCTCGAAAAATTAAAACTAGAGCTACTGTAGGATCAGCAATTCCTCTCTGGGTAGACACCCTAAATAGTTAAAGGCAACGGCCGGGTGCGGAGGCTCACGCCTGTAATCCCAGCACCGTGAGAGGCCGAGGCGGGCGGATCACCTGAGGTCAGGAGTTCGAGACTAGCCTGGCCAACATGGTGAAACCCCGTCTCTATAAAAATACAAAAAAATTAGCCGGTCATGGTGGCGGGCTCCTGTAATCCCAGCTACTCAGGAGGCTGAGGCAGGAGAATGGCTTGAACCCGGGAGGCGGAGGTTGCAGTGATCTGAGATCACACCACTGCACTCCAGCCTGGGCAACAGAGCAAGTCTCTGTCTCAAGAAAAAAAAAATTGAAGGCAAGGTCTCAAAGAGATATTTGCACGGCCATGTTCATACAACATTATTCACAACAGACAACAGGTGAACACAGCCCAGATGTCCATTGACGTGAACAGATAAACACAATGCAGTCTACCCATACAATGGGACATTATTCCGCCTTAAAAAGGAAGGAAATTCTAATGCAGGCTGCAAGGTGGATGGACCTCAAGGACGTTAGGCGAAGTGAACTGAGCCAGTGATTCCACTTACATGAGGTCCCCAGAGTCATCAGATTTAGAGAAAGTAGAACAGAGGTTGCCAGAGCCGGGGGAGGGCAGTGGGGAGTTTGCGCTTCATGGGGACAGGGTTTCCGTTTGGGAAGATGGGAAGGTTCTGGAGGTGGGTGCTGGTGATGGCTGCACAGCAACGTGAATGTGCCTCCTGCTGCTGAAGATGCAGTTTTAAGAATGGTTAAAAATGGTTAAAACTGCAAACCTTATGTCACGCATGTTTTGCCACAATTAAAAATAATTAATTGCTGCCGGGTGCGGTGGCTCACGCCTGTTATCCCGGCACTTTAGGAGGCCGAGGTGGGCAGATCACAAGGTCAAAAGATCGAGACCATCCTGGCCAAATAGTGAAACCCCGTCTCTACCAAAAATACAAAAAATTATCTGGGTGTGGTGGTGGGCGCCTGTAAACCCAGCTACTCAGGAGGCTGAGGCAGAAGAATTGCTTGAACCTGGGAGGTGGAGGCTGCAGTGAGCCAAGACTGTGCTATTGCCCTCCAGCCTGGGTGACAGAGCAAGACTCCATCTCAAAAAAAAAAAAAAAAATTAATTGCATCTAAAACTTACCTTCATAACATTTAGACTGGTCTTAGCCAAAAACCATGGCCTGGCCAAATTGACATCTAAAATTAACCATCTTATACTGAAATCGAGGGCTGAGGAGGGAGGGATAGATTCTAGGGAGGGAAATCTAGAATCGAGTTTAGTTTCCAAGAGAGGAGAGACGGGTGCTGAGCAGACAAAGCCAGCGGTGGATGGAAGAGCCGTGCCGGGTCCGTGCTCGGGGTCACTGGGGGTCGCTGGGGTCGCTGGGGGTCTCTGGGCGTTGCTGGGGTCACTGGGAGTCGCTGGGGGTCTCTGGGCGTTGCTGGGGTCACTGGGAGTCGCTGGGCATTGCTGTTTCTCCCAACGCCTGGTCGGTTTTCTCTGCTGTGACCGGGGAGAATGGAGTAAAGGGCTTGCGTGCTGACACAGCATCCCCTCCTGTCCTTGTCACCCCAGAACTCAGGCAGGAAACAGAGCAACCCCGTGACGGGAGAACAGGGAGTGGGAAGGTGGGGGGCTGTGGGGTCGGAGGTCATGGCTGCTCTGAGGAGGGCTGAGACCTCGATGAGACCTCATGGCCGTGGCCCTGACTCCTGGAGTCCACTCTGTTGAGCCACGGGACACGGTTCTAGGCATCCTGGGGTGGTGCCCGAGAGGCTCAGCTCCTCCTCCTCCCTCTGCTGGGAGCTGGTGGATGCGGCCAAGTCCAGAAACATCTCTCGACCATTGCTCAGCCTGTCCGCTCCCGCCTTTGCCCTGGGTCTGACAACTTCCCTCTGCGTTCCTAGGATCTCCCGCCAGGGGCTGTGCCGGAGGACTGGGCTTGTGGCCTCTTTCCCCTCCCTCAGTTGCACAACCTTTGGGCCTGCCGCCTACGGGGCGTCTGCTAAAAATGATCGCTTCTGTTGTGATGGAATGTGGAAGCGCGTTCCATCCAGGCGTCGCTGTTATATCTGGTGTTGAATTTCAAGTAAAATAAAAATTAAAATTCCCAGTGCTGGTTCATCTGCGCTCATGAACCTCATCCCTGCCTGCCATGCGGTGCGCTGTGCATTCACAGAATGGCCGTGCTAATGGCGTCAGAGATGTAATTATATTTATAATTGGACACATAAATCAGCTTCTTCTTTTGTGGGGCTGGATCTAAATGTGGTGTGGTGCATGAGCTGTTTACAGGTATGTGTACAAGGATACGCATGCAGGCCTGTGCTCATATATGTAGGCATGTGTGTGCGTGCACACGTGTGCATGCATTGTGTGTTGCATGAGTGTGTGTGCGTGGATATGCGTGAGTGTGCATGTGTGCACCTGTTCAGTGGGTATTTACAAGCAAACTCTTCTCTAATCACTCCTTGCTGTATTCCTGGGCAGACCAGGGTGAACAAACAGGATGTCCTGCCCTCATTCTTCTTGGTCGCAGATGGTGGAAATTGAGTGTGCTGGGCATCCAGGGAAAGTGGACGCCACCCCCCGGGGCCTGCCACCAGGAGCTTGTGCAGATTCTGGTGTTTGAGATGGAAAGAGTGCCTGGTAGCAGTGCTGGCTGGCGGGGCTTGGCCCTGGGTGCCCAGGAAGGCACCTGCCCTCATGGCACAACTACAGGCTCGCCCAGTCCCCTTCCACGGGGCGATTCCCTCCTGCTCTCGCACCTGTGAGGCTGTGTCCAGCCAAGCAGAGCAGCAGTTGCTTGAGAAGGGGCCGACACTGCTGGTTGCCTAGGCAACCCCTCCCTGGCTCACCAAGGCCAGATTTGTTCAGGCTCCGGGCAGCAGCCGTGTGCTTAGGGAAGGCGGCCCCTCCCCAGCCCCTGCGTGACGCCCCATTGGCCTCAGCCCACGGTGGAATTCAGTCAGCCTTACCATGGTTGGAGAGACCTGAACCAGCCAGGCCGCCCTGACAGCGGGACCCTGGGAGGGTCTGAGGGGCTGCAGGGAGTTGTCCTCACTCTCACAAAGGAACACGAGGAAGGGCTGGGTCCTGGGGCTCTGGGATGGTGACACAGGAGGGGGCTGTGGGGTGGGCAGCTGCCATGGAGTCCCTATGAGGAATGAGCTGCCTCTTATCCTTTCAGTTGCTTTTCAGCTGGGTTTTCTGTTACAGCTGATAGCATCCGGACGGGTGCAGGGACCGAGCATTCATCGGTGATTTTTACACTCAGCCCAGAGCCGAGACTTCTTATCTACAGGGCACATGGCCGCGTGGCACCTGGGCTAGAAACCCAGAGCTAAGGGTTATTATCTACAGGGCGCGTGGCCACGTGGCACCTGGGCCAGAAACCCAGGGCTGAGGCTTATTATCTACAGGGCACATGGCCGCGTGGCACCTGGGCTAGAAACCCAGAGCTAAGGGTTATTATCTACAGGGCGCGTGGCTCCGTGGCACCTGGGCCAGAAACCCAGAGCTGAGGCTTCTTATCTACAGGGCGCGTGGCCGCGTGGCACCTGGGCCAGAAACCCAGAGCTAAGGGTTATTATCTACAGGGCGCGTGGCTCCGTGGCACCTGGGCCAGAAACCCAGAGCTGAGGCTTCTTATCTACAGGGCGCGTGGCCGCGTGGCACCTGGGCTAGAAACCCAGAGCTAAGGGTTATTATCTACAGGGCGCGTGGCTCCGTGGCACCTGGGCCAGAAACCCAGAGCTGAGGCTTCTTATCTACAGGGCGCGTGGCCACGTGGCACCTGGGCCAGAAACCCAGGGCTGAGGCTTATTATTTACGTGGTGCGTGGCTGCGTGGCACCCGAGCCAGAAACTGGGAACTGAGGCTTATTATCTAAAGGGAGAATGGCCGTGTGGTGCCTGGGTCGGCTTTTCGGTCAAGGTGCCATGGGCCTCAGCAAACAAAGCCAGAGCTCTCCTTCCTCCCTCTCCAGGAGTGGCTGGCACAAGACCCATATCTCAGCCTTTGCAGGCAATGCTTTGGGCATCCACAAAGAATACGGCAAACACGGTGGAATCCCAGGCACTGCCGGAGGCTTTCTGGGCCCCTCCACAGACTCACTTGCAAATTCTTCCCTCAGTCCTAACAGCTCCTGGCATTAGGGTTTGGCTATGCCACTGCCTGTGAGTGACCCTGGACACCACCTTGTCCTCAGCCTGTGAGTGACCCTGGACACCGCCTTGTCCTCAGCCTGTGAGTGACCCTGGACACCGCCTTGTCCTCAGCCTGTGAGTGACCCTGGACACCGCCTTGTCCTCAGCCTGTGAGTGACCCTGGACACTGCCCTCGCCCCCGCCTGTGAGTGGCCCTGGACACTGCCCTCGCCCCCGCCTGTGAGTGACCCTGGACACTGCCCTCGCCCCCGCCTGTGAGTGACCCTGGACACTGCCCTCGCCCCCGCCTGTGAGTGACCCTGGACACTGCCCTCGCCCCCGCCTGTGAGTGACCCTGGACACTGCCCTCGCCCCCGCCTGTGAGTGACCCTGGACACTGCCCTCGCCCCCGCCTGTGAGTGGCCCTGGACACTGCCCTCGCCCCCGCCTGTGAGTGGCCCTGGACACTGCCCTCGTCCCCGCCTGTGAGTGACCCTGGACACTGCCCTCGCCCCCGCCTGTGAGTGACCCTGGACACTGCCCTCGTCCCTGCCTGTGAGTGATCCTGGACGCCGCCCCTGTCCCTGCCTGCTGCGGAAGAAGGTAGGAGGGCCTCACCCCTGCCAACGGTACCTTCTGAGCCTAGTTCCTCACTGGCCACTGTTTTTGGAAGTCCTCTTTGCAGAACTGGCCTCAAAGGCTCAAGGTCAAAGCACCCCCATGAGCTGCTTTGGAAAAAGAGATTTCATCTGACAACAAGGGAGGCAGCTGAGCCAGGAACTTGTGATGTCACTGGGCTTCTGGGCCAGCAGGAGGCTGAGAGGCACACATGTAGAGAAATACAAAGGTTCCCTCTTGTTTAAATTAAGCAAATTAAGAGGAAGTGGCCTGAATTCCGTCTGTGGGCACCATTTGCACAGATGTGGTGGCCACAGAAGCCGCTCACCCTGCCCCATTGCCCGAGGCAAGGATGAGCCTGGTGGTGCCAGGCGCCGCTCTGAGACGTGGGACCCTCTCCCACTCTGTGGACCTCCCGACCCCTGAATGCCTCTTGGATGAGCAGAGATGGTGGCCTCGGGCTGAGCCGGGCAGTTTCCAGGCCAGGCTGCAACGGGTGGCTCCTTCCTCTCCATCCTGGCCAAAGCCTGTCCTGACGGTGGCTCAGGTATGGCTGGAGTCTGAGTCATTGGGTCCTTTGTCACTGATCTGGCTGCTGGCCAGGAACTGGGACACTGAGGCCACAGCATGGGGACAGGGAGATCTGCCCACGTAATGCACCTCGTGGACCTGTGGGGGCTGGTCCCCAAAGCAGCACCCATCATTTGGGATTATGGTCAACTGCATCTAACAGAAGCCCAACTTTGGCAATTTAAACAAACAGGGGGACAGAGAGGCAGCGTTGGGAAGAAGCAACTCCTGAGGACGTCAGTGGGATCTCAGACTCACCCCCGCCCGACCATCTGTCGCTTGACCTCACGGCCACAAAGTGGCTGCCACCCCTCCAAGCATCACACCCACATTCCAACAGGGAGAGGGAACGGGGCAATGGCTAAGTCAGAAAGCCTGAGCCTCTCCCAGAAATCCCCAGGGACTTGACACGAGGTCATGCGTCGACACAAGGTCACACGTCACTGCAAGGGCATCTGGGGAGTGTGGTTTCTAAAGCTGTCCTGCTAAACTCCACACCAAATCGGATCTGCTAGGAAGCAAAGGGGAGGGTGGGCCCAGTGGACTGCTGATGGCTACTGCCACAGCCCGGGGAGAGAACAGAGCAGAGGGGACAGGTCAAGAGGTCAAGGGACCAAGGGAGCAAGGGGCCAAGAGGTCAAGAGGTCAAGAGGTCAAGCTGCCCAGCCCTCCATCACAAGGGCCAGGCAGGGAGGGCACGAGACACGCCCGGGTGGAGAAGGCGGCTGCACACAAGTGAAAATGGCCATTTTGAGTTCATTAAAAAAGTTATGACACGTGTTTGTTTTTTAGAGCGGTTTAGGTTACAGGAAATCGAGCAGAAAGTGCAGAGCCCCTCCCCCACCGCCAGCGTCCCCTGTAATTAACACGTTATGCTGGCGAGGCGCACCTCTTACCACAGGCGGGCCATCACACGCGTTCAGTAACTAAAGTCCACATTCGTGTCGGGGCCCCCGTGCTGCACATCCTGTGGGTTTTGACAAATGCATAATGACACGCGATCGTGTGAAGACACGTAACGACGGGCATCCATCGTGCATCACACAGCGGCGTTTCAATGCTCCCAGAGTCCTCTGTGTGGGTACCAGCTCTGCATTTATTTAATCCTCACCACCCACCTCGAGGAAGCTTGGATTATTGCAGACATTCTACAGAAAAGGAAACTGAGGCATCAATCCACTAACCTCATTCCCTGGGGAGTGGAGCTGGCATTGGACATCATGTGTGACTGGTCCTGGTGTGAATTCTCCCCAGGGAGCAGAGCCCGCATTGGACAGCACACGGGACTGGTCCCAGTCTGAGCTCTCAAAGGAGTGGGGTTCACATCCTCAGCGTTTTGTCTGTAATTATTACACTTAGTCCAGGTGTAATTACCCATAATTTGAGGAGGAAAGCGGTCATGTATTTACCTTGTAATTTGCAGTCGCACCTTAGACTGATGTGCTGCCTCTTCCTGCGGAAAGCTCCGGAACCCTTGAAGAATCTGCAGAGCGCAGACAGCACAGCGAGGTGTGAGTGTGCGGGCCGCTGGTGCGGGTGATGGAGGGCAGACAGCACAGCGAGGCGTGAGTGTGCGGGCCGCTGGTGCGGGTGATGGAGGGCAGACAGCACAGCGAGGCGTGAGTGTGCGGGCCGCTGGTGCGGGTGATGGAGGGCAGACAGCACAGCGAGGCGTGAGTGTGCGGGCCGCTGGTGCGGGTGATGGAGGGCAGACAGCACAGCGAGGCGTGAGTGTGCGGGCCGCTGGTGCGGGTGATGGAGGGCAGACAGCACAGCGAGGCGTGAGTGTGCGGGCCATTGGTGCGGGCGGAGGGCGCAGACAGCACAGCGAGGCGTGAGTGTGCGGGCCGCTGGTGCGGGTGATGGAGGGCAGACAGCACAGCGAGGCGTGAGTGTGCGGGCCGCTGGTGCGGGTGATGGAGGGCAGACAGCACAGCGAGGCGTGAGTGTGCGGGCCGCTGGTGCGGGTGATGGAGGGCAGACAGCACAGCGAGGCGTGAGTGTGCGGGCCATTGGTGCGGGCGGAGGGCGCAGACAGCACAGCGAGGCGTGAGTGTGCGGGCCGCTGGTGTGGGTGATGGAGGGCGCAGACAGCACAGCGAGGCGTGAGTGTGCGGGCCGCTGGTGTGGGTGATGGAGGGCAGACAGCACAGCGAGGCGTGAGTGTGCGGGCCGCTGGTGCGGGTGATGGAGGGCAGACAGCACAGCGAGGCGTGAGTGTGCGGGCCGCTGGTGTGGGTGATGGAGGGCAGACAGCACAGCGAGGCGTGAGTGTGCGGGCCGCTGGTGTGGGTGATGGAGGGCGCAGACAGCACAGCGAGGCGTGAGTGTGCGGGCCGCTGGTGCGGGCGGCGGAGCGTCCCCGCTGCCTGGGGTGGGTTCACTGCACAAGCTGCTCTCCTGGGCTGTGTCCTGGGGACAGCTCAGGTCTGGACTTTGGCCCAACCCACGCAGCCCCGCCCGGACCTGTTCCCACCTGGCCAAGCTCCCTGCTGGCTCCTCTCCCCTGGGCTGCCTTCACCCGCACACTGAGTGACCCGACGCCCGCTACACAGAAGGTCGTGTCGCAGTGGGGGGTGCCCAGGTCTCCCCGTGGGGCGGAGGGAAGCCTCTGTAGCTGTGGGCTTGCAAATGTGAGATGTGGGTGCCCAAAGGCCCGGCAACGGTCCAACAGGGCCGCCTTGGGGAGCACGGCCTTCAGAACGCCTCGTGGGGAGAGGTGGCGTGTGTGTAGCTGGGACTAGGAGGGAGGGTGGGGAAGGTCATGCTGGGAGCATCTCCGGCGCTTCCTCAGAATCCCAGCCGCTCAGGGCATCACAGAGGCCGCCCATCCCAAGAAACGCCGCGGAGGGGCTGTGGAGGGCGCTGTGGAAGGAGGGAGCATCGGGCCGGGAACTGCGTGGCCATTGTGGCATTCCAGCTGTGGCATCCCCGCCACCCCCCCAGCCCTGGCCCAGCCTGACCCCCAGGGCTGTGCAGCCCCTTCCAGCGCGTTCCCTGCACCTGCTCTACACCTTTCCCTCCTGAGGCCAGCGCGTCGGAGGCCGTGGCGCAGCGTGTTCCCAGTGTCAGCTGTGGCAGGACCCCCTTTCTGTGGAGGCCGTGAGGATGATTACAGGCTGCCATTCACGCAGACGTATTTTCTCACCGTTCCGGAGGCAGCAAAGCCACGATCAAGGTGTCACTGGTTCCTCGGAGGCTGTCGGGGTGGGGAGTCTGCCCCAGGCCTCCCTCCTGGGCCATCTCCATCTCCCTGCACCAACCTCTACGTCCAAATCTCCCCTTTCCATAAGCTCGGGAGGGGTGGGGCCAGGCCCTTCTGTGTGTCTGGCTCTGGGATGGGGGTGGCTCCTGCCTGAGGCCGATGAGGACATCCCAGGGAGGCCCCGAGGGCCCCTCTGCATCCCAGCCCTTCCCGCCTTTGTCCTTCAGACCACACGGGTCACAGACAGTCAGGAAATGGAGGTGGCGGTGTGTCTCCTTCATGCAGTGGGCTCCTTGGCTGAGCTGTGCAGTAGTCTGTTCATTAAGCCTGGCCGCAGCATCCTAGTAGCTTAATTATGGGCTTCATTACAAGGGAAGATCAATAGCCAGAAGGACAAAAGCTCAAAGATAATGGAAACAAATAAAGTACTTTGTCTTAGGTGACACTAAAGCTGTCTGGTCTGACAAATCCTCCTCAAGTCCGGCCTTCTGGCTCCTCCGAGGGTCCATTTGGGTTGAATGGAAAACAGCCGTACACCCAGCCCAGAGCAGGCTGTGGATGGAGCTCCGGGCAGCACTGTACTCCCTACCCCACGTGCCTCTGATGTGGGTGCAGATCATGGTGCTGGACCAGTTTCTGGGCGAGCTGGGGAGATGCCTCTGCATTACCCGTGTCCTCCGGGGACCCGGCCGCCCTTCTCCTCTGAAGACACCGTGGTTGACACACATCTCAGTCCCCAGGGGACCTGGCCGCCCTTCTCCTCTGGGGACACTGTGGTTGACGGCCCTTCTCCTCTGGGGACACCCTGGTTGACGGCCCTTCTCCTCTGGGGACACCATGGTTGACGTACATCTCAGTCCCCCAGGGGGTTTCCAGTCTAGACGGAAAGACAGACGTGAATCACGTCATCACACCATGGCATTTCTGCAAACTCAGCTGAGTGTGAAAGAAGGAACACGGTGGCCAAGAGAAAGCCAGGCCATCCTGACCCATCCTGGGGTGGGGGCTGAGGTTGGGAAGATGAGGGCAGTGACCCCGATGGAGGGGACAGCAAACCCCAAGGGGGGAGAGGGACTGGCCCGTCCGAGAAACTCGGAGAGGACCAGAGGTTAGAACGTGGTGAGACGGGGGGGAGAAGGAGGCTGTGAGCCGCAGATGTGGCAGGGGCTTCATGGATACAGGCGAGGGCAGGCCTTTATTCCCAAAGCTGCAGAGGCCGCTAGGACTGTTGGGGGTCCCTCGAGGACAGAGGGGGCTTAGGGTGAGGGCAGCTGAGTGTGAGGCTGCACAGGGCCCACGTCCACCCATGACAGTGAAGCCTGAGCACACTGGGCCGAGAACGAGCTGCTGTCCATGTCCACGAGACTCACAGAGGCGGCTGCTGTCCACGTCCACGGGACTCGCAGAGGCGGCTGCTGTCCACGTCCACGGGACTCGCAGAGGCGGCTGCTGTCCACGTCCACGGGACTCGCAGAGGCGGCTGCTGTCCACGTCCACGGGACTCGCAGAGGCGGCTGCTGTCCACGTCCACGGGACTCGCAGATGAGACTCACAGAGGCGGCTGCTGTCCACATCCACGGGACTCACAGAGACGGCTGCTGTCCACGTCCACGGGACTCACAGAGGCGGCTGCTGTCCACATCCACGGGACTCACAGAGGCGGCTGCTGTCCACATCCACGGGACTCGCAGAGACGGCTGCTGTCCACGTCCACGGGACTCGCAGAGGCGGCTGCTGTCCACATCCACGGGACTCGCAGATGAGACTCACAGAGGCGGCTGCTGTCCACGTCCACGGGACTCACAGAGGCGGCTGCTGTCCACGTCCACGGGACTCACAGAGGCGGCTGCTGTCCACGTCCACGGGACTCGCAGAGGCGGCTGCTGTCCACATCCACGGGACTCGCAGAGACGGCTGCTGTCCACGTCCACGGGACTCGCAGAGGCGGCTGCTGTCCACATCCACAGGACTCGCAGATGAGACTCACAGAGGCGGCTGCTGTCCACGTGCACGGGACTCACAGAGATGGCTGCTGTCCACGTCCACGGGACTCACAGAGACGGCTGCTGTCCACGTCCACGGGACTCACAGAGGTGGCTGCTGTCCACGTCCACGGAACTTGCAGAGGTGGCTGTGGAGGCTGAGGACAAGCTGCTGTCCACGTCCATGAGACTCTCAGAGGCGGCTGTGGAGGCCACAGGATGGATGCGGTTCTGCTGCTGGGGGCAGGGACAGAGACCCTGAGGGAACACAGTGGGTTTCAGTGCCTGACGGCCACACCTGGGCTGACCACCTGCCTCCCGTGGCTCCTACTATAGACGAAGCATCCCTGGCTCACTCAGGGGTGATGCGAAACCTGGCAGCTTCCCCCAAACATCCCCGTAGACAGCCGGGCCCTGCATGAGGCAGGCAGTGCGGGACGGAGCTCCCAGAGAGAGGGGTTGCAGGTGCGGCCAGGTTCAGTCCAGAGCCTGGAGGCCTTGGCTGCTGTGAGCGTGGAGGGGGATGAAGACTAAGATGACCATTTCTCCAGCTTCTCCATTTCTCAGGCCAGAAACTTGCCCGAGAGCCTCCTCGCCAAGTCCGCCCCACGCTGCGCAGCCTCCACTGTGCAGTCCCCTTGCTGTTGCTGCTCTGAGGGACCACGTTGAGTTCCTGACCATGGGGCCTGACCTCACAGGGCGCCAACCCAAGCGAGGCCAGTCAGTGCCCTCTGGGGCCTCTTCCCTTGGAACCAGAGACGATTTGGTTAAAATACAGATTCCCAGGCAGCCGTCATCTCTGTGGCCACGTGGGGGCTCTGCTCTGTATGGCACCAGCCCCTGCCGCCTGCACCCAGCTCTCCCGGCTGCCCGTGGACGCGTCTGGGCGGCTCCCCCCTGGTGGCTCCAGCCAGAGCCAGCATCGCCGGCAGCCTCCTCCCACTCCTCAAGTCCGATGGCTGGGTGCAGTCACACAGCCACCCCTCGCTGCACGGGAGGGTGGAAATGCTGTCTTCATTCTGGGAGCCCCGTGCCTGGGCCACATCACTGCCAGGAAGGTGAAGAGCAGGTGGGTGGGTGTGGGAGGACGGCCCTCAGACGGTGCCACAGAGGTCCCCTCACTGAGCGCAGGGCGGGGGGCTTCCTGCAGCCGCAATTCCTGCAGCAGGGCACAGAGGCAGCAGGGAGCGGATGGGGCTGGCAAAGGGAGAGAGCAGCCAGGTGGGACGCGAGCTTCCAGCTTCCACTGCCATCTCCCCAGAGTTAGATCTTGAGGGTTTATACGCGCCTCCTAATTAGGCAGGTTCAGGTGGGTTCCTACCACTCACCAACACCCTGACAGCGCATGGGGCCAGAGGGAGCCGTGACCATTGCCACGTCCTCTACTTGCGCTGAAGGCCTCGAATCCCCCGTTCATTTGGTTCCCATGGGCTCCTGCGTAGTGTTTCTTCTGCACGAGAGTTGATTCTTTCCCACACTCACCCCAGCTCACCCTGCCTCAAGAATTCCAGGAGGTCTGGGCTACCCAGATGCACGGAGCAGGGACCCAAGTCCGACGGCCGTGGGGGTTCCAGGAGTGGGCTCTGCCAGCCTGGGCCTGGCTCACGCTACATGGAAGGTTCTGCACCTGCTACCTGCCCTGCACCTGCCTGGCATTCCCAGGACCACACCTGCCATAGGTGCCCCACCTCGCAGAGCACTTTCTGCCCCCCGAGTGTCTCGGCTTTTTGCCCCCTGAGTGTCTCGGCTTTTTGCCCCGAGTGTCTCGGCTTTCTGCCTTCATGGGAAGAGGGCTTGGAAGACTCTTTTTCTTTTTCTGGTTTGTGTTTTGCAACGGCCTGAAAGCAAGCTGTTCTGTGTCGCTGGAACATATGAAAGGAAGTGTGATCCTCCACACACAGTTGCTCCCGGGCACAGACCCTGGGAATGCAAAGTTTCAGGAAGTAAACACCAACAGATCCGAGTCAGAAGCGCCAGATGGTGGGGCTGGGACGGCGGAGCCAGCTCCTCGGAGGCGGGTGCGTCCCCCGCCGAGCTGCGTGAGTCACTCTCTGCAGGGCCAGGAAGCTGCTGCCTCCCTCCTCCGACTCAGGTGCCTCCCAGGAACCCAGAAGGAGGGGAGGATGATGGCAGAGCTCACGTCAAGCCGCCAGCATCCCTTCTTCTGCACAGGGTGTGAAACGGGCACACTCAGCCGGGCAGCATCTGGAGCCCTGCCTGGGCCCAAGTGCATTCCTCGTTTCGCCAAAGTGAGTTCAGGTAGATTTTCTGTCACTTGCAACCAAAGCAAACCTGAAAAATGCAGCGTTGTCTGGAGCCCGAGTCGCTTCCTTCTCCTTTGTGAGGAACTTCAGGTTTATCCGAAGTGACTTAGACACGACCAGGCTCCAGCCTCCCGCACAGTTTGGGGCCCGGCAGAGATGAGGTTGGGCCAAGACTGTCCTTCTGCTGGGGCCGGGCAGGGGTCTTGGGTGGATTCGCACCAGGGCTGGCTCACGCATGGATGGAGGAGGGAGCTGCCCCACTGGGGGGCTGCAGAACAGATAGCACTCCCAAATCTACTCCCAAAGCGGATGTTCTGCATGTGGGGCCACCGCCCAGATTGCAACCCAATCCCCATGTCTGTCAAAGGCAGCCACACCTGTCTCAGAACCTCAGCTGGGTTGGAGAAGGCCCTGGTGGGTACAGGGGACTTGGAGCCCTGAGCAGTGGGGACTCCAGAGTCTCTGAGGTGGTAGGGGCGGGGGGCGGCACCGGCTTCCATCTGCTTTTGAATACTCAGGAGAAGAGGGGACATTCCGACAGTATCTGCCCCTGGTGAGGATACGTTAGACTTCAGTTGCTGTGCTTCCTGAAGCAACTGAAGAAGTTTACGTGAGACGGACTGAGGGCTGCCGCCTCTGTGGTTTTCCACTGGCCGCCACTTCAATGGGTGGGGACTGGTGGGCTCAGGGTGGGAGGGTCTGGAGGCCGCGACAGCACCACTGAGACCAGACCTCAGGAGTCCCTGGGCCTGGGCCTGGCTTCAAACCACGCGGGAGGCTGGAGCCTGGTCGTGTCTAAGTCACTTCGGATAAACCTGAAGTTCCTCACAAAGGAGAAGGAAGCGACTCAGGCTCCAGACAACGCTGCATTTTTCAGGTTTGCTTTGGTTGCAAGTGACAGAAAATCTATCTGAACTCACTTTGGCGAAAGGAGGAATGTGCTAGAAGGGTGTCATGCAATCAAGGGCAGGAGCCCGTGGCCCAGCTCCAGACTCGAAGGGGTCCACGAGCTCCCCAGCGCCGGGTCCTACGAGCTTTTCCCTCCCCAGGCGGGAAAGGCCGGCAGCTCTGTGGTCCCCGTGCTCATGGGATCTGTCACTGGAGTATCGCCTCATTCCCTGTCCTGGCCGGCTGGCTGGTCCGCAGGCGTGCTGATTCCACGTGGAGGCTGCCCCCCGGCGTGCGGTGGAGCAGGGGTGGGTGTTTTCCCAAAGGGTGGGGTCCCTAAGGAAGAGGGTGCGAGGGCTGGGCAAGGTCGCAGCAGCTGCAGAAGCTCAGTTCTCCACGGTACCCGCATCCCTGGCTCTGGCACCCCATGTTCAGGGAACCAGCCAAGATCCCCCCATTGTTCTCCAGTGAGAGACCCCACCTTGGCTTGGAGACACCGCTGCCTCCCTCATATGACGCTGGCTGAGCTGAAGGGTCTGTGTGCCTTGGCCTGGACAGTAAGAGCTCCTGTCCCCTGGGCACACCAGAGCCCATGGTGCCAGGGCCTCCCTGCGAGCTCCGGCCGGGGAAGGGACGGCCCCACGGGTCTCCGCCAGGTGCACCCTTCCACCCCATGCAGGTGGGCCTGGCGGACGAGGCACCCGCCAGAGGGGCCTCTGCGGAAGGAGGGAGAGACCAGAGACCAGGCTCCCCAGGCTCTGGGGCCTTGAGCAAGCTGTGCCGCCATCTCACCACCCTGCACCTGCACTCAGGGGCTGTGAATCCCACGGGCTCTGCTCCAGCCCCGAGAGCTGAGTTTCCTGTTACTTGCTACAAAAAGCCCTGAGCAAGCTGCCAAGTATTGAGTCGGAGGACGACATCGCCGGCACGTGGGGGAAACGCTAGCTGCTGGGGCGGACGCCGCTGCTAATCTCAGCAACTTCATACAAAATGTTCGCCCTCGGCATCAAGAGGCCACGTCGTCATCCAGCACAGCCACGTGGCTGGTCGGCGGGGGCAGGGCGCGGTCCCTGGTGGCCCAGGGGTCTCTGAGTGACCAGCCTCCTCCTCTGTCGTGTGTCCCCTTCTGACCCTCTGAATCCTCGTCACTCAGCCAGAGGCTGGGAGCAGGGCGTGAAGACAGGTGGAAAGAATTCTGGAGCGCCAGGCCTTCAGGGACGCCCACGCCTGTCAGGGCCCAGCCCCGTGGGAATACAGTCCCGCTGCACACCCACGTGGAACTGCAGAGGCAAGGCCTCCCGGCTGCCTGGCCATTCCTTCACTGCTGGCTTCGTGTTCACTGCTGTGCTGATGGCGGAGCTGGAAGCCTCCTCGCGGGACACCGTCTGCCCCTCTGCAACCTGGAGACAGCTGGGCCCCGACCACCCCTGCCCAGCCCTTGTCACGCCATATTCTGACCCCCGCAACTCTCTGTGGACTGACGGAGGCAGTGGCGGTGCCAGGAAAGTCCCGCCACACTCTTCACGAGACATTTGAGGCAGACACAGGGGAA
Organism: Homo sapiens; assembly: GCF_000001405.40. NCBI lineage: Eukaryota > Metazoa > Chordata > Mammalia > Primates > Hominidae > Homo > Homo sapiens. The sequence goes on along the minus strand of NW_021160007.1, from coordinate 260,574 downwards.
GCCGTTCCTACCCCCGTGCTAATGGACCAATCACGTCTCAGTGCAACGGCGAGGTGCCATGCGTGCAGCTGCCCCGGACACGGGAGGGAGGCTTAGCAAAAAGTCATTTCAGGGCCAGGGCCACTTCCTGATCAAAATTCGGGATTACTGCTGTAATCACTGCTGGTGGAACGGGGCCACGGACCCTGCCCATGACCGCCTCCCTTGGGGGAAGCCAGACAGAAAAGCCAATTTTCTGTAATCCTTCCTGTCTCTCCAGATGATGTTGAGCTGTGGAGGAGATTAATCAGAACAACACAGGTGGGTCTGCGCCAGCCCCCAGCGCCCAGCCCGTCATGCCTTCTTGCAGGTGTGCATTCACTGATTGACTCCTTTTCTGCCCCCGACTCTTCCCTCCTTCCAAAAAGCACTGGGACCTTCAGTGAGGGGATGGTGGCAGGAGGAGGGGGTTTGAGCCCGTCCACTGAGAAGCGGTTTCTTCCAGGGTGGGGGAAATGTGGTGCCTGCCCATCCCCGCCACTTGCAGCATCTCCTGCCAGAAGCCTGCAGTGAGCGAGCGCTCAGGGCCTCGAAGGAAGGGACGGTGGGGGAGGGGCCTGGCAGGCGTGCACACAGGCTTGGCGGGGTTGGGGCAGAGGCTGGGCCTGGGCTCTGGGTCGGGAGTGGCAGCCGAGGGCTGGGATCCCCGAGCTGTGCAGGAAGGGCCCCCGGCAGGGGGTGGACGCGGTTGCCTCGGCTGCTTCTGGGGATTGGCGGTCTCTGTAGGGCTGTCCGTCTTTTAGTGCCGGCTTCACCTATACACCTGCCATAGTCTCTGCCTTCCTGAGCTGTGCAGGCGTCACTCACGGCCAGCTGGGCAGTGGGTGCCCTGTTGAGGCCTCCTGCGTTGCCCGCACGGGCGAGCTCAGAGCTGTGGTTGGTGTGGATACCGGGCGCCTCTTTTCCAAATGCAGGAGAAAAGCAGAAGGATGCAAACAGAGATGTGGAGAAAAAATAAACACGAGAACAAACCCGGGACAAGGGTGGGACAGGGGCCTCCCTCAGAGCCTCCTGAGCCACCGTCGCCTCGGGGGGTGTCGGGGTTTGGGGCCCCCTGGCAGGCCAGGTTCCTTGAGGTGGAGGCCCTGTGTCCACTGAGTCACGCCCGGCCTGGGACGCCACTGTGTGCAGTGGATGTTCATCTGAGTGGAAGGCGCATGGTCCGTGGGGTTCCGAGAAGAGGGAGGGCTTGCAGCTGGGGAGCACGTGCGCATTCCATGGGAAGGCCCAGCCCCTAGATGAATTCCCGGAAACCCAGAGAAGGCACCAAGATTCCATTGCTCCCTACTTGCCCAGAGTTGCAGAAACGCAACACAGCTTGCAGCTTGTGGCAGCTGCAAGGTCCTGTGTGACCAGAACACGGGGCTGTTATTCCGTGAAAGCAAAGCCCCATGCCTGGCTGTATGCCCGGGCTGGAGGGCAGTGGCTGTTCACCAGTGCCATCACGGCTCCCAGCAGCCTCGACCTCCCGGGCTCAAGCCATCCTCCCACCTCAGCCTCTTCCCAAGTAGCTGGGGCCACAGGTGTGCGCCACCATGCCCCGCTTTTTTTTTCTGTTTTCTTTTTAGGAGCATGAGCCAAGCTCTTCGGCCTGAGTCTCTGCCGTGGTCCTTCGCTTCCACACTGCTGCAGCCAGCCCCTTCCCGGGGTTTTCATAGAGGCCGCCCTTCCCCCGGTGTCTTTCTGTCATCAGCCTTAATTAGGTTATTCGGAGGTCAGCACAGGGCCCTCTGCCATAGTGACCTATGTGCCCCATCACAGGGAGCTGCAGGCTCACAAGAGGGGTCTCCATGCTTGTCTATGGCGGTGGCAGCTCTGCGAATGCCCCACGAGGGCGTTCTGGATGAGGGGGGGCTCTGGCCTCTGGCAAAGCAGTGCAGCGTCCAGGACACCAGCAGCCGCGGCCGTGCAGGGGGTGTGGGGGTGACCGGTGGTGCCAAGTCTGGAGCACAGGAGACACAGACACGACCACCACTCACATCGCCTTCGCTCAGCCCACCGAGCTCCGCCTCGGCCTCCTTGTGACTTGGAGGGAAAGAACCACCTTCAGATTTTTCTGCCTATTTTGCAGATGAGAAAACCTGATACCTGTGGGAAGTCCCACGCTGGCAACAGGGGGATCCCAGGCCTGCACTTTTGAAACAACAAGAAAAGCCGTCCCTGGGGGGTCGCGACCATGGTTAGTTGACAGCTGGGTGAGCCTGGGCTGAGGGAGGGGGATTAGGCAGAGCTCCCTGCAGAGCTGCAGGAACGGGGATGGGAGCACCTGGCCTGCTGCACCCAACCCTGCATCTCAGCTCAGAGCCCGGCCCAGAGCCCAGGGACTTGCTCAGCCAGGCCAGAGGTCCAGGAGCCCTTGGGTCCTTCATGAGTTCCTGGGGCAGGGGCTGGGTAGCCCCGTGGCCTTGGTCCTCATGCCGGCCTCTAGGGCTGTGCCAGGATGTCTAAAGAGGCCACCAGGCTCTCCCAGCTTTAACTCTTAGTGTCCATCCCTCCTGTCCCCAGAGGGCCACGGCTGTGCTCAGCTCAGAATCTCAAAGGACAGATGCCTGGTGAGATGGGGACACAGATAGGGGGACAGGGGCCATTCCGTTGCCTAAGAATCCAACCTAAGGGACGAGGCCAGGCTGGGTGGGTGGGGAAGTGCAGGGCCCAGCCCCCGAGGGTCCACTTTCTGGTGATTCCAAGGAGGCACCTCGGTTGGCAAGCAGCCTGTGTCTAGCTGCTGCCTGTGTGCTCACCGAGGACAGTGTGCTCACCCTGCTTCCTGGAGAGGGAAATGGAAGCTGAGAGCATAAAGTGACCTTTCAGCCCCAGAGGAGACAGGCTGGGCTGGGGCATTTCCAGACAGGTCAGCCAGGGAAGGGCATGGGTGTGCCCAGGCTATTTTGATGACAAAAGCAGAACCCAACCCAAGGTGGCAAAAAGGGTGAAGGGAGCTGATGCAGCTGATGACAAGCAGCAGAACCCAACTCAAGGTGGCAGAAAGAGCGAAGGGAGGTGACGCAGCTGGATTCAGGTTCGCAGCTGGATTCAGGTGATGCAGCTGGATTCAGGCGCAGCTGAGCACAGAGGCAGAGGGCATCCCGGGGACCCTGGCTCTGCCTCCAGCTCTCACTCTGCTTCCCTCCCCAAGCCCTGCAGTCCCAACCAGGCTCCCCGTTGCTGGTAAAGATGATCCCAGCAGCTGCTCACCACATCCCACCAGACGTGCCTACCCCACGGAAAAGAGGCACCAGTTGTCGGTCGTCTACAAACAAAGTCTAAGAATCGAGTCTCATTGGCCTGGCTGGGGCCACATGCCTAACCCTGACCCAATCCTTGGGCTGAGGGCTCGGAATATGTTAACAGGACAGACAAGTCATGGGCCATTTCTGGAGCTGGGAGTTGGGTCAACCTCATCCCAACCAATAGATTAAGAGAGGGCAAGGCCAGGCACAGTGGTTCATGCCTGTAATCCTGGCACTTTGGGAGGCCAAGGCGGGTGGATCACCTGAGGTCAGGAGTTTCAGACCAGCCTGACCAACATGGAGAAACCCCATCTCTACTAAAAATACAAAAAATTAGCCAGGTGTGGTGATGCGTGCCTGTAATCCCAGCTACTCGGGAGGCTGAGGCAGGAGAATCACTTGAACCCAGGAGGCAGAGGTTGCGGTGAGCCAAGATCGCACCATTGCACTCTGGCGTGGGCAACAAGAGCGAAACTCTGTCTCAAAAAGAAAAAAAAAGGGCAGCTTTTCAATGACATTTTGGAGGACAGTTACACAAGGAGGGAAAAATTGGAGGACAGTGACATGCCAGCCAGAGAACCATGGCATGAGCATCCTTCCTCAGCTAGACATGGAGCCAAAGCTAGCCGCACAGCACGAGCAAGTTTCACCAACTTCTTCAGGACTATGCCAGAAAGGCATTCTCAACATAATCCGCCTAATCCCCCACCCCCAGCTCTGACCCAATTTTACTAACTTGTGTGGACTGGATGTATTGAGAGAGCTCCCAGAGGGGTCAGAGGTACCAAAGAATCTGATGAGACAGAGTCTCTGTGTGTATATGCAGTGATGGTGGTGATAGTAGCAGGGAAGTTGGTAGTGATGGAGGTGGAGACCATGATGATAGTGATGATGATGGTGGTGATGGTGATGATGGTGATAGTGATGGTGATGATGGTGATGATGGCAATGGTGATGATGGTGATAGTGATGGTGATGATGGTGATGATGATGGTGATGATGATGGTGATGATAGTGATGGTGATGATGATGATGGTGATGGTGATGATGGTGATGGTGTCAGTGATGGTGATAATGGTGACTGATGATGGTGATGGTGATGGTGATGATGGTGATGGTGATGATGGTGACGATGATGGTGATGGTGATGATGCTGATGGTGATGCTGATGGTGATGATAGTGATGGTGATGATGATGGTGATGATAATGGTGATGGTGATGATGGTGATGATGATGGTGATGGTGACAATGAGGATAATGGTGATATGATAATGGTGATGATGGTGGTGGTGATGGTGATGATGATGGTGATGGTGATGATAGTGATGGTGATGGTGATAATGGTGATGTGATGATGGTGATGGTGATGGTGGTGATAATGGTGTGATAATGATGGTGATAATAGTGATGGTGATGGTGATAATGATAATGATGATGATGATAATTATGGTGATGGTGGTGTTGGTGGTGGAGTAGGTAGTGGTGGAGATTATGGTAATGATGGCAAAACTTTGTCCTGAAACAGGAGATCTGAAGAGAGGTCAGGGATCTCTGTAAAAGTGATTCCAAAAGTGAAAGTCCACAAGCCAGGGATGTAAAATAAATGGCTGATACGGGCTGGATGGGAATTGTGGGAAATTGGATTTTGTGCATTCTTCTAAAAGCAGCAGCACTTACTGAGGTCCACCACTTTCTGTGGTGAGGAAACAGGAGCTCTACGCAGCCACATTTTCTAATACTTCTACAGACACCAGAAATCCTGCAAAATATTCTGCTTTGCAAATATTGGCCAATAACTCAGAAACTTAAAGCAGTGTTGGCGTGCCACAGAAGACGTATTCACTGGAAACACTGAAAGCCTCTTTTTAGAGTGCAGGTGAAGTGAAGAAGAGACAGAAATCAAGGGCCTTGGGAGCAAGACCCTTGCCCTCTGCCCGCTGCATTCCAGGAAGGTGGGCCAGGGTCCCTCCCAGGCCTCCATCCCCCAGGGGACTCCAAGTTCCTCCAAATCTGTCTTCCCTCCACTTCTGAGGCCTGGGGAGTCCTGGGTCCCAGGGGTACCTCCTTAGAGAAAGCAAGTGGGGGCTGACTGAAGGGGGGATCCCAGGGCTGTCCCGGGGCCTGGCTCCATGGGAACCGTAGCAGCCCTGTTGTGTAACGTGTTTGACATTCAAATTAGAATGGTGTTTGGGAAAACTCACTTCCGCGGAGGCCTGTAATTGGAACCTGTGGGAACATTTACACTTATGGAGAATTAACAAAAACTTTATTGCTGCAGTTAAGAGGAAACCTTGGGAATTTCCTCATGAGGGGCTCTGAGAGGCCCCTCCCAGCTCCTCAAAGGGCCGATGAAGGAGACAGAGCTCTGACCAGGAGGAAAGGCCTTTTCTCTGGACCTTGGCCACCGGGGCAGAAAAGGATTCTGGGACAGAGGAGAAAATCAGAGAGAAAGAGATGGAGGGAAAGAGGTGGTGGAGACTGGGTTCTGGGTCGGGGCGGCCTCCTTGCTCTGGCTGATGGTAACTGTGGCTGAGCTGCTCGTGGCTCGTGGCTGTAACTGTGGCTGGTGCGGCCTGAGCTGCTCGTGGCTGGTCCGTGCCTTGCCTTCAACACGCATTTCCTCTTCAGTCCTTCTCGTGGCCCGGGTGGAACAGCATGGTCACCTTGCAGACACAGACAGGATGGGACGGCCCAGAGAGCTGAAGGGACTTGTCCGAGGCTGCATGCTCTTCACCGGTTATCCCAGGTTCACTTGCATTTCCCCACATTCACTGTGGGAGCCCCGACCTCCCAGGACCTGTGTGCGTGACCTTGGTTGGACCTGGGGCTGTGGCAGCCGTGAGGGGTTAAGATGAGGCCACACTGGAGTGGGATGGGCCGAACCCCACAGACTGTGCCCTGATGAAAAGGGGAGATACAGGCACAGAAACAGGCACACAGGGAGGAGGCCACGGGAGATGAAGCCAGAGACCGGGAGACACACCTAGAGTCAGGAAAGGTGGAGAACACCAGCCGCCCTGGAGAAAGGCGGAGACGGACTGCAGCTCCCACCTCAGAATGAAGCAGCTGCGTGGGCCCTGGCCTCCAGAGCCATAAGAGGGGACGTGTTTGCAGGTGGAGGCGCATGGCCAGCAAGGCTTGTTAGGCCGCCTGGCACGTGGACTCCGCGGCGGGCCCTGAACTGAACACCGGTGACCAGTTCCAGCCTCCGCCTCCCTGGCCCCGGCTCCTCTGTGTCGGGATGGGGACTCATGGCTCTCCCAGGTGTCTGTCATGAAATGAACTCAGCAGCGGGGCTCGGGTGGGGCTCACGCTGTGTGGGCATTGCTATGGGGTCAGCGCCCTGCACGCTCCCTGCATGACTCTGCCAGGGTCAGGTGGCTGTTGGTGTTTGACAGGTGAAGCGAGGTTGGGCTGAGGCACGGGAAGGCGGGGTAACTTGCTTGAGGTCACGGAGCCAGACCTGAGCTCAGGCGTGTCCCCAGTGTGGGTGTCCAGGACACAGAAGCCTGTAAGTGTCCCCCCCCAACCTTGAAGGGCAGCCAGGGGCCACCCCGACACCACCACAGCATCAGAATGCAAGGAATCCAAGGTGTACCAGGCGGAGGCTGGGGGTGCGGACGGCTGTGCCCAGGTCACAGGTGCGACCAAATGGACTTCTGCTGCCTGGAACAGCGACCACCAGGGTGCACGCGGGGCTCGGAACGGCACTTGAGTATCTTCGTGTCTTCTCTGACCCCATGATCACCTCGGAAATCTGTGGTGATCTGCCAGCCCACCAGCAGAGAGTGGGATCATCTCAATGGACGCCCAGACACAGAAGAGCCAGGCAGGGGCAGCAGAGCCACCAACAAACCCACAGCCAGCCACCGATTCACGGGTGAGCCCAGCCAAGTCCAGGGGGACCCACAGGGCCCACAGATTCACGGGTGAACATGGCCAAGTCCAGGGAGACCCAGAGCCGGCCACGGATTCACAGGCCCAAGCAAGTCCTCAGAACCCACAGCCAACCCACAGATTCGTGAGCAAAAGTGAATATTTCCTGCTCTTCTCTGAGGATTTGTGTGGTTGTCACACAGTGTAACTGTGGCAATAGAAACGGATTCCTAATTCCACAGATCCAGGCGGTTGTTTCGCATTCTTACGGATGACATAGAAGGCGCCACAGCATCCCCACAGGCCACGCAACACGGTGGTTCAGAAGGGCTGCGGGACTCAGACCCACAGCGACAGCCTCCTCTGAGGGCGGCCCTGACCTCCCAGAGTCGGCCGGCTCAGAGGACAGCTGCCTGCCAGTCCTGCGGCTCCAGAGGTGACAGTTTCCAGAATGCAGATGGCATGTCTTAGAAAGCCATTTCCTTCAGTAAAGTTAGAATAATTATACATGGTACTGAAATTATATAACTGTTATTACAGCTTGTTTAAAAATTATCTGGATTTAATTGATCAATTAGATTAAATTATGCAGTAGTGACAGTTGGCAAATGCCCAGGCCACAGCCTGCAGGATTTGAAAAGCCCACAGCCCTGGCCCCAGAGCCTTGAAGCCCGTGCAGAGATTTATTTTCTTTGTGAGGTTGTTACAGGTGATTCTCAGTGGTTCGTTTAAAGCCGAGAGCAGGTGAAGGCCCCTGAGACGGAGTCTCATGGAGCCCTGGAGGAGCCTCGTGCAGTCAGGTTCCTCATGGGGGCTGCACACAAGGAAACTGCAGCCGTCCATGGGCTGAGTCGGCTCTGAGTGTGGTCGCGGGGTGGGTGTCCTGGGCTCCTGCCCCCAGGCGACCTCTGCTCTCTTCCATTTTCCCCACCTGGGTCGTGCACCCACCCATAGAGCACCGGAGAGTCCCAGGGGGACGGTGCGGGGTCAGCATCCCCGGGTTCTCATTTGCAGATGGGAAGACTTTACCTATGATGGTCCCAGAGGGCCCGGCTTGGCTGAGGCACCCGCTGCCCTGTCAGTCACCTCCACGGGGCCTCAGCACATGGAGCCCACGTTGGCGGGTCCCAGCGACCGCTGACCACAGCATCACAGACATGCATGTGAATGGGCCGGGAGTCCTTGAGGGTGTACAGTGTCTGTGTCTGCTGCGTGGCCGTGAGCAGCCAGGTCAGGAGAAGGACACGGGGAGTCGTCCTTGGAGGGAGGAGCGCCGGGCAGAGGGGTTGGCGCGGGAGGGCTCTGGGTGGGAGCTGCCTGGAGGGCGGGAAGGCTGCGTGGCCTCTGTGAACACTAAGCCTTTGACTCGGGGGGAGGGGGCGCTGCAGGGTCAGGAGCGGAGGGCAGTGTAGTGACCTCAGTGTGGCGGCAGCTGCTGTGCCGGGGACCGACTGAGACCCGGGAGAGGCGAGAGGGCGGTGAGCTGCGGCCCTTGTCTGGGACCGACTGAGACCTGGGGAGGGCGGTGGGTGCTGCGGCCATTGTCTCAGCCGTCGTCCGGCTGAGAGACGAGGGTGCCTGGGGTCAAGGCTGGGCCGCAGAGGTGGCCAGAATTGGGCAGATTCTGCACTTAACCTGGGGGTGGAACCCACGGTGTTTGCTGACAGATTGGAAGTCAAGGGTCACCTTTGCCACCAGGCACAGCGGGGACAGAGTCACCGTTCACGGCGCAGGGATGGAGGGTCAGGCAGGTTGGGGCAGGCAGGTGCTGAGCTCCGGACGCTGAGTGTGGGGGCTTTGACCTCCTGCAAAGAGACCCCGAGGGTAAAGGCCGGGTTGTCGCCTGCCGCCCTCCGATAGCAGTGGGCCTCTCCCTCTCCACCTCCAGTCCACTGGCCTACACAGCCCATGAGGCCCAGACACTTCCTATTCTTGGGGTGGAACAAGATGCCTGCCAGGGGCCCGCGGCTGTACCTGGGGCTGCTGAGAAGAGGCCCTTGGTTTTTCAGGTGGGGAACTCTAGGGGGTAAGAGGCAAATCTGGAGCTGCTGGTAGAAACCCTTGGGGGGCCCTGTCCGGGAATAAAGTCAGCCCTGGGGCGGCAGGATGGAGGGGAGGTGGGAGGGAGCGGGGAAGGGGGTGCAGAGATGCAGACACATCCGCTTACTTGCTAAAACGTATTCGTAATCCCCAGATCAGTACCGGGGTCTTTCCTGGTCATTCACAGGCGTGCACAGAGCTTCTGGAAGCCGCGTCACCCACGTGCGTGCCTGGCCGGGAAGGAGTGAGGCCGCACCCGCCTTCTTGTTTCCGCTCTCGGAGTAAACGTGCGTTCTTTTTAGAGTCCTGTCATTCACATTTTCATGCTCTTTGTCGGTGATGTTGCAGCTTAAAGTAGCCTCAGGAACAGAGCTGAGGTCCTCTCGAGTGACCCTGAGTGCAGGAGCTGTGACATGCGATGGAGACGCTTCGCTCAGGCCTGTGTAGGTGCTGTTGGCCGTGAGTTCAACGTTAATGAATCAACTCTATACACTAAATACAGTGTCTTTAAGCAGAAACAGACCAAAGTGACAGACTGATGGGTGGTGAAAATGTGGTGACCAGAGGCTCAAAGGAACCTGATCTTGTTCCCTAAGGACCAGAGGCTCAGCATCTGCCCGCGCGGTGGTGACGCTGCAGACCGTGGCCACCGAGAATGGGGAGAGTCAGCCATATGCACCCATGGAGGGATCACGATGACTTCATTTAACTCCTGGATCCAGCTGTGCCCGAGGCCCTGGACTTACTACGCAAGTCCTGGTTCTAGAAATCAACTTCTTTCCTCCTTTGTTTAGGCTGGTTTGTGCTGGATCTCTGCTGCTGCTGACAAAATCTACCCTAACACAAAATCCCGTCGGGCCCGAACACCAGGGTGATTTCTTTGTTCTAAGAAGTGGCCTTCTAGGTTGTTACAGAGGGACCTTCACTGGGCTTCCCAAGAACTTTTTCAGCCGGACGCCTTGGCCAGCAGCAGTGGTCCGCACAGACAGGCTTGCTTTGTGCTGTTCAGTAGCTGTGAACAGCAGGAGTGGGGAGGGGCAGAGGAACAGAGATCCTGTCCCGCCTCCTGCAGGACAGCACCCCCCGCCCCGCCCTGAGGACCCCAGAGGATGCACAGGACATTCAGACTCTGCTTCCTCTCCCTCCTCGCCCGCTCTCCAGCTCTGGCTTCTCAGCCAAACTCCCCAAAGATGCGTCGCAGAGCGGAAAGATTTATGATGGTCATTTGTACGCACGAGGCGCTCACAGACGCCGCACTCCTGTGCCGCTTTTGGTTTTATTTAGTGTGAAGGAGCAAGCTGTTCCAGCTCACATCGGGGAGCCTCATAAATCATGCGTGTTGGAGCACCTTCCAGGGGCGGCCTGTTCTCTCCAGTGGCTGCCCGTCAGCACTGGCATGGCATGGAGCAGAACATCCCTGCTCAGCTCAGATCCTGGGCACAGAAAAGCTGTACTCAGCAAGGGCTTAGAACAGCAAACGAGGGAGCACTCACGTTTCCAAAGTTCCTCTCTCTGTCCATCCCTTGTGAGGCCTCTGCCCTGGGGGTTTTTGCGACCTGCTAACACTTCACCCAATTTTTACACAACTCAGTCTCGCATTTCACCATCCAGTTCAGATGTGGTTTCCCCAGAGGGAGCAGCTCCCCACCACCCTCCTGAGGTGGGCAAAAGATACACACACACTCACACATACACACATACACGCACACTCACCATAGCACTCACATACACATGCACACACAGACACGAACATGCTTGTGCACATGCACGTACTCATGCATGTGTGCACAGATGCATCTGCACTCACGCTTGTACACACATGTGCACACATGCACACACGCACACATTTTGCATGCACACACTTGTAAACATGCAGATTCACGTGCACACATGCTTGTACACACATGCATGCACTTGTACACACATGCATACACGTAAAGACACGTATACACACATGCTCACACTTATGCACACATCTGCACATGCACATGTGCACACGTGCTTATACACACATGCATGCACTTGTATATACAAGCTCACACACGTGTGTACACATACATTCACACACTTGCACACCCATGCACACACTTCACAATGCACACGTGCATTTTCACATATGCACATGTGTGTATACACACGCCCACAGACACATACACACATGCACACACTTTGCACACACTTATACATGCATACATGAGCACACAGACACACGTGCACACTCAGTGCACATACTTGTACACACACATGCACACACACAGATACATGTGCACACACAGGGTCCCCGTACCCCAGTCTCCTTCACAGCACTCCAGCGTCTCCTGTGCTTTCTCTCCTGAGGGCGGGGCCTTGCTGAGGGGGAAGCAGTTGAGTGGCAGGAGATAATTTCACAGCAAGTTCAGCTTCCTGTTCCCAGGGCCTAGGGGGGAGGTGGCCACAGACCTCTTCCTCGGAGGAGCCACTGGGAAGGACAGGCAGGAACCCGAGCTGAGAGCAGGTGGGCAGGGGAGACGGTGACCCCCAGGCCTCTCTCCTCTCAAGGGGCTGAGGGTGGAGCAGGGACGGAGGGATGCAGTGACTCCTGTGGCCACCAGGGAATCACCTGCAGAGGGCAGGACTCTCCTGAGGGGACACTGCCGGCCTCGCTGCCCTTCCCAGCTGGAATCCTCTGGGCTGGGAGGGGAGGACGGAGCCGCATCTGCAAACCGAGGCCTGGGATTGAGCCAGGGCGAAGGGGAAGGTGAGGTGGCAGCTGGGTGTGCGCAGAGGTAGGCTCAGTGAGCAGCTCCCTCCAAGCCTCCACCGCGAGGGAGGTCACGGAGAAGGGGAAGGCAGGCTGGGTTTGGGAAGGCGGGTGGCCCGGTGCATCAGAGGACACCTGCTTCCTGCACTGTCTTTGTTCCATGAATTCATTTTTAGGGCAACAAAAGTCATGGCTCTTTTGTACATGCAAAGAAAATCATTTCTGGTGTTTTCCCATTCCCCACCCCGTGGGATTTGATTGGACCAAAGTGGTGCACGGAGCAGGACAGCGAGAGACAACGCCGTGTACGTGGCCCCCTTTGTCATACCTGCCCCGGGCATAGCCAAATCCTGGCCCCGGGCGCCCACTGCAGTGAGGCCTTTCTGCTCTGCGGTGAGGTCGCTGCATCCCAGGCTTGCAGTGGGGGACGGGCCTCTCTGCACTCCCTGGCCTATGCCTGGCCACAGAGGCGGCCGGTCAATAGTCCCCAGGGGAAAGCAGCGGGTTTCTCGGGGCGTGGCCAGGACTGTGGGCCTGTGTGTCTTCTGCATTCAGACAGGTCGCCTCACGGGTCCAATGCCGGGGTCTCAGCCACCCACAGGACAGAAAACCGGGCAGGTGTTTCCTGGACTTTGCGACCAGCTACAGGGAGGGGCATGGGAGGCGTCAAGCGGGAGGAGGAGGCTGCCTGCCACGTGTGCTGTGCGTGGGTGCCCTGGAGAGGCTGCGGGAGGCCCTGTCTGGCCCGCACAGCTGTCGTGGTGCCAGGCACGCGCCTGGGGCTGCTCTGTGTAACAGTCTCATCTGCACACACTTGGCCCGGGAGGCGCCTGCGCCCAGACACCAGCCGACCACACGGAACTGACAGCCCTGGTGACTGTGCCGGGACTCTCGGTCCCACCCGAGCTCCTGGGAACCCCTCAGGTCACCCCCAGCCCCAGCCCAGCGGAAGCCTCCAGCAGGTCCTCCCCCACCCTCCCCCAATGTTTTACCCCCACCCTCCTCCAGTCCCTGCCTGGGTCCCCCAACCCCAAGTCAGATGTCGGCGCTCCACTCTGCCTCCGTCAGCCTCCCACATGCTCGTCAGCTGCCTGTGGCTGGTCCTCCCTCCTCGGGGAGACCCCCAAGTGCTCAGAGCCCATGTCTACACACTGCACAGCTCTGAGCAGCTCATCCACATGCTGGAGCACACACGGTCCACAGCAGGCAAAGGCTGAGATGCCAGGAATCAGGCACGGGAAGGAGGGTTCGTCTCGGAGCTCCAGCATGTTCCAGGGATCAGGGGCCAGGGTGAGCATGCGGGGTGGATATTAAGGGTGTGGGTAATGGAGGAACAGAACGCAGCATCGGGCTGACTCTGGAAGTGGGCTCGCTACGCAGAGCTGCTGTGCTGAATGCCGCAGCCGGGGGCCAGGATTGGTGCGAGCTGTTTGTCTGGCTGTGTGGAACACAGGCCCCACGGTGGCCCAGTGAGAGGGCTGGAAATGGCGCACCTGCCTTGGTGTAACTGGAGGGAAGAATCCAGAGGCCCAGGGAGGCTGCAGTGTCAGGCCGGACCTGTCGTTAGACCTGCCGGCCACCCCAGAAGGGGCCCGGGGACAAGGCTGTCACCACGGCTGGGAGAAACACATTGGTGGGGGCCTCACACCTGGGAGGGCTCCGTGACGGCTCCTTCTGCAGGGCAGACCTTCTGGTGGGAAACGCGGTCACTGCCTCGGGAAGCAGGAGCACCACGGGATGAACGGATCCCGGGAGGCAGAGCCGTAGGCGGAACTCACCCACTGCCAAGGGAGGGCGGGAGGTGTGTCCACGTGGACGGCCAGGCCGAGTGGCAGTCAGGGTAGCCTCATGCGTGCACGGTCGTCCCCCTCATCATGGCGGGTGGGGGCTATTTCCAAGACCCCCAGTGAATGTCCAAAGCCCCAGGTGGTTCCGAGTCTCATACGCGATGCATTTTCCTGTAGAGTGACCCCGCGCGGGCTGGCAGTGTGCGCAGCATGGAGACGCTGGACGCAGGGAGGGTGCCCGGCCCAGGCAGGACAGAACCCGGCGGTGCGAGGGTTCATCACGCTGCTCAGAACAGCACGATTTAAAACCTGTGAGTGACTTCCTCCTGGACTTTTGTATTCTTGGCTGCAGTTGACTGTGAGTGACAGAAACTGGAGTGAAGCTGAAGGTGAGGGGACATGGTGGACCCGCGGCATCGGCGACCCACCACCGCACTCCTTCCAAGGACCGAGGGGAGGCCTCCCAAATCTTTACCTAATCGACATAAACAGGAAGGTTTTAGGTGAACAAAAGTCTAGCGCAGTCATCAAACCAGTCTCGGCCCCTCCAGCAGGTCTCAGGTTCTCAGATGCGAGCGGTTTACAGACCAAACCCCCTCAGGAAGGGCCCTGGGCCCCCCAAAAGTGTGGGCTCCTCTTCCCCGCCCTGCCCAACGGGACCTGTGGGGCTTCTGCCTCAGTGACCGGGTCCGAACTAGACCTTTCGGGGACTCCTGGACACGGGCTCTGAAGGCTCTGAACTGACGTTGGTTCTGGGAGCCCCAAAGCATCACTGCGGCCCTCCAGTTAGAAAGGGGCTTATGGAGGGCAGGTGGCCGTGCCATTTTAGCTCAGGTTTGACACCACAGGCCCAGTGGGTCCCGGGATGCACCCCAGGGCCATTTCCCCGCTCCAGGTGTGCAACTGGAGCAGACACACTAGAGCTGGCAGACTCCACGTCCGCTCCCTGCCCTGCGACGTGAGGGCTGGGTGGAGGGAGATGCTGGTGGGAGACATCAGAGCTCATTCTACCTTTTGAAAAAAGCCATAAATCAAAAGCAAGACCACATGGCCGAGGGGCCGCAGAGCTTGGTGTCCTCACCAGGCCCTTGGAAGATGCAGGGGTGGTGACCCACCCCCAGCCCCATTCGGCTCAGCCTCTGGCCTGCGCAGAAGACAGATGTGTCCTGGGGAAGCAGTGGGCGCCGGAGGCTGGCCCAGGTGGGGCCTCCAACTGCAGCTGCTGTGCCAGGTGTGGCTTCGCTGCGAGCGGATCCACTCACCGTGGTGCCGGCTGTGCAGCCGTTGATCCGGCTGATACCTTTCTCCAGCCCTGCCGGCGAGGCCCACCGGAGGCAGCCGGCCTTCAGCTGGGAAGGATGCGCCATGCCCTCCCGGCCCCACCTCGCCGCAGCCTCTGCCCCGGTCTCTGCGCGGCCTTCTCCCTCTGTGTGTCCATGCCCAAACTTCTCTCTTGCTACAAGGACACCAGCGGTCGCATCAGAGCCCACTTTAACCTGCTGTGACAGGGAGGGACGTCCAAGGAGCTGACGGGGAGAGCAAGACTTGCCGCAGAAGGGACCTAAACTTCGGCCACGCGGCGCTCCTGGGCCCCGGCCATGCATCTTGTCAGGAGGCGGACCTGGTGAAGGAGGAAGCATCCTGCCTGTGAGGCAATGCTGCCCAGGCGACACGTCCCTCCTAAGCAGAACATGATGTTCACTCAGGACGCCGCATGGGGACAGCCGGACACACACAGCTGCATCGATGCGGACCCAGCTCAACCCAGCTTAAGGGAGAGGAGGATTTTGTTCGTGCCACTTCTGGGAAGTCGGAGGCAACAGCAACCCTCCTCCTTGGAGCCAGAAATGAAACCTGTCACCCGCCGGCCCCTCACCCCTGTTCTCTCCAGATCCGAGGTCTCCTCTGGGGAGGGCCGGCTCTGTCTCTGTGCCCTCAGCCTGCTTCTCCACGTGACAGGCACGGCAGCGGCTGTGAGGTCGTGGTCTAGCGTGTCTCGCTCAGGGACAGCACACGCGTGGGCGGCCTCGTGGGGTCTGCTGGTGCACATGTTCCTGTGGACCAAGCCCTGCACCCAGGATGACAGTTGTGGGGCTATGGTGTGTGGGCCGTGGACCTGCTGGGAGGCTCTGCCTGTGGACGGGAAGTTCTAGCCCAAGAGAACTGTGAAGGCCGCCACAGTCGGCACCACCCAGAGAGGCGTCTGTGTGGCCTGTGGTGAATTTTATGTGTAGACTTGGCTGGGCCGCAGGGTCCAGACATTTGGCCAGACGTTTCTCTGGATGCTTCCATGAGGGTGTTTTCTGCGAGGGTGTTTTTGGATGAGACTGACATTTAAATCGTGGACTGTGAGCCGCACCGATTTCCCTCCCTGACTTGGGGGCCTCCTTGGCAGTTGGCCTTTGGACCTGAACGGCAGCACGGGCTCTTCCCAGGTCTCCAGCCTGAGGGTCTTCCCTGTAGATCTGGGGTTTTTCAGGCTCTGTCATCCCGTGGGCCATTCCTGAGAATGAGCTGCCTTCACATCTGCACATGTCCAGTGACTGTTCCTCAGGAGAACCCTGACACGCAAACCGTGAGCCATTCTCCTGCTCACACAGGGACGGGCGGCCGCAGCTGCTCAGCCGAGGCCGATGCTTCCCACTTTCCCCATGCCCAGGATGCCACGTCACCTGCAGGTCGCCACGTCACCTGCAGGTCGCCATGTCACCCGCACGCCACCACATCACCCACAGGTCGTCACGTCACCCGCATGCCGCCACGTCACCCACAGGTCGCCACGTCACCCACACGTCGCCACGTCACCCGCACGCCTGGCTGTGGAGGGGGAGTGAAGCCTGTGCTTCCTGCCCATGCCCTCAACGCGAAGCAGGTCCCTCCCTCTTCTCTCCTAACTCCTTCCCACTGGCCAGAAGGCACAATGTCACTTTTAGCTCTGAGCTTCAGATCTGGGTGGAGGGTGGTAGAACAGCAAGACCCTGGGTTTGGTCCTGGCCACCACAGAGCTGCCTCGCCACTCGCCGGACCACACACTGGGGCTGTTCATGGAAAGCCGCATCTCCCACTGTCCAAGCCCACATGCTGAGCCGTGCAACATGGAACGCAGGTGTCAACCTGGGAGTGGCCTGCACTCAGAAACGGAGCAGGCGTGGGGGAAATCATGGGCGGAATTGGGAAGGAAGGAAGCGCTGAGGAGTGCTGGGCGTGAGCCGTGCCCACATCAGGGCTGGCGGGGAAGGCACAGAAGGCACAGCCAGAGGGGTGGGGAAATCTGGGAAGGGGCAGGACACGAAAGCCAGGAGAAGGTTCCCTGGGACGGAGAGCTCCACAGAGCCACGGCCGGGGCGCAGGCGCAAGCCGGGGTGGATTCCCACCAGTGTGCAGAGCCGTTGTTCCTGACTCTGGACTCAGTGGTTGCACTGTCGGCTTGAAACCAGCTATGATGGGAGCATTTACACCGAGGAAGCAGTGCTCACCACACGTGCGTTCCATTGAGGAGCTGAAGGCATTTACAGCACACAGGAGGGCCATGTGGGGAAATGCCTTGGCATGCAGCAGCCGTACTCCTGAGAGCTGCGTTGGCAGGAAGGCTACAGTGCCCAGTGGGGGCAAATCAAGAACAGGAAATGTGGGAGCATGATGCAGCTCCCGCTTGGCCGTCTCTCCCAGGGCTGGAGCTTGGAACCTGGCAGCCATGCTGTGAGGAAGCTCAGGCCATGTGGAGGGGAGGGTGCTGGATTCCGACAGCTCAGCCACTGCCAGGAGCGGGCCTCTGCCAAGGCCAGCCACAACCCTCAGACGCGTGAGTGCCAAGCCATCCGATGAGCACAGCTTCCTCCAGCCCCCACTGCCAGTCGGGGTCCCGGGCCCCAGGAGCAGAGCCGACCCCACCTCCAGTCGGGGTCCCGGGCCCCAGGCGCAG
The DNA here is from genome assembly GCF_000001405.40 of Homo sapiens. Taxonomy (NCBI): domain Eukaryota; kingdom Metazoa; phylum Chordata; class Mammalia; order Primates; family Hominidae; genus Homo; species Homo sapiens. The sequence continues at coordinate 242,939 of NW_021160007.1, read as the reverse complement.
AGCCGAGTCCTCCCTGTCGCGTCCAGCCCACGGACAGATCCCTGTGCTAGGCGGCTGCTTGCTGTTGTTTTCAGCCACTGGTTGGCCGTGGTTTGAATATGCTGGTGGATGAATTGTTCACCAACTTGTGCTGAAGGGGCAAGTTATCCACATTATGGGCCAGAAGGAAACAGGAAAAATGAACCCTTTGTAGGATAAAAAAAAAAAAATCTATTTTATGATGGTTCATTGGCAGCAGAGGCAGCTTAGAGACGAGCTTAAAAGCTGGACTCTGCAGCCAGACTGCCCGGGCAGAGCCCCAGCCCCATCTCCTGTAACTGCGCGGCCTCAGGCCAGTTATGGAAACTCCAGCTGCCTCTGCTTCCCCATCTATACCACGGGCATGGCACGGATGCCCCCTCGCAAAGGGCTGCTCTGAAGCTGCAGAGAATGCATTTTTGAAAAGTGTCTGGAGCAGTATCTGGCGCAGAAATATCCTCTACAGATTTGATAAAAATTAAGGCAAAACCTGAAACCCTCCTAGGTGAGGGTTTTGTTCCACAGAAGAGACCGGCAAGGAACAGGCATTTGACCCTGTTGACAAGTACTGCCAGGGAACCGGGATCGCACCACAGTCGTCACAAAGCTGGGTTAGGACCCAAGGGGTAAACGCAATTTCAGCACTGAGGACACTCAAATTATATAACCCCTTTACAGCGTTTTCGGGAGAAAAAAATAGCAGAAAATGCACCCAAAGTCCTCCATTTTTATTATAACTCCCTTCTATCCCCATTCCATCTTCCTCTCTCCCTTTTTCTCTTTTTCCCTCCTTCACTCCCTCTCTCCCTCTCTCACACACACACAGGCATGCACACATGTACATAGTCATACACAGAGGCATGCATGCACACACATGTACATACTCAGGCAAACACATGCACACACATGCGTGTCCATGTGCAGGCACACACAGAGGTACACGTACATAGGCACACAGGCACACACGCACACACACATGCACACACATGCATGCACACGTGTACATACTTAGGCACACAAAGACATGCACACACATGCATGCACACACGGGTACATGCTTAGGCGCACATGTGCAGGCAGAGACAGGCTCATGCACACACACAAGCACAATGCACATGCATGCATGCACACACGTGTACATACTGAGGCACACAAAGGTGCACATGCACACATACTCAGGCACACATGCACACATGCACATATATGTACATGTGCAGCTGCAGACATACAGAAGCTCATGTGCACACACACATGCACACACACACAAGCACACACAGGCACACACACAGGCACACACACGTTCTCGCCCTGGCACCACTTCTCCCTTCTCTTCACTGGTTGGGACTCACCTCTTTGCCTGGAGAAACGGGTGGTGCCTCGGCCAGTGGGTTTGAGTCCCCTGCATCTCTTCATCTTCGGCACACTGAACCCACATCACCTCCCTGAGGCCTGCTGTGCCCATCTGCAGGGTTAATGGGCTGTGGGCCGCTAGCTGTCACATAGGGGGCATGCAAGGGTGGCATCCAGGGGCAATGAATAAACTGCCACAAACATGTCTGCTGTCTCTTTAAAGCCACTTACAGTCGGATCTGCTGTCTGAACCCAAGAAGGGAAGATAGGACTTGGAAAAGCAGGCTCAGACCAACGACCTCCTCACTGGTGGTTCAGAGCTTAAGTCCCGGCCGTGCTACAAGGACTGATCTTGCCAAGGCCATATAAGCAAAGTGGAATGAAAATTAAAGTTAATTCTGAAGCCAAGGTCCTTTTAGGAAAAAAAAGTAAATTAGCCTGATTTAATCATTCCACATTTTAAACATATATCAACATCACATTCTACCCCATATAACATATACAATATTTGTGAATTAAAAACAAAATAATTTTTAAAAAATACAGAAAAGCAGGAGGGGAGGGGATCAGTGTGTTATTAGGTCCAATCTAAGGAACTCTCTGCTGTCCCAGGAGTTAGCGTGTTCAGTGAGAAAATCACAGATCTTGAAATCCAACAGACCAGTGTTCAAATCATGACTCAGTCATTAAAAAAAAAATCCGGGGTGTCAGTGACCCCCACTTTGTCTCCTGGGCCTAAGCTGGAGCTGCCAATGGATGTTTGTCGAAGTCACTCTCAGTGAGGACTTGGTCCCAGCAACCGCTGCCCATACTTGGGTCTCCTGGGGAAGGTCCCACCCTCATTCCTGAACTCCACGCCCAGAGGATCTTGGCCCAGGAGAGGGAAGCAGAGACCCAGACCCAACCTCGTCAAAACCAAAATGCGCCCCACCCAGTCCTGTTTTGCTTTAGTCATGTCTTCTGTGACATGGTTACACTGAAGTCTGATTGGACAACGTGTCATTCGTTGCTACCCCGGGGAACCTGGCATTTGGGGGCGTGGGGCGAGTTTGGCATAAAATCCCGATTTGCTGGAAGGCTGCCGTGCGGACTGAGAGAGAGCACTACTCACCGAAACACCCCTGTTCTCCCGTCTTCCAGGTACGCGGTAGGATCTCCCTTCCCACCCCACTGCGTGAAGGGGCCCGTGTGACGGTCTCTGTCCAGCAGGTGACTGCTGGAAGCAGCGGGAGTCACTTCGGAGTGGGGTGTTGACAGCGTGAAGCCCCTGAGCGCTCCTCCCCGCCCAGCCATCCAGCATTCGCGCCGGGGGCTCCGAGCGACTCCAGTCAACAGAGCTCCGCGGGGACCCAGGTGGACACGCAATCCCATGATAAATTACCCTGTGTCGTTTATGCCGTTGAGGTTTGGGGTTTGCTTGTGATTACGGCATAACCCTGCCTCCTCGGGGGACACACTTAGATGCTAAAACATGGCACGCCACGTTCCCGGGGTGATGCCTGAGTGAGAAAATGCCTTTCTCTCCATGATGCGGCCAGAAAGCACTTCAGTGACCTTGAGTTCCAATCTGTGCTTCGAGGAAAGGGCCATATCCAACTGGGGGTGAATGCTGTTCAGATCTGTGCAAAATAATCGAGGCTACACCTCCCACAGGGCTTGAGCTCATGGACATTGAAGAACCAGCATTTCCCTTCACTGGGCTCATTTTAAATCCCACGCTGCGTCCTCCATGGCCCCCACCCACGCAAGAGCCTGCCTCTCCAGAGTTCTGCAGTGACAACCACGTGACTCCCTCCCCAGTGATGCTGCCGTGGTGCGATCTTGGCTCACTGGGGGGTGATGCTACTGGTGAGGGTTTCTCCCAGTGCCGAGGGTCGGCACCCCAGACCGCAGCTACGTTCAGGGACTCCGCAGGGGCTGGTTCTCTGAGGGAGGCCCTGGAAGGCCAGGGCTTATCAAAGACAGGGTGGGGCTGGCACTGTGGTGCTAAGATGAGGGGCAGCTGTGGGTGTGTGCGCCTTCTCAGACAGGTTCATCTCTGCACCCCGTGGGTACATGCTCCTTCTCAGTTGGGTTCATCTCTGCACCCCGTGGGTACATGCGCCTTCTCAGGGGTTCATCTCTGCACCCCGTGGGTACATGTGCCTTCTCAGACGGGTTCATCTCTGCACCCCGTGGGTACATGCACCTTCTCAGACAGGGGTTCATCTCTGCACCCTGTGGGTACATGCGCCTTCCCAGAGGTTCATCTCTGCACCCCCGTGGGTACATGCGTCTTCTCAGACAGGGGTTCATCTCTGCACCCTGTGGGTACATGCGCCTTCCCAGAGGTTCATCTCTGCACCCCCGTGGGTACATGCGTCTTCTCAGACAGGGGTTCATCTCTGCACCCTGTGGGTACATGCGCCTTCCCAGAGGTTCATCTCTGCACCCCCGTGGGTACATGCGGCTTCTCAAGACAGGGGTTCATCGCTGCACCCCATGGGTACATGCGCCTTCTCAGACAGGGGTTCATCTCTGCACCCCGTGGGAACATACGCCTTCTTAGCGGTTCATCTCGGCACCCCTGGGGGCTGCCTCACATGTTACAGCTCACTGAGCATTCAGCATATATATATTTTTGTGTTTTGTTTGTTGAGACAGGGTCTCACTCTGTTACCCAGGCTGGAGTGCAGTGGTGCAATCTCGGCTCACTGCAGCCTTGACTTCCCCAGGCTCAGGTGATTCTCCCACCTCAACCTCCCACGTAGCTGAGACTACAGCTGTGCACCACCACACCCGGCTAATTTTTTGTATTTTTTTTCATAGAGATGAGGTTTTACCATATTGCCCGGGCTAGTCTTGGACTCCTGGGCTCGAGCAATCCACCGGCCTCAGCCTCCCCAATTGCTGGGATTGCTGGGGGAGGTCACCGCACCCGGCCTCCCATATGTCCTAAAAATCCAGCAAATGCTAGTGCGCCAGACTATCAGATGCATTCTCTTCCATGTAAAGTTCCCCAGTATTTTCCCATGTCCAATGTGCTTGTATTTCCAATGAAATGTACCCAGATCTTGACGGTAGTTAGGCCACATCTTTTCCTGCTAGATTTTAGAATGCAGTAAAATGTATTTACATGAATGAAATGTTTTCTCCTACAAAACCACTTTAACATCATTTTCATTAAACATGTAATGAAAAGTGCTTGATGTTTTCTCTGGAGTGATCATGACTAATAAAGTCAATTCTGGAGCCCAATTGTCTGGGCTTGAATCCCAGATCCACGCTTTGCCATTCACGCGACCTTGAGCAAGCCAGTTGCCCTTTGTGTGCCTCAGTTTCCTCACATGGAACGTTAGATGACGCCAGTGTGTATTACACCTTAACGTGGCTGCTGCTCGTATTGACCAGGTGATAGGCATAGAAGACCATGTCTGGTGAAACCTTTGCACTGCGTGTGTGCCAGCTACCTGCATCATTATTCCAGCAGCTGTCCTCGTAACGTCGGGAAACATTTTACAACCTGCATTTTATAAGCAGAAGAATACGGCATTTTCAGGAGGGACACGGGAATGGCTATTGATCAAAAACAGACCAGGGTTTATCACACTGGCTGCATAGTAATCACCTCCCGGATGATTAAAAACAGCCTCCCAGGCTCTGTCTCAGAACAGGTGATACGTATCTACGGTAAACGCCCCGCAGACAGCTGCCTCCGTCCCAGTGCCGGGTCCTGCCTGGTTCTGATCCTCTGGATTTCCTGGGATAAACATCCTGAGGAAGAAAAGAATGGCTCAACAAAGAAAGGAGAAATGGGTGTTCGGCTCGCCCAGCCTCAGCCAAGGGGCAGAAAACCTCCAAGCTGGATAGGCTGTCATGCCCGATGCCAAGAAACGGATATTTGAAGAATAGAGTACTAAGCTCAGAGCCAGAACCCCCCAGATCCCCCTACACACATGTGCATACACAGACACACACACACAGGCACATGCACACACAGATATACATACAAACACACACATAGACACATGAACACATGAACAAATGCAGATATGAACACACAGACATGCACACATTTGAACATGCACAGACCACACACATGAACAGACATACATACACAGAAACATGCACACACAGAGACACATGGAGAGAAACATGCATACATGTGAACATGCACAGACATGAACACACATGAACACAGAGACATATATACATAGAAACATGCACATATGAACACACAAACACAGACATGCACACACAGACACACAGACACTCGTACACAGATACACAGACAAATGCACACATGGACACACAAACACAGACACATAGATGCACACAGATATAGAGACACATGCACACATGAACAAACAGAGATGAACACAGAGATATGCACACATGTGAACACACACACAGACATACATAGACACATACACAAATACACACAGGCACAGACAGACACATGCACACGCATGAACACACACAGAGACAATGCACACAGACACAGGCACATGCACACACAGATACATGCACACACGGGCACACAGACATGCACACAGAAACACGTGGACACATGCACATGCATGCGTGCTGACAACACAGACATGCACATATGCAGATACACAGGCACACAGAGGCAAATGCATGCACACTCATGCACACACACGGACACACACACAGCCAAGAGCTGTGAAGCCCCTTGCCTTACTCATCTCTGTATGGAGAGCCAAGCACAGCCATGCTCTTAATAAATGCTCCGTCATTTATTCACTCATCCCGCAAATGTTTACTGAACACCAGCTATGTGTCCAATCTCTGGGAACACAGGGGTGAACCCTGCCTTTGGGTGAAACTCCTGCCTCTTGGGTGCTTGCATTCTGCCAGTGGAAGTTGGGCCCCTGTGCTGCGCGGCTTGGCTGACATCTCCCCTGGCTTCCAGGGTCTCCTCCACAAAACGCCAGTGTGGGGCCAGATCAGAGCCTGGGCTGGGGGTGGGGGCAGCCGGGGTTTGCGGCCTCGGGTCTTACCTGCGAGCCTGGCTCAGGGACGGGGCCTTCTCCCTCCTGGTGGCTCCAGGGCCCCCTGCTGTTCCCGGAGGTCCGGCTGCATCCCAAGCCCCAACCCCCCCATACCCGTCCCGGGACTCAGCTTCCCCAGTCCTCAGCCCTGGACGGGGGAGAGGGAGGGAGGCCGGGAGCTCGGCTTGGGGAGGGGTGGGCAGGAGACTACCAGAGTGGCCCTGACCCGGGTCCTGCCCCGGCCGCCCCCTCCCCCATTCACTCCCGGCGACACCGCCCTGGCCAGGCATTCCCGGAGGCCCCGCTGCCCTCGGGTCAAGCTTGGGGTCGATTCGGACCGTGCTGGCCGTTGGGGGCCCCGGGCGTCTGGCGGGTCCTGGGGAGGGAGGGTCCGCGCCTGCCCCGCCCCCGCTCCCCGCGCCCGCGCGCCCTTGGCCCAGGCTACCCCGCGCGCCCCGCCCCCCGTCCCCCGCCCCCCGGACCTGCTGTCCTGGGGTCCCCGGGGGGGCGCGGTGGGGGGGGCGGGGCAGGCGCGCGGGGCGGTCCCGGGGGGCGGCCTTGAGGGGTGGGGGAGGCGGGGCGGGGCGGTCCTGGGGCCGCGGTTGCAGATGAGGTGAGGTGAGGCCGCGTCACTCTGCACCGGCGCGGTGGCTGCGGGGCGGGCAGGACAGGAGCCGGCACAGACACCGAGCGCCGCCCGCCCGCGCCTTCCCCGCCGCCCCCCGGCGCCCCCGGCCCCCCTCACCGCTCCCCGGGGCGGGGCCGCGCCCTCTGAGCGGGGGATGCCGGCCGCGCCCCGCGACCCCAGCCCCGGGCAGCCCTCTGCGCTCTGGGGGACCCCCGGCGGCCGTGGCCCGGCGCGCTGAGCTGGTGCTGAAGGGACAGCTCCGGCCGAGCCCCGCAGCCCCCGCAGCCCCGGGCGGCTCATGGTCCCCGAAGCCGAAGCTGAAGCCCAGGCCCGGGCGGGGATGCTGGGGATGCCCCGCGGGTGAGGCCCCCGCTGCAGCCGTGTTCATGGCGGTGGCCAGGAAGATCCGAACTTTGCTGACGGTGAACATCCTGGTGTTCGTGGGCATCGTCCTGTTCTCCGTGTACTGCCGCCTGCAGGGCCGCTCCCAGGAGCTCGTGCGCATCGTGAGCGGCGACCGCCGGGTGCGCAGCCGACACGCCAAGGTGGGCACGCTGGGGGACCGTGAGGCCATCCTGCAGCGCCTGGACCACCTGGAGGAGGTGGTCTACAACCAGCTCAACGGTGAGCGGGGGCGCCGGGGCGGAGTGGGGGCAGCCCTGCCCGGGACAGTGGCCACCCCGGGCGCGATGGGTCAGGCCGGCCTCGGGTGCGCGCCCCTCTGCGCCCCTGTGGGAGGGAATATACAGGAGAGAGGAGAGGGAAGGGCCGCGGAAGCCCCTTCAGCAGCGGGCAGCAACCTGGGTTCCCCCCGCACCGGGCACCCACCCCTCCAGTGGAGACTTGAGGAATCCCCCTGCCCCCACAATGACGCAAACTTGCTCTCCGAGGGAACTTCTGCAGAGGATCTTTGGAGCTGCTCTAGAAGCAGGCAGTGCCTAGGTCCAGGAGTGTGGGGTGGGGGGCTGGCTTGGCGCTCCAGGAGTGGGGGCCGTCAGGTTTAGGCTGCGCCGACCCCTCCACTCTTGAAGGTGGGGAAAGAGGAGGGTGGGGACGCCACACTTGGGAGGCTGCTGGTGCAGTGTCCTTTGCCCCTGAGGTTCGAAGGCACCCCAAATGCTTCGACCACTGGGCTAGGCGGCCCCCTGTCCTGGGGGTGCCCGAGGCCGCGTTAGAAAGTTGTTATGGGAGAAGCTTGAAGCTGAGACCTGAGACTCCTGGGAGGATGGAGTTGAGGATCATGCAGGGCTTGGCAGGACTCATTACCCAGGGGGGCCCAAGTTGTGGCACCTGGGAGCCCCAGAATCCATGAAAGCCTCCAGCTCCCGGTGGGTCTGTTTCATCACGAGCGGACGTAGGTCAGCCCGAGGAGCAGCACCGGCATCACCACAGGTCAGGGCCAGCGGCCACAGCTGCTGAGAGCAAGCACTTTTCCAGCTGCTCCACCTTCCCGGAGGAGCAGCCGCCCCCAAGGCCACTCTGCACCGGGGCGCCAGGAAGGAGAAAGTTTGCATGTGCCTACATCACTAGCTGGTGTGGCTTTCCGTTCCGTGCCGATGATTCAGGCTTCTGCCTTGGCAGCCCCAGCAAACCTCCTCCAGAAAGCATCCGTAACAGGCTCGAGTGGGAGGTGACGGGAGCTGGGGTTACGCGGGCAGGCGGGGGCTCCGGATGTGCCTGCTGTGTGTGGGGGCAAAGGCGGGGGGTGGTCTTGCGTTTCCTTCAGGAGCCACACCCTCTCTTGAGGGTGGGCTGCAGACAGGCCGTGGGGTGGGAGGGGGAGGTGAATCCCCATGAGGAGGGGTTGTCCCAGCTTTGTCTGACTCAGAGCACCCTGACTTCCTGAGCGCCTTCCCATCACCCACAGAATCCCTGACTTTCCCGCAGAGCTGTGCTTGGTGAGCTCTGTGGCTTCTCTGATCTTTCTGATTCAGCTGGAGCCACGAGGGGAGAAAAGTAGTTCAAGCAGCCGCCCAGCCGCCCGGCAGAGCAATTCATCTCCCGGAAGGCGGTGTGCCCGGCAATAGCACATGGCTCTATTGAAGTGTGCTCGCCATGGTGTTATGGTCTGTTTTATGGGGAGAGCCAGAGGATTACATAAAAACATTGGCAGCACACTGAGGTTGTGTAACACCACGAGGGCAGCTCGGCCCTGTGAGTCGTTTTCCCTGCCTCACCCTTCAAGGTGAGAATCGGCTGGGATTCTTGGTGGTGGAAAAAGCCAGGACCCATGATCCGCTTTGCTGACATTGGCGGGAGATAAGGAAGCATTCCGGGAAAGTGTGTCTCCCCCCACCGCCCACCGCCCCCACTGCCTTCTCCCATCCCGCTTCCTCCTGTCCTCTGTCCCCTCCCTTCTTCCTCTTCGCTTCCCTCCCCCTTCCTCCTTTCTTTCTTTTAAAATTGTTTCTCCTTCTTTCCTTCATCCTAGCTGTCCTCCCTTGTCAGCCTTTCTCCGAACGGCCCCTGCCATCTGTCTGCCTCTGTCTTTGCCCTCAACCTTTTGATGAGGCCGAGTTTCGTCCCCCTCTGTGATGAGGCTGTGCTGCGTTCCTCTCTGTGACCAGCAGGCCAGGCACAGTGTCTAAACCCAAGAGTCAGTCAATCTTTGCCCCAGGAAATGATGGGAGACACCAAAATTACTCTCACCCCCGGTGGGGCCCTACGGGGAGGGCGGTGCCGTAGAGGCCTGATGTCTGTCGCCATGAGGCCCTTTGAAACAGCATTACCCGCTCTGATGTTGGCACAGGCTCTCAGTGCTAAAAGGTGTGTAAGAAGCTCCCTGGAGGAGGCGGCCAGCTCTTAGATCACAGCCTGTTCCAGAATGTGACATCCCAGGATGCAAAATTGATTCCTGGGAGCTCCCACTCGATACTAATCCATCCGAGTTCAGAAAGGAGAGGGGGAAATCCGAAACAAAATGGATTGATCCCTTTTCCCTGCCTTGATTGCTTCCTGGAATTCCTCTGCTGGCTGGGAGGGGCCTGGTGGAAGGAAGTCCACGTCTTCATGGGAGCTGGAGGAGCGGGAGGGCCACTGGGGTGGGGAGGGGCCCAGAATCCAAAGTTCTTCCCACACCCTGCCTCCGCTGGTCCAGTGGCCTTTCTTTGGGATATCCATTGACCTTGGCAAAGAACTCCTAAGGAATGTGTGCAGATTCAAATTCATAAGGCCCCAGAGGGATGTTCATTAAGGAAGCTCTGTGTAGTCACTCCTATGTGTACATCAAGGTTTGCTTCTAAGTTCAGCGCTCAAGGCAAGGAAAAAATGTTTATACACAAAAACCACCCTTCTGAATATCTTCAGTTGCACATAAAAGACAGCATCCATGGTTTTGTGCGCAGCAGACACAGTAAGTCTCATAAACGCTAAATTTCAGAGCCTCTAAACTCAAGGAAAAGAAGGGGAAGAACTGTCTCCATTCAGTTGTCTGGGCATTCAAACCCTTCTGCCTTTAAGAAAATTTTCAAGCCCCTTGAGATGGGAAGGGGAGAGAGAGACAAAGAGCCCCCACTTTCTCTAGGCGCTTGCAGGGCCTACCCCTGTGTCCATGCGAGGCCTGGGCAGCGCTAAGGCATGCCAGGCTGTTTGTTGCTGTGGGCGTGGAGCGAGTGAAGGTCACCGCCAGGGAGCACGGTCGCCCGCGTCGCAGCGGCTGGACTCACTCTGCTGGGAGAGGAGAATCACCCCTGCCTGGCGCGGTCCTGGCCCTCCTGCCCCTCAGGAAGAAAGGCTCTGAATGGAGGATGGAGCCAGGGATGGCGATGGGAAGTTTTCCTTTTGTTGGTTGGTTGTGAGGGAGGTTGTTTCTAAAATTCAGAGCACATGTGTGAATTCCCTCTCACTGACCTGCCCTAGCCCAGGTCCCAGGTCTGAGAGGTCTGGGCCTGAGCAGCAGGAAAGCTGAGAGCCTGGAGCGGGGTGGGCCACGGGGCCCAGAGAGGTCCAGCGAGGTGGCGCTGGTTTCAGAGGGACCTAGGTTTCTGTAGTTACTAAAAGTTTACATTAAAAAAGCAGAAGGCCCCACTGTGGCCAGCCAGTTGCTGGTCAGAGAAGGTTGGAGTGTGGTGCACGCTCATTGCACGCTCATCCTGCCCACGGCCCCCCCTCTGGGGACATGGACTCAGGCTTCCTCCAGCCTCAGGAATTCCCACGTGCCTCATGCATCCCCCCATGACTGTGTGACACCTCGCTCGTGTCCACTGAGGGCGAGGCTGTGTCTGTCTGGTCCTGGCTCTGATGCCCAAGGCCTCTGGCGGTACTGTGAACATAGCACTCCACGAATATCTGTCCAGTGAGCAAGCGAGAGGGTTTTTCTCCAAACAATTCATTGTTTTGTTTAAATGAACTTAAGAGACACTTGTGTGTCTCCAGCGCACCCGTGAGTAGAAGGTGACTGAGTGCCGTGGGAACAGCCTGGAGACTCCAGCAGGCGTCACCCCACCAAGGCCTGCCCTGTCCCCCAGGGAGGCCTGAGCCGGGGCCACATGAGCACGACGCCGGAAGAACTTGGGAGAGCAAGGTCTGAAGTGGGGTGGCATCTCATAAAGCTGTGCCCGTGCATGGCCCACAGCCATGTCTGCAAGCTGGGCCCACCGGGACGCAGCCCCTGCTTTGGGAAGCCCCAGTGTGTGTTCAGAGCAGCAGCTGAGGGGACGTTCCTGTGGGGCTGGAGGGCTTGGGGAAGGGGTGGTCAGGTTGCCAAGGGGCGTATCTCCCCAGGCTGCCTTCGCCACAGTGGGGTCCCAGACCTTTAATCCGGACGCAAAACACTGCCAGGAGTCCGGGCACCATGAGTGACCACCAGTGAAGACCTGGCTGAACCAGAATGGAGAGGCTGGGGGGTGAGAAAGGGGCGGTGGGGGGAGAATGCCAGGCCACCCAACACTTGCCTTGCACCCGGCTGCAGAGGGCGGCGGTCTAGATGGGAGGGTGTCTCCCTGACAAGAGCCGGGGCCATGGCATCTGCTTCAGCAGCAGGCAGACTGCACAGCTGAGAGCGTGAACTTGGGGAGCCAGTCCAAAGACCCCCCGCTGCCACAAGTGACAGGCAGTCGGCCCACACTGCCTTAGTCCCATCCATAGCCGCTGGTCCGGGGTCTCGGACGCGGCCCCGGCAGGTCAGCCGTACGAGGACAGCGTCTCTTGCACGCGCGGCACAAAGCACGTGCCCCGTCAGTCCCGCGTGATGAGTGAGGGCCAGGTAGGAGCTCACAGACAGCGCCGTCGGAGCGCGCGGGGTCGTGCGGAAGGCGCGGCTGGAGGCGCACAGGCTCGGCCCGGGCAATGCCTGGCTGCCGCCACGCGTGCGTCTCGGAATGTCCTGCGGCCCCCACTCTGCCGGCTCCGGCACACTCTCCCTCGAGAGCTCCGGAGGGTGTCAGGTGTGGGTTTCTAAAAAGGGCTTTCCAAGCGTCTGCTCTGCTCTGCGTAAGCGTTTCCATTTTGGAAACGCTTTGAGAAATTCTCCTTGCTAGGAAGTGCGGTTTCCAGCAGAAAGCTTTTCCTATTCATTTGTGAGTTTTATTTCCCAAATGGCTCCTGCTGGTTCAGGCGGCCTTTCCAGCTTGAGTTCATCGTCTCTACCCTCCCCTGAATTCCCTCCGTGTATTACAACGTCCCACGTTGCTGATCCAAACAGCCGGAGTGGCCGTGGCCGGGAAGACAGCTGCAGCGCCCTGGAGGCTTCAGTCCCGGCCCCGGCAGGTCTCGCTTCCACAGTGGCAGCAGCGTTGACCGTCTTTCCACCCGGATCATTAACTTCCGGGCCCCCGCCCCGGCCGAGGTTCACAGCTTCCCCATGATTGTGGATTTACTACAAAAACTGAAAAAATAGTTACTACCCACGGCCAGAGCCCCCACTCTGACTCCGACGATGAGGCTGGTTCGTGGCTACTGGACGGGGATTGCCTCTCCGGTTTTCTGACGTCCGCTGGGGCTCCCGGCACTCGGAGGAGCCTGGCATTTCCTGGCTGAGATGAACGACATTTTGGTTGTGCGTTCTCTTCCTTGCCTGCACTCACACACAGCTGTCCTCCCCATCGCTGCCCCCAGATTCGCTGGGGATTTTGACCCCATCTGACCACTCAGAGCCACTCAGCCCGTTCCCTTAACCCGGAGGGTGGCCTCTGTGCAGACCTGCCCCTTTGAGTCTTGGGGGAGATGAGTTCCTAAACACTTGTCAGCCACTTCCCTTGGGGCGGAGCAGACCTGCGTAGAGCAGGCCCGGTCGGCAGCCTTCTGTCTGCAAACGCAGCAGCCCGAGCTTCTAGGAACGACCCAGGCAGGCGGTGATCCCCAGCGTCGGCGTGTGCTGGGCTGAGTGTTTGCATTTACAATTCAGCACAGCAACCTGCATATTTCAGAGTCTTGGAACTATTTTCTGAAAGGACAGTTTATCCTTCATTGGCTGGAAACTTGACAAAAATAAGTCTGTAAATTTCCATGTCAGATCTCCCACTGAGGACAAACGGGCAGGATGGGATCCATGTCTTGAGACCCGTGTGGTCAGCAGCCCATTTTCTCTTGAGCAAGCACAGATGCCTGTGAAGGGACAAGGAGGTGGAGAAGCCGGGAGGCGCTGGAGGAGGGGGCAAGGCTGACGCACGGCTCTCGAGCCCGAGGAAGTGCCCCTGTGGCCTGGGCTTTCCCGTACGGGACGGCCAGGAGAGCGATGGCCGCCCCGCCACTCAGCAAGCGGACTGGTGTCAGCCTAAGTCTGACAGTCCCCCCTCTAGCTGCCATTCACAGGAAGGAGAAACTCATTTTCCAGTCGTTTAAAAGGTGCCAAGGGTTGTATCATCTCGTAGCACGGAAGCAGCTCGGCCCTGGGCTCTGCGCCCGGTCCCCTGGGCTCACCAGGCCCTCCCAGGAAGCCGCCCAGGCCTGCTCCCACCTCCATCCTCGCAGAGCCTGCAAACCCCCCTCCCATGCCTGGGGACGCCATGGTGCTTCCTACGTTCTGGAAGTAGGAGGGGGCAAACTGTGAAGGGGTGACAGGAGCTGGGGTTGGGCAGACGCCCCCATTCCCTGTGCAAACACTCACCCCTCCCGGAGCCTTCTGTGGGGCAACTGAGTCACGGACGGGGATGCTGGGTGCTTGCTGTGCTCGAACTGGCATTTGCGGGCCCAGCCCCTATGAGCTGAGGGCCTGTCTCAGTGAGCAACGGCACCACCTCATGTGCCGCATGTCCGTTCCTTCCTGGCGAATTCGTGAGCACCTGCTGCATTCCTGAACTGCGCTGAGGACGCGGGCCTGAGCAGAGATGTCCCCACCTCAGGGGCTGACATCCCAGGGAGGAAGACGGGGAGTGAGTAAGTTGCATGGTCCAGATGGTCTCAGACAAACCTACGAGGAGGCCTGAGTGACGTGGACGAATGGGTATCTGGGTGGCGGGGATGGTTACGGGTTGAACGGGGCCCGCCCGGAAGCTCACGTCCACCTGGAACCTCGGAATGTGGCTTATTTAGAAACAGGGTCTTTGCAGAAGTAATTAGATAAGATGCCCTCAGCCAGGACTGGGGATTAGTGGGCCCTAAATCCAATGACTGTGGCCCTTCTAAGACGAGGAGAGACAGTGGGGGTTTGGAGGGGAGGACGCCCCTTGGGGGCCGAGGCGGGGGCTGGGGTGGTGCAGGGGGCCGAGGCGGGGGCTGGGGAGAGGCAGGATGTGTCTTACCCACTGCCTTCAGAGGGAGTGTGGCCCTGCGCGCCTGACATCCAACTCCCGGCCTCCTGTATGAGGGGACAGGTGTGTGAGGGGACAGGTGTGTGGGCTCCTGTGTGAGGGGACAGGTGTGTGAGGGGACAGGTGTGTGGGGTGGAGCCTCCCCACTCGGTGCCACTGCAGTGACCTGGGACACACACAGGTGGGTGGGGAGGGAGCCACTCTCTGAATTGTGAATGAGGAGAAGGAGCTGCCAGGAGAGAATCCGGGGGAAGTGCTGGGTGTCGGTGGCAGGTGCAGAGGCCACAGTGGGCCCTGGGGTTGGGGTGGTCAGGGCGAAGTGAGTGAGGGAGATGGTGAGGTGCTAGGGCAGGGGGCTGCCAGGACAGCCTGTTGGCCCCGGAAGGGTGCTGGCTGCACTCCCAGGCTCCGGACCATGCCAGAAGGTTCTTGACGAGGGATGTGACACTGTGGGTGCCTGTTTTGTGGGGGCACTGAGGTCCCATCTCTGGTGGTGCCCGTCTCACTAGCTGCTTGAAGCACATTTTCAGTTTCACTCGGATCTGCCAGGACCCAGATGAGACGGGCGACTCATTAGCAGACGGGAAACCAAGGTCTCCGGAGCAGCTGGTGTACCATGGCCTTGATTCTGGACCCACAGGGGCCTCGACTCCGGACCGACAGGGGCCTCGACTCCAGACCCACAGGGGCCTCGACTCTGGACCAACAGGGGCCTCGACTCCGGACCCACAGGCACCCTCAGTCAGGGCTGACACAGGTGGGGCAGTTCTTCCTGGCGGGGCCGCCCCCTGGGTGGGTTGTGGATGTTGAGCAGCGTTTGGCTCCACCCACTGCCAGGCACCCTCCTCCCCGCTGGGACGCCAGGAGGCCCCTGGAGCGAGAGTCCACCCTGGGCACCTGCCTCACTGACTGTGGCGTCGACCGCCTGGGTTCAAACCCAGCTCCTCCCTCCTCAGCTGCACGACTGTGGGCCGGTCACACGACCCCTGCACCTTGGTTTCCCTATCTGTAAAGGGGGGATGCCCGGAGCAACAGCCTCGGGGGGCCCTGTGGGCACTGAAGGAGGCACGCGGCACAGCAGAAGGACCCCCCCGCTGGCGCCGCCCACCTCCCCTCGCCTCTGAGATGAGGGTGGGCTGATGATTCTCCAACCCCGAGGGCACCTGGTGGGGGCGGAGGCCTTGAGCTGGCCCAGGGACATGGAGTTGGAGAGAATCAGATCATGCCGAGGGAGCTTCCCTCCACCTCCTCCACCGTGTCCCACGGATCCAGGCACACGGGCTTTGCTAACAGACACACCTGGCCATACTCTCAATGCAGCATCCCATTTCCATTCTGTTTACTGATATTTACTAGTAAAACGATACATGTTTTCTATTGTTGGTGCCAATCCATCACTTATTTAAGAAACGAATTAATTTAACTTAAAAGATGAGTCGATTTAAAAGAAACTGTTAAGTAATATGAACTCAAGCTTCTGTAGAGACGACAGATTCCCCAGGAATCCAGAAAGATCCGAGGTGGGGGCGTCTGTGCCTCGTGGCCCTCGAGGGCTCTGGGCCGTGTCTGCCGCACCCGCGTCCTCGAGGCGGAATCGGAACCCGGGAAGTGAGGTCCCGGCTCTGCACGCAGCACCCTCCCCGGGCGTTCTGTGCCTCTCAGTGTGAGTTTAAACAACAACAAATAAAAATAAAACAAGCGCGTGTGTGGATGTGCTGTGGGGAGGCTCCTGGGCTTGGCGGCCGGCCCTGGCACATTGTACCCACACGGACTTGGGGATGTCGCTGCAGGAGCAGCTTGAGGCTCGCCAGCCCTGTTAGCAGCTGAGATCTTTGATTTTCAGCTACAGAAAACTCAAGTCTGACAGAGTGAACGCTAACGGGACCCAGTGGCCCAGTGGTTCTGGCAGAGGGGATAGCGTGACCCAGCGGTGGGGGCCGCTGGCCGCCCCCTTTTCCTTAGGAGCGCCTGCCTCGTGTGCCCGCCTGCATGGCGGGGTCAGTGAGTGCCTCCGAACCTCCGGAGGCTGAGGGTGGAGAAGACACAGGTTCTACAGGAAATCCGGCTTCTCCCTAGAAGGACGCGGGAGGCTGGGCACCCAGGCCCGAGGAATGTCTTCTGTCTACGTGGGGCTGCGGGAGGAGCACCCGAGGCGACCTGAGGTGACCTGTGGCCGCGTGTTGTGCCGGGTACAGCTGTGTGTGTGGCGGAGTGGGGTGTTGACCTGCCCCAGACGGAAAGGCCTGTTGAAAAGCAAACTCAGCTAGTGTGTGCGTCAGGGCTCTCCCGAGGAAAGGAGCCGGCGGATAGAGAGAGACCCAAGAGGAGATGTAGGGTGAGGATTGGCTCCCGTGACTGTGCAGACCAAGAGGCCCCATCATCTGCCGTCTGCAAGCTGCAGGCCCGGGAAGCTGGGTGGGGTCCTTTGGCCTGAGTGCAGAGACCTAAGAGCCAGGGTCACGCTGAGGAAAACGGCATAACTTCTACTCCAAAGGCCCGAGACCTGGCAGCTCCACCCGATGTCCACAGGCAGGAGCAGAGGGAGGTCTCAGCTCACACAGGACATGAAGCTGCCCTCCTCTGCCTTTCTGTTCCAGCCGGGCCTCCGAGAAGGGGCTGATCCCTGTCTGCACTGGGGAGGACAGACCTTTCTTCCTCAGCCCCCTGATTCAGACTCAAATCTCGCACAGACGCACCTGGAAGCAATACTTCCAGCCACCTGGGCATCCAAGGCCCTCTCTATGGATGCAGAATTCACCATCACAACTAGCTTCAACCATGGGGAGCACACCTCACATGAAGGCACGCACGCTGCAGGCTTGGTGGCTCGGTGGCGGCCACGGACACCCAGGTCTGTCTCTGCTCCTCCCTCCCAGAGAGTCGCTGCCGAAGTCCAAAGGACCCGTGCAGCTGCCCGGTGTGCATGAGCAGGGCCCTGAAAGGCGGGAGGCCCCGCAGGGATGTCTGGGGACACGCAGGCTTCCTGCCTCTCCGTTAGGACTGTCATCTCTGAGCACCTAGCCAGCCACTGGCAGAGGGCGGGAGGAGTGCCCTGTGGGACTGGCCTGGTCATAACTGGCCCGGGCTGGGGCAGGAGCAGGGCTGGACCTGCTCCCACGATGTGTAGGGTTGAGTGGACCCGGCCACAGCTGGGATTGCCAGGCAGACGAGAGGAGGGCAGGCGGCCCACGGCGTGCACTGTGCATCAACGCTGGCCACACACGGGGCTGCAGGCCCAGCTGGGAGGTCAGTCGGGGTGCACATCCCAGGATCCACCAGGAGGTTTAGGGCGGCCCTGAACCTGCAAATCACCAGCTCTGCGTGATCCTACGGCTGCAGCTGCGACACTGCACCAGGGTTCAAGCGTGGATGCTGCCTGTGAGGCCCTGAGGCCCTGTGCTGATGGGATGGCGGATTCATGTCCCTGGTGGCCTGAGGCCCCTGTGTTGGAGGCTGGACTGAAAGCTGGGTCACGAAGGGCAGGTGCTCTTAGGGCCCCAGCTCTGGCCCTGAAGAGAGGCATCCATGTGGGTTCCCCGAGCACCCACCTTGTCTCTCGTTCTGGGTCAGGCCTGCCCAGTGCCCGCCCAGCCCCATGCATCATCCAGCGTTCTTGGTCAGCGTCCTGCCGCCCACGCTTGCCTGGCCAGAGGGGCTGTGCTCAGGCCCTTGGCTGTCAGCATTTTATTTTTATTTTTTTAATTTTTTCGAGGCAGGGTTTCACCCCCACCACCCAGGGTCAAGTGGTTCTCCTGCCTCAGCCTCCCGAGTAGCTGGGATTACAGGTGCTCACCACCATGCCCGGCTAATTTTTGTATTTTTTGATAGAGACAGGGTTTCACCATGTTGCCCAGGCTGGTCTCGAACTCCTGAGCTCAAGTGATCCACCTTCCTCAGCCTCTCAAAGTGCTGGGATTGCAGGCATGAGCCAGTGTGCCCATCAGTGTTTTATTTTTAAGTAAATAAACCAAGTGCAATTGTTCTTTGAAACGCCATCCTCGACCCTGTGGAGCGCCAGGGAAATAATGAAATCTAGAGGTGCCAGGTCGACCGTGGATCTTCCTGAGGCTCCCAGCAGCCCCTGTGCAGCCCCACCGATACCCCTCCTCCTTCTTTCCCTGCCCTGGTTGGAAGGGACAAGGCTGGGCCCCGGGGCTGGAGGGGCCCGAAGGTGGGGCCAGCTGGGGAGGGCTGGGCGCAGCCTCTACTGAGCGAGGGGGGTCTGGCCACCGTGTTTTTGAGCTTTTAGGAAGATTTTTAAAAACACAAAATCTCAACACAGGCTTACCAAAATTATGTTGTATTTACACGTTTATGGATAACAAATTAATGCTTTTAACAGACTCACTGGAGTGTGATCCAATTGTGCTGTTCGCAGGTGATCCTGGAATTCATAAAAACCGCAGGTCTCCTTGGTGAGGTGGCCCTGGAGAGGAGCTGACCCCACGCTAGGGAGCCAGTGTGGACGGAAGAGTGGCAAGTCCAAGGCCTGGGCCTGGGCACACACTGTGAGGACGCGAGTGGAAGGAGCAGGAGAGAGGGTGTGGCCTGGGGGGGCAGTGCAAGGCTCCTGTCCCCGAAGCTGGGCAAGCTGACCCCACCAGCTGCTTCTGTGGGGTGTGGGACAGGGGCTGTGCTCCATGGGGTATGGGATTCAGGCCCTGCTCTGTGGAGTCTAGGATGGGGATGTGCCGTGGGGTGTAAGATGCAGGCTGTGCTCTGTGGGGTGTAGGATGGGGCCGTGCTCTGTGGGGTGTAGGATGAGGCTGTGCTCTGTGGGGTGTAGGGTGCAGGCTGTGCTCTGTGGGGTGTAGGATGGGACCGTGCTCCATAGGGTGCAGGCTGTGCTCTGTGGGGTGTAGAATAGGACCATGCTCCGTGGGGTGTAGGGTGCAGGCTGTGCTCTGTGGGTGTAGAATAGGACCATGCTCCGTGGGGTGTAGGGTGCAGGCTGTGCTCTGTGGGGTGTAGGATGCAGGCTGTGCTCTGTGGGGTGTAGAATGGGGGCCAGGCCATGCAGCATTCCTGGCCTCCAACCACTAGATGCTGGTAGCTGCCCCACCCCTCCCCAGGTGTGACAGCCAAACCTGCCCAGGTCTCACCAAATGTCCCTATGGGTCCGAGTACCCCATGTGAGCGCCAGTGCTCGTGATGGGAAGGAGGCTGGGTGGCTGCAGAGGGAGTGGGCTGGGGTGGGCGTCCCTGTCGGATCTGAAAGGGTGGCTGAGGGACTACACAGAGCACGGGGGAATTTGCTGAAGCGGAGGAAAGAGAGCAGGGACACACCCTGGCAGGAGGAGGGATGAGGACCCGGGAGGTCCTGGCAGCACCTCGCACCTCAGACGGCCATTCCCTGAGCACAGGTGGTTAGGGTGGGAAGCTCGGGTGCTCCTGATTCTCCGTTTCCCAGGGAGGAAGGAAGCAAGGTCATCTGAGGTTGAGAACTGCAAATTCCTTTTCTTTCTTTTTCCTTTTTTAGTGAAGCTATAGCACTAAATAGATTTTTAAAGGAAGTATATGCTCGGTTATAGGGGATCTCTGTTTCCTCCCAGAATAGGGGCATAAAAATGCATCGTGAAATGGGGACGTGGGGTCGGGCTGGGGAAGAACCCACAGGCTGTATGGTAGAGAATCATGGCACCCCCCTTTGCAGGTCGGGGCCCGGGGCAGGCACTGACTGTGATCCAGCTTCATGCCTCTGCTGGAGAGCCGAGCCTGGACTGGGACGCTGGGGTCTGTGGGGTCGCCTCCCAGCCCGCGGCCAGCTCCTGCCTCTGCCTGCCTCTTCTTTCAGTGAGAGAGGAGGCGAAAGGCTGATGAGGAAACATGACGGAACCCAAGACCTGCAGGCGTGAGGGGGTGGGCGGCCGTTTCGGGGGCTGCCTGCCTGCCGTGCCCTCTCCAGGACCCCGCGTCCCCACCACCCTCCACTCTCGAACATTCTGGAGACTGTTCTCAGGGCCAGAGGCTGTCCGCTTTCTCATGCTCCAAGTCCCCATTGGCATCTCGGAATGGGCCCAGCACAGGGGTTTATTGCAGCCCCAGCATAGAGGGGTCTTCCCCTGAGGCCGTGTCACTCACACCCTGTGTGACGCGGTGGGGAGTATGAGTGGGTGGCTCAGCCCTCTCTGCTCTGTGTGGAAGGCCGTCTCTGGACCCTGTGTTCCCGCAAGGACACCAGGGCTGAGTGTGGATGCGCAGCCTGGTAATGGCAGAACTGGGATCCGAACTGGTGGCCTTCACAGAGACTGGCCCAGAAGACGCGACCTTCTCAGATCAGCAGCCGCGGCGCAACCTCGCCCACATCCCACGGCAGAAAGGGGCTATTTTTACTTTCCACAGAATAGTTCAGTCGCATCAGCTCTGCGTGCAGCTCCGGCGTGAAACCCAGCAAGCCCTGATTTTATTTCTAAGTCAGAAAAGAACAGACGGGGTCTGAATTCTGCAAGGGGCTATTTTCACACTATTTTGAGAAAATGGTGGAAAATGCCTGTTAATATTCTGAGGCTCGAGCACTTTGCAGTGGACACGGGGGAGGCCGCCCTGATTATATTCTGAGGCTCCAGCACTTTGCAGTGGACACGGGGGAGGCCGCCCTGATTATATTCTGAGGCTCGAGCACTTTGCAGTGGACACAGGGGAGGCCGCCCTGATTATATTCTGAGGCTCCAGCACTTTGCAGTGGACACGGGGGAGGCCACCCTGATTATCTTAGTTGCTCGGTGCAGAGCCTTGTGGTTAAAATGTGGCTAGAGCGCTGGGCCGCCTGGACTCAGAGCCCGGCCCCACCACCTCCCCCTGGGCCACCTCCGTCAGGCCGCCCAGTCTCCCGCTCCTCAGCTTCCTCATCTGTAAATTGGGGTGAGAACAGCACTCACCTCTGTTGTGAGGACGCTGGACAAGGGGAGCCTGCAAAGCTCTGGGAGCAGCGCCCGGCACCCGGTCGCGCTTGATAAGTGATGGCGCTGCTTCGGCAGATGTTACTGTGGTTTCTCATTTCCGCCACCCGAGGTCCACCCGACCTTCCAGCCCGACTCCACTGCACGGAAGCTAGTTCCGCTCTGCCCAAGATGCATGAATGCCAGGATTCCACGGGAAATTGGAGGGGGCATCGGGGAGAGGGTTTGATCCGATTCACACTTCATTCACCGAATGACTGCCATACTGTGCAGAGCCCAGCAGGGTGTGCCCAGTGCCCTGAGCAGCTGCCCCCTGGGAGTTCACAGTCAGGCAGGGGGGCAGCAGCCTGCACTCTCTGCTCTCTAAGGTGCAGGAGAGGGGATTGCTTTGAAGGGGAAGGTCAGGACAGCTTCATGGAAGAGGAATCTTTGAGCTGCACATTGGGAGTTGGATGGATCTGAGTCCTAATCCCAATGGGGTGACCTCGGGCAAGTCACTACTCCTCTCTGAGCCTTGGTTTCCTCATCTGTGAAATGTGAAAAATGATTATCCCTCCATGACAGGATCATGGAGAAGATTAGACAAGATGGTGCATATGAAGCGCTTGGCAGAGTGCCTCCCACATGGTAGGTCCCAGAAAAGTTAGCAAAGATGGAGACAGAAAGAGAGTTCAAGTGGGGCAGGATTTGGACAGACAGATAACATGATGCCTGATGTATAGTATGTGCTTAGTAAGTATTGATTGACTGGTAGGATGGATGGAGGGATGGGTCGGTGGGTGGATGGATAAATGGATGGGTGGGTGGGTGGATGGATAAATGGATGATGGTGGGTAGGTGGATGGAAGGGTGGGTGGGTGGATGTGTGGGTGGATGGATGGATTAGGTGGATGGATGGGTGGGTGGGTGAGTGGATGGATGTATGGGTGGGTGGGTGGATGGATGGGTGGATGTGTGGATGGGTGGGTGAGTGGATGGATGTATGGGTGGGTGGGTGGATGTATGGGTGGGTGGGTGATGGGTGGGTGGGTGGATGGATGGGTGGATGGATGGGTGGGTGGATGGGTGAGTGGGTGGATGGGCAGGTGGTTGGGTGTATGTACGTATGTATGTATGTATGTACGGATGGATGGGTGGGTGGGTGGATGGGTAGATATGTGGATGGATGGGTGGGTGGCTGGGTGGGTGGATGGGTGGATGGGTGGGTGGATGGGTGGATGTATGGATGGATGGCTGGGTGGATGGGTGGATGGATGAATGGATGAGTAGGCAGGTGGATGGATGAGTGGGTGGATGGGTAGGTGGGTGAATGGATGGATGGGTGGGTGGGTGGATGGGTGGATATGTGGATGGATGGATAAGTGGGTAGGTGGATGGATGGGTGGGTGAGTGGATGTCTGGGTGGATGGGTGGATGGCTGGGTACTTGGGTGGATGTATGGATGGGTGGGTAGATGGGTGGGTGGATGGGTGGGTGGGTAAGTGGATGGGTGGGTGGGTGAATGGATGGATGGCTGGATGGATTAGGTGGGTGGATGGGTGGGTGAGTGGATGGATGGATGGATGGATGGGTAGGTGGGTAGAAGGGTGGATACATGGGTGCGTGGATGGGTGAGTGAGTGAGTGGATGGGTGGATTAGTGGGTGGGTGGAGAGATGGATGGGTGAGTGGATGGGTGGATGGATTGGTGTGTGAATGGATGGGTGGATGGGTAGGTGGGTGGAGAGATGAATGGGTGGGTGGATGGATGGATGGATGGGTGAGTTGGTGGATGGGCAGGTGGGTGGGTGGATGGATGGATGTACAGATGTATGGAGGGATGGGTGGGTGGGTGGATGGATGGGTGGGTGAGTGGGTAGGTAGGTGGAGAGATGAATGGGTGGGTGGATGGGTGGATGGATGGGTGAGTGGGTGGATGGGTGGGTGAGTGGGTGGATGGATGGGTGGGTAGATGAGTGGAGGGTGAATAAATATAGTAGGAGACTCTATAGAGTGAGGACAGACAAGCATTGAGAAAGGGAAGACAGGATCTGGAATGCTGGACTACGAGAGAAGACGAGGAAGGCAGGTTGGGTCCCAGTGCATCCATGTGGAGTTGAGCAGCCCAGACTGACACAAGTTTTGGGCTGACAACCTCATCTTTGGCTTGGGCCCCGGCAGAAGGGGATCCACCCTGGGGGCAGAGACGTGGAGCCTCTGCTGCCCCTTGACAACAGGGGTTCAGGGCAGGCTCTCCTTCAGCAAGCGGCTGAGGGAAAGCCAGGTCCCCTGGACTCCACTGGGGGCTTCAGCAAGGGCAGGGCCAGTTTCCCCTCCCATCCTCCGTGTGTGGGTTCCTGAGGTCTCCTCCTGTCTTTGACCCTCAAGGCTGGGCTGCGTCCAAAGGACAGGCATTTCCAGGAGATTCCAGAGTCAGGATTTGAGCAGAGAGCTGACCCCAGTGGACCCAGGTGTGTGCACCATCAGAGGACAGCGTGGGCATGGGGAGGGGTGGGGGCCCAACCACTCTGGTCCTCTCAGCAGCTTCTCTCAGAGGTGGCCACCAAGGTGATGGGACACCCTTGCTCCCAGCCGCCCTTAAACCCAAACCTGGGTCAGGTTGGCATTTATTGCTGCATGGAGCAGCCGTGGGTTGTTCCAGAGCCCTGCATGCTTTCCAAAGGGAAGCAGAGGGCCAGGAAATCCTTCTCCCCAGATACTTCCAGTCATTCCCTATCTCCCTTGCTTTGGCCCCATAAATATTCATATTCGTTGAACACAAGTATTATGTATGAAGATTTATCAAACGCTGTATTAGTCTCAGTGAGAATATATTTTACAGGTATTGCCATGTCCTGCAAAATATTCATGACTTCATGGTATCAGAAGGGCAGTCAGTCTTTTCACTATTGACAATATGTTATTAGTTTGGGTCCCCAGGTAATCTTAAAAGACCAGTCTGTAATGAAATTAGCTGTTGTATTTGGAGAGAGTGGATAAAATTGAAGCTGGGAGAGAGAGACATTATCTACAAAGGCAAACCAGGGTCTCTCTTTTTTATCTTCACTTTGTAATCATCAAAATTAATAGCCAGGCACGTTAAATTGGTTTACATTTTTATAGTGGAAATAAAGAGAGGGGCAAGGGAGCTGGTGGGACACTCTGCCTGCTGTAGCTTCCACACTCCCCTCCACCCTCCACACTCCCTGAAGTGGACAGCCAAGGTCGCACGCACACGAAGGACGCAGGGCCTGGATTGCCGGAAGGTGATGGTGCTGCTGGTTCCCTCACTACAAACAGGGTGGAGTCCTGCTTGCTGGACAAAGGTCACGGTGGAGGCTGCTGGTGTCCTGGGATCTGAGGGTGGAGGGAGGGCCCGCTGTCCCACGGCAGCTGCCCTGGCCTGGAGTCCACATCTGCTCTCTCTGCCGGCACTTGCTCACAGTGTCTCTTTCCCTTGTGTGCCTTGTTACGTTTGACTGTGTGCTGGTCATTGTTGTTGAACATTGAGTTGCAGGCATAACCCGAGGCCTAGGCTGGAGGCACTCCCCTCTGGAGAGGGTTGTTTGCTCCTCTAGGCTCCTGGGGGCTGCCTGTGCTACCCCTGCCCCTGCTGCCCCTGCCCGTGCTGCTCCTCTAACGCCGAGTTCAGGCCTTGATGGTTGCTTGGACCACGCCGAGGCTGCACATCCTGAAGGCAGGTCCCCCAGTGCTTCACCCTCACCCCTGTTTACGGAGGGAGAGTTTTCTATTTGGCACCTCTGATTTCTTCCCCCTTTCTCCCTCTTTGAAATGTCAAAGTCACAGTATTCAGAACACCCTCTTAGGGAAAAAGCAAATTGCAGGCCCACTCATTTCTCTGATTCCCATTTTCCCTTCACTTCTGGCCTAGCAATTTCTTGCCATCTTGTCAGGTATTTATTGCTTTTTAGAAGTTGATGTTGTTGTTTAAATCCAGTATTCTTAGTGCTTTTCAGCGGGAGGCAGGTTGGTCTGGCTCACAGAGGCCGCAATTATGGGAAACTTTAGCTGCGGCCGAGTCCCTGTCTTGGGCTGCCAGCGCCACATGCCCAGGGAGAGCGGGTGCCCTGAACCGTGTGCCCAGGGAGAGTGGGTGCCCTGAAGGATGGCTGTGGACAGGCGGAGGCTCCAAAACAGGACAGCCGGGTTTGGGCTGTTTGGGGATCACCTCCCTCAGGCCACAGCCACACCTAGTTCCTCTTTGCGTGGGAGGACAGCGTGGCTCCCACCTTCCCAGCGCGCGCTCCCTCTGCCCCTTCCTCCCCGATTATCTTGTGCCCGGCCGCCTCTCAATTTGTGCTGTTTCCTCTCTCAGAATATTGGCTTCAGTCACTGTAACAGATGGAAATCAGTGACTCAAAGAGAAGCTGGGAGCTTGAAAGCCCACTTCCTTCCAAGTTGAAAAATCACAGCCGCCCACATATCCCAGGTATCGTGTGCTGGGAAAGCAGGCGGCCAAGTGTGAAATGACTCTTCAGGGGGCAGGGACACAGAGGAAGCCGGCAGAAATGCCTGCTTTCCCGGAGGGCTCTCAGCCTCCAGGAGATGGCCGGCCCCGTCCTTCTGGGTGGGGCTGTTGGGTGGGAGGCAGCCTGACCTCACGTGGGTGCGCTCTCACTCCTGGCACTCAGCCCCGGCTCCTCTGGGTGAGGGAACTCAGAGTCCCTGACAGTCCTGGCCTTTGCATGCCTCAGTTCCTTTACTTCTGCGTGTTACCGACCCCAACTGAAATGCCGAACCGCGGTGTGGCCGGTGAGACCTGGAGGGCTGGTGGCACCCTCACAAGCCCAGCCCCACGTGAATCCCAGCTCCTCCCCTCCTGCTGGAGGCATTCGGTCTCATGGTCACACATTGGCTGCTCCAGCCCCGAGCATTGAGTCCTGGTTCCAGGCACGAAAAACAGTACAGGGCTGTGGATAAAAGGTGAAAACCTCAGATTCCAGCAGTCTCCTTTTTTAGACATATTTCTCAGAAATTCCACCCAGCAAGTTCCACTCGAGTCTTGCTGACTGGGTGTTGGTCGGGCGCCACCCTCAGCGGCGAGGTCACCCGGGGAGGCCGGGGTTTCACCTGCGCCCGCTGCCATCAAGCAAACTGTCGTTCTGCTGCTGAAGAACAGGGGACGGGTGGTGGCCCGGGCGTCTGCTGGGCCCTTGCCCTCTAACTGCCCTCCTGGCATGGTCTCTTTCTCTGCCCTCCTGTGCGATTCTTGGTGCTGCTGTAGCACTGACCACAGACCGGGTGGCTGTACACAATGGAGACTTACGCTCTCTCTGTTCTGGAGGCCGGAAGTCCAAAGTCACGGTGCCGGCAGGGGCAGCTCCCCTGGGGGCCTAGGTCTGCTGCAGGCCTGTCCTGCTCAGGGGACACTGGGCAGTCGTGGCATCGTCTCTGCCTCTGACATCATGTGGCCTCTCTTTTCTGCCTGTGACTATCCGAGCCCTCTCATTTTCTAATCAGGATGCTTCTTACTGGATTTACACCCCGCTGCCCCGAGTCCAGGATGACCTCATCTTGAAATCCTTACCTTAATTATACCTGGAAAGACCTTACTCCCACATCCACAGGTTCAGAGTGGAGATAGCTTTTGGGGCCCTCATTCAACCCACCATCCTGCTGCATTCATCTAAACTGGGGCACGACCCCTCGACCTCCAGGGCGGCTGCGTGAGGTCCACGGGCAGCTAGAGGGGTGGGGCCAGTCAGCCGTGGGTGTCCCGGGGCCATCATCCACTCCAGCCCATCTCTGCCCCGCATGGCAGATCCAGGCTGTCAGATTGCTGGATCCTCCCGAGGAAGTGGAAACTCCAGGGTTTCAGGTGAAATCTACGGGGGTTTCAATGTTGGCAAAAACTCAGGATTCTGAGAGTGTCGCGTGGGACAGACACGCCTGCAGCCCGGTGGATGTGGGCTGAATGGGTGGGGCCGGGTTCTGCCCACCGCCCTGCAGGGCCATAAATAGGGGCTCTAGGAACCTCCCTGGTTGGGGGCAGAGGGGCGGGGTTGTCAGCGTCCTCCCGGGCACCAGCTGACCCCTGCTCCACAGCCGCCTCCTGCCTTCTCAGGCACGGAAGTCACAGTGCGGCCATCCCGAGCCCCGTGGGTGAGGCGTGAGTGCGGCCATCCCGAGCCCTGTGGGTAAGGCGTGAGTGCGGCCATCCCGAGCCCCGTGGGTGAGGTGTGAGGACGGCCGGTGCACACGTGGCTCAGAAGGGCCCAGGAGTCTCAGCCTGGTAGGTCTGCATGGCCACGGTGAGCCTCACTGTCTATGCAATGGGGACAGCATGGTGCTGACATCGTGGGCAGTGTGAGGATTACAGGATGGGCACCCCGAGGTGCCAGGTGGGTCCCGGGCCCCTCTCTTTGTCTCAGCCCTGGCCTGGGAAAGCCCTGGCGGTCGAGGGTCCCTCCCACCCCACCTTACCTCCCCGGCCCACCCTGCGTTCGTGGGGCTGCCCCACATCCCGCAAGGCCTCCCCCTGCCTTTAGCAGTGTCTGGGAACCCGGTAGGTGCAGGCACCACCTGGGGGCTGCTGGAACGAGACCAGCAAACAGAATGGGCGGCAGCACCCAGCAAGGGCAGCGCTGGGGCCCGGGGCAGGGTGTTTCGGGGTCTGCTTGCTGCACCAGCTTAGCCTCCTGTATTATTTTCCTGGGGCTGCTGTCACAGCTCACCACAGACGGGGCAGCCTAAAATGACACACATTTCTTCTTTCACAGCTCTGGCATCCAGACGCCCAGAGTGGATTTCACTGAGCTACAGCTGAGCTATGGGCAGGGCTGTGCAGCCTCCAGAGGCCGCAGGGAGGGTCTGTCCTTCCCTCCCAGCTCCTGGGGCTCCAGGCGCCGTTGGCCACGCTGCTGCACCCTCTGCCTCCGTCACACGCAGCTGTTTCCTCTTCTGTCTGTGTCGAATCTCCCTCCATGTGTCTTTTTCTTGTTTGTGTGTTTTTTTGTTTTTTTTTTTTTGAGACAGGGTCTCACTCTGTTGCCCAGGCTGGAGTGCAGTGGCGTGATCATAGCTCACTGCAGCCACAGCCTCCTAAGGTCAAGTGATTCTCCTGGCTCAGCCTCCCAGTGTGCGGGGATTACAGGTGTGAGCCACTGCGCCCAGCCCACTTCTCTCTCATAAGACACTTGTTTTTTGTGGTTGTTGTTGTTTGTTTGTTTTGAGACGGAGTCTCACTCTGTCGCCCAGGCTGGAGTGCATTGGTGTGATCTCAGCTCACTGCAACCTCTGCCTCCTAGGTGCAGGTGATTCTCCTGCCTCAGCCTCCCGAGTAGCTGAGACTACAGGCGCCCGCCACCACACCCAACTATTTTTTTTTTTTTTTTAGTAGAGATGAGGTTTCATCATGTTGGTCAGGCTGGTCTTGAACTCCTGACCTGGTGATCCACCCGCCTTGGCCTCCCACAGTGCTGAGATTACAGGCGTGAGCCACTGTGTCCGGCCCGCTTCTCTCTTATAAGACACTGGTGATTGTATTCAGGGTGCACCTGGGTGATCAAGGGCACTCTCCGTCTCAGGGTCTCTAACTTAATCTCGTCTGTAAAGTCCCTTTGACCATGGAAATTGACAGACTCATGGGTTCCAGACATCAGAACCTGATGCCTTTGGAATCGGTTATTTATCCCACCACAGCTGTCCTGCCTAATGAACAGATCTAGATAGACCCAGTGCGTATTTGTTAACTTAATGCCATTTCTTCCAAAATGTGAATCCACTGCTGACATGTAGAGATATAAATCTGTACACTGGCACTTCCTGTTGGAATTTTAGAAGATCTGGCATCTCTGGACCCGAGTCCCTGGGTGGCAGTAATCCGTGGGTCTGAGCCGCAGTCCCCACCACTCCCCATTGCCCCAGACACACATGCCAAGTGACAATCTGTTCATC
Organism: Homo sapiens; assembly: GCF_000001405.40. NCBI lineage: Eukaryota > Metazoa > Chordata > Mammalia > Primates > Hominidae > Homo > Homo sapiens. Next base: position 213,467 of record NW_021160007.1, on the reverse strand, counting down.
CTTCAACTTCCCTGACTGCTCTCCTCAGGGTCCATCGAGAGGAGGTGGCTGGGAAGCGGGCACAGGTCCCCTCACAGCCCAGATCACCCCCACCTGGCCATCTACTCACAGAGTCAGCCCCCATGGAAATCAGATTCCCCGCCACGCTCCCAGACAGCCGTCTCCTCCCCTGTGATTGTCTTCCAGATTATCTCCCGTAATTAGAACAGTGCGCTCCCTCGGGTCATGGGAAAGGAACTTCAAATGACGATTCCGTAAAAGCAGAATGACCACGGGCACGCGGCGGGTGTGCGCGGAAGTGAGCCATCTTTTCCATTACCGCAGTGATGATGAATGGCGGGGAGGGAGCCTTGTGTTCAGCCCTGAATCTCGAAAGGAAGCTGCTTTTCCTCGCGCAAGTCACATCACTGCCTCCAAAACCAAGCGGTGTCCCTGGCTCTGAGCAGGGGGGAAGGCGTGGAGAACGTCCTGGGGAAAGTGGGTGCCCCATGGCACTCCGTCAGCAATGCCGGGGCAGGTGGGGGTACCCAGAAAGGCCTGGAGACGCACCTGTGTCCTCCAAGCCACTATGTCCGAACTGACTTCGCCTTAAGAACTTGTTGCCCACAGTCTAGACCCCCGCTCTGCCCGCCCACCTGGACCTCGGCCCCCAGACCCCAGGAGAACCACCCCCAACAGGCCTCTCTGCATGGCTCCGGGGCGCCCCTGAGTGGGTCGCCTCCTGGCCAGGGCCCTGGAGCCAGGCTGACTCCTCGCCATCCCGGACAGCAGCTCCCATTGCTCTGCGCTTGAGAGTCACCTGGGGATGGTTTAGACCGTCCGGCGTCCAGGCCACGCCCCGGCAGTTATGTCAGCTCCGTGGGGAGGCCCGGGCAGGTGCCGGCGCCCTCACACTCCGCAGGCGGTTCCGGTGCGGACAGCCGCTTCCAACGCTGCCTGTGTAAGGGTCCCCTGCAGGCCCCCCACGGGGGCTCTGACCCGGCAGGTTTGGGGAGGGTCTCAAGAACGTGTGGTCCCCACAGGCTCCCAGGTGAGGTGGCCGCTGCTGTCCTGAGGGCGGGAGCCACTGTCTTGAGTCTGGGCCCCGCCATGAGCCCCCCTGTCCTGAGGGTGGGCCCCGCCGTGAGCCCCCCGGCCCAGGTGCCACTGTGAGAGCCACTGTCCTAAAGGCTGTGCTGCCAGCCCTGACTCAGCTCCTTTGGACCCAAGCCCCACCCAGGGCTCCCTGGTCCCCATCACCCAGTGCTGTGAGGAGCCAGTAGGGAAACCCCAGGCCTGGCACTCACATCTGCACTCGGGCCGCGCTCTCCACCCGAGGGCCTCACTGGCTTCCCTCTCAGGGCCCACTGAGACCAAACATTCCCCAAACTGAGCTCCAGGAGGCCACCCAGGCAAGGCTGTGCCCAGGCGAGGATGTACCCAGGTGAGGGTGTGTCCAGGCGAGGCTGTGCCCGGGCGAGGGCGTGTCCGGGTGAGGGTGTGCCCGGGTGAGGGTGTGCCCGGGTGAGGTTGTGCCCGGGTGAGGGCGTGTCTGGGTGAGGGTGTGCCCCGGTGAGGGTGTGCCCGGGTGAGGGTGTGCCCGGGTGAGGCTGTGCCCGGGTGAGGGTGTGCCCCGGTGAGGGTGTGCCCGGGTGAGGGTGTGCCCAGGTCAGGCTGTGTCTGGGCGATTCTGTGCCCGGGTGAGGGTGTGCCCGGGTGAGGGTGTGCCCCGGTGAGGATGTGCCCGGGTGAGGGTGTGCCCGGGTGAGGGTGTGCCCGGGTGAGGGCGTGTCTGGGTGAGGGCGTGTCTGGGTGAGGGTGTGCCCCGGTGAGGGCGTGTCCGGGCGAGGGTGTGCCCCGGTGAGGGTGTGTCTGGGCGATTCTGTGCCCGGGTGAGGGTGTGTCCGGGCGAGGGTGTGCCCGGGCAAGGGTGTGTCTGGGTGAGCGTGTGCCCGGGCGAGGCTGTGCCCAGGCGAGGGTGTGCCCGGGCGAGGCTGTGCCCGGGTGAGGGCGTGTCTGGGTGAGGCTGTGCCCGGGTGAGGGTGTGCCCAGGTGAGGGTGTGTCTGGGCGATTCTGTGCCCGGGTGAGGGTGTGTCTGGGTGAGGGTGTGCCCCGGTGAGGATGTGCCCGGGTGAGGGTGTGCCCGGGTGAGGGTGTGCCCGGGTGAGGGCGTGTCTGGGTGAGGGCGTGTCTGGGTGAGGGTGTGCCCCGGTGAGGGCGTGTCCGGGCGAGGGTGTGCCCCGGTGAGGGTGTGTCTGGGCGATTCTGTGCCCGGGTGAGGGTGTGCCCGGGCGAGGGTGTGCCCGGGCGAGGGTGTGCCCAGGTGAGGGTGTGTCTGGGCGAGGGTGTGCCCGGGTGAGGGTGTGCCCGGGCGAGGCTGTGTCTGGGTGAGGGTGTGCCCCGGTGAGGCTGTGCCCAGGTGAGGGTGTGTCTGGGCGAGGGTGTGCCCGGGCGAGGCTGTGCCCGGGTGAGGGTGTGTCCGGGCGAGGGTGTGCCCCGGTGAGGCTGTGCCCGGGTGAGGCTGTGCCCGGGTGAGGGCGTGTCCGGGCGAGGGTGTGCCCCGGTGAGGGTGTGTCTGGGCGATTCTGTGCCCGGGTGAGGGTGTGTCCGGGCGAGGGTGTGCCCGGGCAAGGGTGTGTCTGGGTGAGCGTGTGCCCGGGCGAGGCTGTGCCCGGGCGAGGGTGTGCCCGGGCGAGGCTGTGCCCGGGTGAGGGCGTGTCTGGGTGAGGGTGTGCCCCGGTGAGGGTGTGCCCGGGTGAGGCTGTGCCCGGGTGAGGGTGTGCCCAGGCGAGGGTGTGTCTGGGCGATTCTGTGCCCGGGTGAGGGTGTGTCCGGGCGAGGGTGTGCCCGGGCGAGGGTGTGCCCGGGTGAGGGTGTGTCTGGGTGAGGGTGTGCCCCGGTGAGGATGTGCCCAGGTGAGGGCGTGTCTGGGTGAGGGCGTGTCTGGGTGAGGGTGTGCCCCGGTGAGGGCGTGTCCGGGCGAGGGTGTGCCCCGGAGAGGGTGTGCCCGGGTGAGGCTGTGTCTGGGTGAGGGTGTGCCCCGGTGAGGCTGTGCCCAGGTGAGGGTGTGCCCGGGTGAGGGTGTGTCCGGGCGAGGGTGTGCCCCGGAGAGGGTGTGCCCAGGTGAGGCTGTGTCTGGGTGAGGGTGTGCCCCGGTGAGGCTGTGCCCAGGTGAGGGTGTGCCCGGGCGAGGGTGTGTCTGGGCGAGGCTGTGTCTGGGTGAGGGTGTGCCCCGGTGAGGCTGTGCCCAGGCGAGGGTGTGTCTGGGCGAGGGTGTGTCCGGGTGAGGGTGTGCCCCGGTGAGGGTGTGCCCGGGTGAGGGTGTGTCTGGGTGAGGGTGTGCCCGGGTGAGGGTGTGCCCCGGTGAGGGTGTGCCCGGGTGAGGGTGTGTCTGGGTGAGGGTGTGCCCGGGTGAGGGTGTGCCCCGGTGAGGGTGTGCCCGGGTGAGGCTGTGCCCGGGTGAGGGTGTGCCCAGGCGAGGGTGTGTCTGGGCGATTCTGTGCCCGGGTGAGGGTGTGTCCGGGCGAGGGTGTGCCCGGGCGAGGGTGTGCCCGGGCGAGGCTGTGTCTGGGTGAGGGTGTGCCCGGGTGAGGCTGTGCCCGGGTGAGGGTGTGCCCAGGCGAGGGTGTGTCTGGGCGATTCTGTGCCCGGGTGAGGGTGTGTCCGGGCGAGGGTGTGCCCGGGCGAGGGTGTGCCCGGGCGAGGCTGTGCCCGGGTGAGGGTGTGCCCGGGCGAGGCTGTGCCCCGGAGAGGGTGCTGCTTCTCATCTCTCCTCTGCTTCCGTTTTTGGTGGTGGATTCTGGGCAGCTGCCTCTCGTGTTAAATGAAGATGCCCTGGTGGCCCTGTGCTGCTCAAGGTGCCCGGGGTGGGGGCCTCTCTCCTGGTGACGAATCCACTCAGGGCGCCTGCCCAGCCTTGGGCAGTCACTGCATCCCGGCGGTGGAGGGTCTGACGGGGACTACCGGGTGAAGGCCACAGGGGTGACAGCCACAGTGTGCATGGGGACGGCTAGTCCTGAAATACACAGGGAGGCTTTCCCGAGAGAGAGACAGACAGAGGGTGGGAAACCGCGTCTTCCATGTCCACACACCGTCTCACCCCAGGGCTGATCGGAGCATCAGACTCTGCACAGGCCCCTGGGTTCCACCCTCGCCCCCCTTAGACGGTCACCGGAGTGGTCCCTCTGCATAGAAAACCTGACCACTGTGCCCACCCTCCTCTCTCCCTCTCAGCTCAAAGCTCCTCTGCGCTCCCACTTCCTACAAGGCTCAAAGCAAGATCCCAGCGGCACAGAAAGCTCCCACCCCGTCCCGTCCCCTTTCTGCTGCCACAGCCCTGACCTGCATGCGCAGCCACTCACAGGACACCTTCCTGCCCTCCTGGCCTTTCTCTTCCCTCCGACTCCTCTTCCTGGGGATCCTGCCCCTGCCTCTGACCCACACCTGCGTGGAAGCGGCTGCCCTGGGCTGGCACCTGTTCACCTGTGGGCATGATGGGGCATGAGCTCTGGGGGGCAGGCAGGTGTGTGCTGCGTTCACCAGGGCCACCTGGACCTGCCCCACCCAGGCAGCTCTTGGAATTTAGCAGACGCTCCGTGAGTTTTGATAATGGATGGGTGAATAAATGGCACGGCTACAAATTGACATTTTATGTTTGCAGCCATCAAAGTTATGTTTATGAAGAATTTTTAGTGACGTGGGGAAATACTCAAGACGTAGTGATAAAAACAGAATGCAGGCGGCAGACACCAGATACATGGATCGAACTGCGCTGAGGCATTACGTGATCTTACAGAATAATATGGAGTGTGAAAATACTGATACTAGTTTTCCCTGCAGCAAGAGACCCCAGGTGATCCTGTGTGTGTGTGTGTGTGTGTGTGTGTGTGTGTGTGTGTAGAATTTTCTACCAAAAGCATTTATGACTTTTCCAATCAGAAGTGATGCACTTTCTAATTAAAGTAGTGGAAGCATATATTGCTGGCAGTGAAACAAAACTAATCTAAACCTTCTGGAAAATGACTTGGCACCAAGATTCATGAAATTTCTCTATCTTTGACACAGTGGTTCAATTTCTGAAATAAGCAATCCTAAATATGTAATTAATAAATAAGTGATAAACACGTGAGCCCCTCGGGGTTGTCAGGCAGGTGTTTCTGTGGACAAGCGTCTGATGGATGTTACCTAGTGGTTGGAAGGTCATTGCTACGACTGCAATTGAATTCTACCTCTGACGGCACAGAAGGCATCTGTGGCCATAACTTTATGTGGAGGCAAAAAGCAAAATGCAGACCCCTCCATCTTGAAGGTGGCACACAAATGTTCCGTGCCCCCCTGGAGCCGCATCCAAATCACCTGCCCTGTCCAGGGTCATGAAGGTTGTGCAGGGCATGGGGGAGGCTGCATTTGCCAGGGAGGGCTTGGCCTCCCTCTCTGGCCAGCGAGTGGGGCCCCAGGTCCCTCCTCCAAGGGCTGGTTCAACCTGAATGTGTCCACATGGCATGTTCCTTTTCCGCGGCCACCAGGCAGTCCTCCTGCTGTGCCGGCGGTGAATGTTCGCACAGCCATCCCTACCTCCGGGTGGAATTGGGAGGGGCAGGGGCCGACGATGGGGCAGCCCCATGGACAGGGACCCTTTATGTGCCCCGGAGGGGAAGTGTCCAGCTGGCACCTTGGTCTGGCTCAGAAACCCCTGTGTGGTTCTCGTATGGACCATTCCCACGTGCCCACCACAGCAGCACTTCTGTCTGTGAAACAGGGCGCGGAGTGGAAGCACAGCCGTGGTCCCCAAGGCCAGGCAGGCACTGTCACCTGCTTCTTTGGGAGAGGATGCCCTTCCTCTCCTGAAAGTGGAGCGACCATGGTTTAGTGGCTATTTAACGCCTTTGCCTGCCACCATACAGGGGTGGTGCCTTTCTTGGTCCCTTTGGACACCCTCTTTGAGAGCTTTGCAGTTCGGAGCACTGTGACGGAGTGTGGCTGGGGCTCACTGCCTCCTGGCCATGGGCCCAAACTTCAGCCTCAGGAGTCTCATCAGTTACATGGGGGTGACAAAAGCAGCTGGCTCGGAGGGAACCCTGGGGATTAAAGGAAGCAAAGCTTGTGCAACGCCTGCACGAGGAACGGTCAGTGCTGTGCTGTGAATGCGTCGCCCGCTGCCCCCACATGGGAAGCTTCACCCCCACCATGGCATTGAGAGAGGTCTGCAGGGGCTCTGCCCTCTCCAAGGGGTTAATGCCCTTAATGTGGGAGTGGGTTAGTTATGGGAGTGAGTTATCTCAGGAGTGGGTTGGTTATCTCAGGGGTGGGTTAGGTGTGGTGGGGGTGGGTTAGGTGTGGTGGGAGTGGGTTAGTTATCATGGGAGTGAGTTATCTCAGGAGTGGCTTGGTTATCTCAGGGATGGGTTAGGTGTGGTGGCAGTGGGTTAGTTATGGGAGTGAGTTATCTCAGGAGTGGCTTGGTCATCTCAGGGGTGGGTTAGGTGTGGTGGGAGTGGGTTAGTTATCATGGGAGTGGGTTATCTCAGCAGTGGCTTGGTTATCTCAGGGGTGCGTTAGGTGTGGTGGGAGTGGGTGAGTTATGGGAGTGAGTTATCTCAGGAGTGGCTTGGTCATCTCAGGGATGGGTTAGATGTGGTGGGAGTGGGTTAGTTATGGGAGTGGGTTATCTCAGCAGTGGCTTGGTTATCTCAGGGGTGCGTTAGGTGTGGTGGGAGTGGGTGAGTTATGGGAGTGAGTTATCTCAGGAGTGGCTTGGTCATCTCAGGGATGGGTTAGATGTGGTGGGAGTGGGTTAGTTATGGGAGTGAGTTATCTCAGGAGTGGCTTGGTCATCTCAGGGGTGGGTTAGGTGTGGTGGGAGTGGGTTAGTTATCATGGGAGTGGGTTATCTCAGCAGTGGCTTGGTTATCTCAGGGATGAGTTAGGTGTGGTGGGAGCAGGTTAGTTATGGGAGTGAGTTATCTCAGGAGTGGCTTGGTTATCTCAGGGATGGGTTAGGTGTGGTGGGAGTGGGTTAGTTATCATGGGAGTGAGTTATCTCAGGAGTGGGCTGGTCATCTCAGGGATGGGTTAGGTGTGGTGGGAGTGGGTTAGTTATCATGGGAGTGAGTTATCTCAGGAGTGGGTTGGTCATCTGAGGGGTGGGTTAGGTGTGGTGGGAGTGGGTTAGTTATCATGGGAGTGGGTTATCTCAGCAGTGGCTTGGTTATCTCAGGGATGGGTTAGGTGTGGTGGGAGTGGGTTAGTTATGGGAGTGAGTTATCTCAGGAGTGGGTTGGTCATCTCAGGGGTGGGTTAGGTGTGGTGGGAGTGGGTTAGTTATGGGAGTGAGTTATCTCAGGAGTGGGTTGGTCATCTCAGGGATGGGTTAGGTGTGGTGGGAGTGGGTTAGTTATCATGGGAGTGGGTTATCTCAGCAGTGGCTTGGTCATCTCAGGGATGGGTTAGGTGTGGTGGGAGTGTGTTAGTTATGGGAGTGAGTTATCTCAGGAATGGGTTGGTCATCTCAGGGATGGGTTAGGTGTGGTGGGAGTGGGTTAGTTATCATGGGAGTGGGTTATCTCAGCAGTGGCTTAGTTATCTCAGGGATGGGTTAGATGTGGTGGGAGTGGGTGAGTTATGGGAGTGAGTTATCTCAGGAGTGGCTTGGTCATCTCAGGGGTGGGTTAGGTGTGGTGGGAGTGGGTTAGTTATGGGAGTGAGTTATCTCAGGAATGGGTTGGTCATCTCAGGGATGGGTTAGGTGTGGTGGGAGTGGGTTAGTTATCATGGGAGTGGGTTATCTCAGCAGTGGCTTGGTTATCTCAGGGATGGGTTAGATGTGGTGGGAGTGGGTGAGTTATGGGAGTGAGTTATCTCAGGAGTGGCTTGGTCATCTCAGGTATGGTTAGGTGTGGTGGGAGTGGGTTAGTTATGGGAGTGAGTCATCTCAGGAGTGGGTTGGTTATCTCAGGGGTGGGTTAGGTGTGTTGGGGGTGGGTTAGGTGTGGTGGGAGTGGGTTAGTTATCATGGGAGTGGGTTATCTCAGCAGTGGCTTGGTTATCTCGGGTGGGTTAGGTGTGGTGGGAGTGGGTGAGGTATGGGAGTGAGTTATCTCAGGAGTGGCTTGGTCATCTCAGGGATGGGTTAGGTGTGGTCCGAGTGGGTTAGTTATGGGAGTGATTTATCTCAGGAGTGGGTTGTTTATCTCTGGGATGGGTTAGGTGTGGTGGCAGTGGGTTAGTTATGAGAGTGGGTTATCTCAGGAGTGGCTTGGTCATCTCAGGGATGGTTTAGGTGTGGTGAGAGTGGGTTAGTTATGGGTGTGAGTTATCTCAGGAGTGGGTTGGTTATCTCAGGGATGGGTTAGGTGTGTTGGGGGTGGGTTAGGTGTGGTGGGAGTGGGTTAGTTATCATGGGAGTGGGTTATCTCAGCAGTGGCTTGGTTATCTCAGGGGTGGGTTAGGTGTGGTGGGAGTGGGTTAGTTATGGGAGTGAGTTATCTCAGGAGTGGCTTGGTTATCTCAGGGATGGGTTAGGTGTGGTGGGAGCAGGTTAGTTATCATGGGAGTGGGTTATCTCAGCAGTGGCTTGGTTATCTCAGGGATGAGTTAGGTGTGGTGGGAGTGGGTTAGTTATGGGAGTGAGTTATCTCAGGAGTGGTTTGGTTATCTCGGGTGGGTTAGGTATGGTGGGAGCAGGTTAGTTATAGGAGTGGATTATCTCAGGAGTGGCTTGGTTATCAGGAGTGGATTAGGTATGGTGGGAGCAGGTTAGTTATCATGGGAGTGGGTTATCTCAGCCGTGGCTTGTTTATCTCATGGGTGGGTTAAGTGTGGTGGGAATGGGTTAGTTATCATGGGACTGGGTTATCTCAGGAGTGACTTGGTTGTCTCTGAGGTGCAATGGTCATCATGGGAATGGGTTAGTTAACTTGGGAGTGGGTTTCCTTGGGAACGAGTTAGTTATCAGAATAATGGGTTGGTTATCATGAGAGTGGGTTAGTTATCTCAGGAGTGGGCTAGGTATCTTGGGAATGACTTGGTTATCTCAGGAGTTAGTTGGTTATTGTGGGAGTGAGTTGGTTATCATGGGAGTGAATTGGTTATCTCAGGAGTGAGTTGGTAATTTTGGGAGTTGATTTTCTCAGGAGTGAGTGAGTTTTCTTGGATGTGAGTTGGTTATTATGAGAGTGAGTTGATTATTGTGGGATTGGCTTGGTTGTCTAGGAGTGAGTTGGTTATCATGGGAGTGAATTGGTTATCTCGGGAGTGAGTTGGTAATCTTGGGAGTTGGTTTTCTCAGAAGTGAGTTAGTTTTCTTGGGAGTGAGTTGGTTATTATGAGAGTGAGTTGGTTATTGTGGGATCGGTTTGGTTGTCTCAGGAGGGAGTTGGTTTTCATGGGAGTGTGTTGGTTATCTTGGGAGTGGCTTGCTTATCTTGGGAACGAGTTGGTTATCTCAGGAGTGAGTTGGTTATGGTGGGAATGGCTTGGTCATCTTGGGGGAGACTCAGTCATCTCAGAAGTGAGCTGGTTATCATGGGAGTGAGTTGGTTATCTCAGGAGTGAGTTGGCTATCTCAGGAGTGGCTTGTTTATCTCGGGAGTGATTGGTTATTGTGGGAGTGGCTTGGTCATCTTGGGAGAGACTCAGTCATCTCAGGAGTGACTTGGTCATCTCAGAGTGAGTTGGTTATCTCGGGAGCGGCTTTATTGTCTCAGGAGTGAGTTGGTTATTGTAGGAGTGAGTTGGTTATCATGGGAGTGAGTTGGTTATCTCGGGAGTGGCTTGGTCATCTTGGGAGTGAGTTGGTCATCTCTGGAGTGACTTCATTATCATGGGAGTGAGTTGGTTATCTTGGCAGTGTCTTGATTATCCTGGGAGTGAGTTAGTTATCTCGAGTGAGTTGGTTATGATGGAAGTGGCTTGGTCATCTCAGAGTGAGTTGGTTATTGTGGGAGTGAGTTGGTTATCATGGGAGTGAGTTTGGGTATCTTGGGAGTGAGTCGGTTGTGGTGGGAGTGACTTGATCATCTTGGGAGTGAGTTGGTTATCTCGGGAGTGAGTTGGTCATCTTCGGAGTGAGTTAGTTATCATGGGAGTGAGTTTGGGTATCTCAGGAGTGAGCTGGTTGTGTTGGGAGTGACTTGGTCATCTCGGGAGTGTGTTGTTTATTTCGGGAATGTGTTGGTTATCTGAGGAGTGGCTTTGTTATTTCAGGAGTGAGTTGGGTATCTTGGGAGTGAGTTGGTTTGTGTGGGAGTGGGCTCCTGATGGAAGGAAGAGTTCCACCCTCCCCCCGCCCAGCCCCCAATGCGTGTGTGCTCTCGCCGTCCACATGGGATGACACAGCACAGAGGCCGAAGTCAGATCCGTGCCTCTTCATCTTGGACTTCCCAGCCTCCCAGAGTGTGAGAAATAAGGTCTTTTCTTGTGAATTGCCACATTTGAGGAATGGTGCTGAAAGTTGGTGTGTGACAGGTCAGCTGTCACCACCAGCCTGTGACCTCAGAACAGCAGGATATTGAGCTTGGTTTGTTTTTCATGAAAGTTGTGGGACAGACCTTTCAAAGGCTGAGCTAATAGATGCAAATTTCCCATTATTCTCAAAATTACATCTTATTCAAGGATAAGATGACAAGCTTGCAGTGTTGATTCTGTCTGGAGGAGGAAGCTGGGATTTCAAAGAGGAAAACTTGGGATTGATATCACGCAGCCCAGGAAGACACCCATGAGATCCGGGGAAGAGCCCACAGCTGGGCCATCAGTGGATGGGGTGGTGAGCGTGGGCATCTCCTGCTCTTGGATCCCAGACAGACCTGTGTCCGCTGGTCTGAGTGGGCTGGACGGCTGGCGTGAGCATGAGGCTGTGCGGTCATCTCTTGGGGCTGCCGTGACAGATCACCACAGACTGCGTGGCTTAGACCAACAGAAACGGACACTCTCCCTGTTCGGAGGCCGTCCCTATTCCGGAGGCTCTCCCTGTTCGGAGGCCGTCCCTGTTCAGAGGCTCTCCCTGTTCAGAGGCTCTCCCTGTTCGGAGGCTCTCCCTGTTCGGAGGCTCTCCCTGTTCCGGAGCCTCTCCCTGTTCAGAGGCTCTCCCTGTTCTGGAGGCTCTCCCTGTTCCGGAGGCTCTCCCTGTTCCGGAGGCCGTCCCTGTTTGGAGGCTCTCCCTGTTCCGGAGGCCGTCCCTGTTCGGAGGCCGTCCCTGTTCGGAGGCCGTCCCTGTTCGGAGGCTCTCCCTGTTCGGAGGCTCTCCCTGTTCCGGAGGCCGTCCCTGTTCGGAGGCCGTCCCTGTTCGGAGGCTCTCCCTGTTCGGAGGCTCTCCCTGTTCCGGAGGCCGTCCCTGTTCAGAGGCTGTCCCTGTTCGGAAGCTCTCGCTGTTCGGAGGCTCTCCCTTTTGGAGGCTCTCCCTGTTTGGAGGCCGGCGGTCCAGAATCACGGTGCTGGCTGGGCCACGCTCCCTCCATAGTCTCCAGGGGAGGATCCTTCCTGCCTCTTCCAGCTCCTGGTGACCTGGGCATCCCTGGCTGGGGGCCACATCATTCCGGTCTCTGCCTCCACCCTCACGTGTGTGCCCCTTCTCTGCGTGTGTCTCTGTGTCTCATCTTCTAAGAAGGACATACCATGTTTGGCTCAGAGCCCACCCGACTCCCGCACTACCTCCTCTTACCTTGATGACGTCAGCGAAGACCGTTTCCAGATAAGATCCTGTTCACAGGTCCCCAGGGCTGGGACTCTGCCTGTTTTTCTGGAGGACACAATTCAACCCACAACAGTCTGCACAGACTTTGGCTCTCGGCCTGCACGGCGCCCGGCACTGGGCCTCTCCTTCCCTGCCTGCACAGCGCCTGGCGCTGGGCCTCTCCTTCCCTGCCTGCATGGTGCCCGGCATGGGGCTGTCGGGGAAGCCAGGGCATTGGGGGTGGGAAGAGCAGAGCAAACTCTCCGGGTGCCCGTCTGAAGGCCCCGCTGGCTTCCCAGGCTGGAGGCCCCATCTCTGGCCCCTGGGCTGTGGCAGCACCGGCCGCTCCTGTGACCCCCAGTGCAGCTACAGGGACCACTGGTGGCTCCATCCCACAGTGCGTTTAGAGGGATTTGGTCTTGAGCCCTGCAGCCGCAGGCCGGGCGTCTCCACACTTTTACCAGTTTCTTCATCGTTTGTCCTTGCTTCCTGGTGGGATCAAGCAATCCTGCCTCTTGGAAGGAATTCTTTGTGAAAGAAGATATGAGGCCACGCTGGAGATAAGAGACAGGGAAGATGAGAGCTCCAGAAATCCTGCTGCGAGGCGCCCACGGCAACCTTCCGCACAGGCAAAATCAGATCCGTGGGATTTTCACTTTTCAGAGCTATTAACAGATCCCTCCCGCTCCAGGGAACGTGACTGGGAAAGCCAAGCGGCTCTGACCCCACCCGCCCTCCCAGAGGCTGCCCCGGGTCTGCACCTGCTCCTGCCCTGCCTTCCTGGCTGGAAGTCCTGACCCCAGCCTCTCCTTGCTCCTGCCCTGCCCTCTTAGTCCTGACCCCAGCCTCTGCCAGCACCTTGGCGCTACATGACCGCTGGCACCCTGAGCAGGACGCCTGAAGCCTCTGAGACCTGGCTCCAAGGCCAGAGTCTGAGTGGGTCCCCAGCCTGGCAGCCTCAGCATCACCCGGAGGTCACCAGAGCTCCTGAGTCTCCTGCCTGACGTGCACCTGTGGATCAGACACTTCTGGAGGGCCCTGGTGGGCTGTGTTTTAACAAGGACCACGGGTGATACAGCTGGGTTTGAGAAGCACTGTTCTCAGGCTGCTGTTCACGGAGGAGCCTCACACCATCAGGGGCCTCACTGGGCCTCAGGGGCACAGGCTGGGGGCTGTGGGGGAGGCGACTCCCATCTCTCTGCTGACTCTGGTCAGAGTCATTCGTTCATTGGACCCACCTGCTCCAGGGACAGCTCTGGGGGGAGGTCAATGGTGAAGACCTGGTGCCCCAGGAGGGCCTGTGCCCCCCAGTCCCACCAGCCCCACCAATGTGTCCATAGTGGTCACCAGGATATCAAAGTACTGTCAGCCACATCATTCACAGATTCTGTGTTTGCAAATGTTCCTACTCCCTAAAATTCATCTGTAATCCCCAAATGCTCGTGGTCTTCCACGGCCATTCACAGATAGGCTCGGAGGGGCAAGATCTTTGGTCAAACAGGGCCAGGCTCCACTTCTCGTTCCAGCTCCGACTGTAGATGGGGTCCCCTGGCTTCTCCTTCTGGCCCCGACTGTATACGGGATCCCCCGGCTTCTCGTTCTGGCCCTGACTCTACACGGGATCCCCCGGCTTCTCGTTCTGGCCCTGACTGTATACGGGACCCCCCGGCTTCTCGTTCTGCCCCTGACTGTTTACGGGCTCACCTGGCTTCTCGTTCTGGCCCTGGCTGTATACAGGGTCCCCCAGCTTCTCGTTCTGGCTCTGAATGTGCAGGGGGTCCCCTGCCTTCTCCATCCAGCTCCGACTGTACACAGGGTCCCTACTACTGCTTAAGTGGCACGTTGTCTACATTTTTGTGCTTTTTGTGCTTTGGTGATTTCAATGTTTAGAACACACCAACCACAGGCTGAGGTGCTGTCGGTACCCAGGGCACAAGTGTCTGAGATACGCCTCGCAGGAAATGCGTGTGTGGAGAAGCTTGGCTCCAGCATGGGTCATGGAGCTGTTGGCTCTAAGAATCGTCAATAGGTATTAAATAAGGCATCTTTATGCAGAAACACATGGAAAACCAAGTTACCTATTGAGGGGCTGGGGAAAGCCTGTGGCCAGAGGCTCCCCGGAGCCCAGAGTTCCCCCTGGAGCAAGTGCTCAGCAGCCACCATTCAGCATCCACGGTGTCTCTAGAGCCAAAACCACTGCAAATGACAAGAACTGACTGTATTTCCCTGGGAAGCGTCAAGTGAATGCTGCCTGGAGGCCCCTTCCCTGCAGCCTCCCAGCTGCCTGAGCCCCCCCACTCAGTCCCCTTGCGTCCCCACAAGTCAGCAACTAAAGGTTGAGGCCTGGCCGGCTCGGCCCCACTGTGGGGTGAGGCTCAATGCCCCCTGATTATGGCAGCCCTGGCCCCGCCACTCCCACACCTGGTGAACAGAGCTGAAACCCCAAATACCCCTTCAAGTGTGCGGAATTCCTAGGGATGTGCGTTCTGGACCCTCCCTCTGCCTGTGCCATCTCAGACTCTCCTCCTGGTGGGAAAGTCTCTCTTTCTAGTATTTTCCGTGAAAGCCCTGCACATGCGAGGCGGCGTCCTCCGCACAGCTCTCATGAGTGTCCCATGGATTCCACCGAACAACGGTGGTCCAGACTTCCCGTCTCACCGACTCCACCCTCTCCCCACCCTCCTTCCCTTCCCTTTTCTCTGGACTCACACCCACTCCCTCAGAGCAAGCAGTGCCTCCTTCGCACGCCCCGCCCTGCTGGATGCTGTAGCTCTGGCCCAGGAGGCAGTGGAGCCTGGTGTCCGGCTTCAGTGGGGCCTCGAGACTTTCCTTCAAAGACAAGGCTCTTCCCACATTCTGCGCAGTGTTGTAGGGTGAATGCCGGGGCCAGGGGTTTGGGCCCAGCCAGGACCAGGATGGTGCTGCCTGGCTCTGCTCCGTTTTGTGTGGAGACCAGGACCTTACAGCAGGGCCCTCGAGGGAGTCAGAGACTCGGGTCCGGCCCAGCAGAGCCCGTGAAGCCTTGGGTGGGCTTGTCTGTGGCTCGGCATCTCTGTCTCTTCATTGCGGGGATGGGGAGGGAGATCCCGCCTCTCCTGTGGGATGGGGGGAGGCAGTGCCCTGGCACCCGCTTGGAAGGGATCCATTCACCCACCTCAGGCGGCTCTCCAGGTACATGCTGTGAACACATGAGGCGCTGGGGTAGATGGCAGGAAGGCAGGACAAAGTCCTGTCTCTTGCACGTTGAGGGGAAGCAGAGAGCGTAGCGGAGGGGATGATTTTAGATGGTGATGAGTTCTGAGTTCTGGGAGGAAAATGAGGCAGGGAGGAAAATGAGGCAGGGACTGAGGTGCCGTCACCGGGAATGGCTTCAGGTTAGAACCTGGGAGGTCTCCAGGGTGCAACCCAGAGCTGAGGTCCGAGTGAGGGCAGGAGCCAAGGCCCCGGGGCAGGAAGCAGGAGCGTGGCTGGCATACTGTGAGTGAGGATGCGACCCACGAGGGCTGCAGGGGCTGGGGGGGCCACAGCTGCCGTGAGGAGCCGGAACCGCAAGTGCAGCAGGATTGGGGCCCATGGCTCCCAGCAGGGGAGCGGCTCTGGAACCCTCTACAAGCTCACACTGGCTGCTGAATGGACAACTGAGGGTGTGGGGACAGGAGGGGATGGGGAAGCAGGGGGGAGGAAAGGACTGAGCGCATCTGGTCTCCAGGGGTGCCAGCACAGGTGTGGACGTGGGTGCTGTGGATGTGTGCGCCATGGATGTGGGCGCTGTGGATGTGGGCACCGTGGATGTGGGCGGTGTGGACCTGGGTGCTGTGGATGTGGGTGGTGTGGACGTGGGTGCTGTGGAGGTGGGTGGTGTGGATGTGGGCGGTGTGGACGTGGGCGCTGTGGTTGTGGGTGCTGTGGATGTCGGTGGTGTGGACGTGGGTGCTGTGGATGTGGGTGGTGTGGACGTGGGCGCTGTGGTTGTGGGTGCTGTGGACGTGGGTGCTGTGGATGTGGGTGATGTGGACGTGGGCGCTGTGGTTGTGGGTGCTGTGGACGTGTGCGCTGTGGACGTGGGTGCTGTGGACGTGGGTGCTGTGGACGTGGGTGCTGTGGACGTGGGTGCTGTGGTTGTGGGTGCTGTGGATGTGGGTGCTGTGGATGTGGGTGCTATGGACGTGGGTGATGTGGACGTGGGTGCTGTGGTTGTGGGCGCTGAGGACGTGGGCGCTGTGGACGTGGGCGCTGTGGATGTGGGTGGTGTGGACGTGGGCACTGTGGTTGTGGGTGCTGTGGTTGTGGGTGCTGTGGACGTGGGTGCTGTGGTTGTGGGTGCTGTGGATGTGGGTGCTGTGGATGTGGGTGCTATGGACGTGGGTGATGTGGACGTGGGTGCTGTGGTTGTGGGTGCTGAGGATGTGGGCGCTGTGGACGTGGGCGCTGTGGATGTGGGTGGTGTGGACGTGGGCACTGTGGTTGTGGGTGCTGTGGTTGTGGGTGCTGTGGATGTGGGCGCTGTGGATGTGGGTGGTGTGGACGTGGGTGCTCTGGATGTGGGTGCTGTGGACGTGGGTGCTGTGGATGTGGGTGATGTGGACGTGGGCGCTGTGGTTGTGGGTGCTGTGGACGTGTGCGCTGTGGACGTGGGTGCTGTGGACGTGGGTGCTGTGGACGTGGGTGCTGTGGACGTGGGTGCTGTGGTTGTGGGTGCTGTGGATGTGGGTGCTGTGGATGTGGGTGCTATGGACGTGGGTGATGTGGACGTGGGTGCTGTGGTTGTGGGCGCTGAGGACGTGGGCGCTGTGGACGTGGGCGCTGTGGATGTGGGTGGTGTGGACGTGGGCACTGTGGTTGTGGGTGCTGTGGTTGTGGGTGCTGTGGATGTGGGCGCTGTGGATGTGGGTGGTGTGGACGTGGGTGCTCTGGATGTGGGTGCTGTGGACATGAGCTTGTGGCTGTTTCTGCCTCTGCTTCCTCCTCCTGTGCTGTCTATTCCTGGACTGGGCAGAGGACAGCACAGAGAACAGCCTGTTGGGTGGCAATGGCTCCGTGCCCATCACCCCAAGACACAGCGCGTTGGGACGGCCTCGCTTACTCCCATGGTGCCGCAGGGGTGGGGCCGCCTCTCACTGAGGGTCCGTGGCTTGGCCGGTCCGCTCTGCATGGCGAGGCCTGTCCTAGGGCCCAGGCTGGGCAGTCATGATGGGGGCTCTGTGTGTGGTGAGGGCAGACGGGGCAGGCACCTGGCTCTGCAAGGTCCAGGCTGGGAACAGGGACATCATCGCTTGGGCCCTCTTTCCACAGGCAGCTCAGAGACCAAGCCCTGAGTCAGGGAGGTGGGAAATTGGCACCCCTGATGAAGCCACTGCAGAGAGCAGTGAAGCACCATGGCCAGGAACGTGGGTGCTGCTGGCACTGGTGTCCCCCGAGCAGCTTCTCTCAGCAGCTATGGGACGGTGACAGCACTGACTCCACCAGCCAAGGAAGAAGATCGGATCTGAGGCAGCAAAAGTTCCTTCACCCCCAGTGCACGCCCAGTGCTGGGCTCAGGACCCCTGAGCTCCATCTCCACCATCTGCACAGTCCTGGGACGGGGACTCAGTGGTGACCCGCCTGTGACCAAGGAGGACCCTCAGCCAGGAGAAGTCAGGCAGCTCAGTGGGCAGCAGCGTCTGGACCAGGGGCTGCTTGGTTCTCTTAAGCACAGACGCAGCAGTGAGGGGAGGCATGGAGCCCCGGGTGGAGGGAGGATGGGAATGGCAGCGTCTCTCTTCAAAACACACTCATTCAGAGGCCTGGCAACCCTCACTTCCTCCGCAAGGAAGCTGTGAGCAGCAGCGTGGCTGGGGTGTCCCCTAACCCCCATGCAAGTGACGGGTGACCACAGTGAAGGCCCAGCTCCTCCACTCCTTCTGGCCAATGAAGCAGATTCAGGCAAAGCAGGGGGCGTCTGCCAAGTCCCCTTAGCTGTGTAACGTGACACTCACCGGTTCCAGGGATTAGGGTGTGGACAGCTTTGGGGCTACTGCCAACCACATAAAGTAAAACCAGTTTGCCATTCATGCAAGGCAGGGGCGACTGGAGAGCAAGAAGCCTCTTTTGGGATTAAATATATGACAACAAAACCAATTCAATGGACAGGCTAGTTGGCAACATGGCACGACAAAAGATCAAGCCGATGAGATGAAAACCAAGAGAATGAAAACGGAGAATGAAGCGTTGGGAGGCAGGAGATAAACCGGGAGGGGAAACGTTCACTTAACAGGGGTTACAGAAGAGAAAACAGGGATGGCAGATGGGAATACAGTCACATCATTAACAGAGCAAACTTCCTGGAGCTGAACGTTGGCATGAGTGTGGATTGCCACGCATGACTGTGATTCACGGCAAGATATGCCCTGACCAAATCTAGGATCCCAACAACAAAAAAAATCAGTTTCCAGAGACAGGCAGAAACAAAATGCCAGTCTGAATAAGAAAGAGGGTCCTGCTGACCTCAGAACGCCGGGCATTGGGCAGCCATCTGGAACCATGCTCAGCCACCCTCCTGCCGGGTCCAACGCTGGGCATCAGGCAGCCGTCCGAAACCACGCTCAGCCACCCTCCTGCCGGGTCCAACGCCGGGCATCGGGCAGCCGTCCGAAACCACGCTCAGCCACCCTCCTGCCGGTTCCAACGCTGGGCATCGGGCAGCCGTCCAGAACCACGCTCAGCCACCCTCCTGCCCCCAATGCTGGGCATCGGGCAGCCGTCCAGAACGACGCTCAGCCACCCTCCTGCCGGGTCCAATGCCGGGCATCGGGCAGCCGTCCGGAACCACGCTCAGCCACCCTCCTGCCCCCAACGCTGGGCATCAGGCAGCCATCTGGAACCACGCTCAGCTACCCTCTGGCCAGGCGGCCAATCCCCACCTGAGGCCTGAGCCCCACGGATGATGAGGTGTCTCTCTCTCTCGAGTTAGAAGCTGCTGTGCCTGCCTCTGGGAGACATCCAATTCCAGACTTTCCAAAGTGAAAAATGCAAGTGCAGTATCGATATTTTAAAATAGCATGATTACGTATTTATCTCACAGGATTAAAATAAGAAGGGGAAGTGATTTGTGTCATTTTTCAATTCTACGTCCAATCTGTATCCTTCAGTCCTACATAAATACGGACACTTTGTTTACTCATTTAAAATGGAATATTCCAGAAAGTCCAGAGGTTCCGGGAGGCTCAAAGCCTCGGCTCTGCTGAGGGGAGAAAGCCACTCACTGCCCTGTGGGGGGCGGAGGGTCACAGACTGGAATCTTCCCAGGGCATCGGTCCCTCCCTCCCCATAGCAGGAATCCTACAGAGATCCCACCAGGCTCCAGGAGCTGGCGCCGCGAGAGAAGGTCCCCTCCCAGGCGGGCAGTTGTGGGATATTAGCATCGGGTATTTCACAAGTTTGTGTTTCCACTGGCCTTCCTCCGAGGACCAGAGACCTCTCTGTGCAAGCTGACAAAAGGCAGCCCAGCCTCAGGGGTCCATGCCGCCTCTTTCTGGCTTAAAACTATTGCCCAGGCACCCGCCCCCAAATCCAAGATGCCCCAGAGACTCCCAGCTCAGAGACAGCCAATGGTGCCATCTTTGTGGGGAGACACCCCTCTCACTCCCGTCCCCCTGGGAACAGCATCTCCAAGCCGCGTCTGCTTGCCCAGCACAACTGAGCACCTAGAACTTTCCCTGGCCCGGCCCCCTTGGGCACCCATTCCACACACCCTGACCAAGCTGCGGAGCCTCCCTGTCAGCCCAGAAGTTCCACCGGCTCCTTTCCAGTCGACACTGCCCCACCCCGGGGTCCCCGTCCTGCCCCGATGGCCATGGGGTGGGTTGTGATTCCGTCTGTTCTTGAACCTCACGCCGGCGGCCACACGGGATGAGGTCTCCTGTGTTGATCTTTGGCTTGGCGTCACGTGTGTGAGCCACGTCTCGGCTGCTGCCTGTGTCGACGGCTCGGTTCTTCCTACCCCAGAGTAGCAGCACGCATGTGGATGTGTGTTCAGCTCAAGTTACACAGGCGGATGGTGTCAAGGGCTGGTGGGGATGGTGGCGGCGGCATGGCGTTTAAAATACCTAATCTTAGAGCCGTTGCAATTTTCGGGTTAATATTTTTAACATTAGTAGGCCTGACCATCAGAGCAGTTTCGGGTTGATAGAGACTGAGCGGAGTTCCCGCATCCTCTGCCCCGCAGGCACAGCGCCTGGGCGTGAACGTGTGTGACTGTGTCACTGTCGATGAGCCAATGCTGCCCGATGCAGGAAACTCACTGAGGGCCGTGGCTCACGGGGGGCTGGCGTGCGTGAGTGTGACTGTGTCACCGTCGATGAGCCGATGCTGCCCGATGCAGGTGACTCACTGAGGGCTGTGGCTCACGGGGGGGGGGGGGGGCGCTCACTCAGTGTCACACCTGCTGTGCGTTTGGACAATTGCGTAAGAACAAGTATTGGCCAGTGCAGTGACTCACGCCTGTAATCCCAGCACTTTGGGAGGCCTAGGTAGGTGGATCGCTTGAGGTCAGGAGTTCAAGACCAGCCTGACCAACACGGTGAAACCCTGTCTCCACTAAAAATACAAAAATTTGCCAGTTGTGGAGGCCCACCCATTTACTCAGGAGGCTGAGGTGGGAGGATTGCTTGAGCCTGGGAGGTCCAGGCTGCAGTGAGCTGAGATCATGCCACTGCACTGCAGCCTGGGTGACAGAGCAAGACCCTGAATCAAAAAATACATAATAATAACAGATATCCACCATTGCAGCATCACACAGAGTCCACTGCCTTCAACGCCTCATGTACCACCCATTCATCCCTCCCTCTTCCGCCTGGCACCGCCCTCTCACTCCGCGCACAGCCTTGCACTTTCTGGAATGTCCTGAGCTGGCAGCCTGCCATCTGCAGGGAGTTTGCTGGGCTTGTACCGGGGGAAGCGGCCGTCGGGGAGAGGGGCGGGAGGGGCGTCTCCTGGGTGCAGACGCAGCGTGTCCTGGGCCTGCCTGACCTCCCTCTCTTCCTTTCCCCCAGGCCTTGCCAAGCCCATCGGCCTGGTGGAGGGGCCAGGAGGCCTGGGCCAGGGTGGCTTGGCGGCCACCCTGCGTGATGACGGCCAGGAGGCGGAAGGCAAGTATGAGGAGTACGGCTACAACGCTCAGCTCAGCGACCGCATCTCCCTCGATCGGAGCATCCCCGACTACCGGCCCAGAAAGTGAGTGAGTGACTGCCCCCCATCCCCCGACGCCCGCCGAGGAAGTGACCGCCCCCCACACTGGCCAGGGAAGTGACTGCCCCCCACGCCGGCCGGGGAAGTGAGCGGCCCCCACGCCCGCCAGGGAAGTGACCGCCCCCCACGCCCGCCGGGGAAGTGACCGCCCCCCACGCTGGCCGGGAAAGTGAGCGCTCCCCCGTGCTGGCCGGGGACTGCCCCCACGAGCTGCGGGCTCCTGGGAGAAACGCGCAAAGGTCTGCTGTGGGAAAGTGGAGCAGTCAGGAGCCCCCACCTGTGGGGCCCTCCTGCCTCCTCTGTCTTCCCTGTCTCTCCTCCTCTGTCTCTCCTGTCTCTCTCTGTCTCTCCCTCTCTCCTTCTCTCAATCTCTCTGTATCTCTCTCTGTCTTTCTCTATCTCTCTGTGTCTCTCCCCCTCCCCTACTTTTGGCTGCGGGCATCCTTCCCAGGGCCTAGCCCCAGGCTTGGGGCACTCCTGCCATAGCTGCATCTGGGGATCACGGAAGCTGGGCTGAGGCACCATGGCTCACGCAGCAGAGGCGCCCTGTGTCAGGCCCTGCCAGCCCTGGTCCCACCTGCTGTGGCCTCAGTCACTGCTGAGCTGGGTGTCGCTTGTGTCTGAAGCGAAGGGCATTCCCGTTCCATCCGTGGCCTGCGCACCTCCCATCCTGTCGCCCCCAGGCTGCAAGAGCGGGTGAATCAGGAGCCGGGCCCTGGCCGCCACGGCTTTGCCTCAGTGCCACTCAGGATGGAGCTTGGTCGCTGACCCTCACACCTGCCCTGAGGGAGTAGCCGCGACAAGCGCCAGATTAATTGGCATTGTTGCTCGGATAAAGTTTGGCTGAGCTTGGCCTCTGGGCCTGGGAGCGACTGGCAGGCTTGGCCAGCCCCTCCTGCGTCTCTGTCCGCAGAGCCCAGCCCGCGACAGGATGCTCCCTGGGAGGGCCCCTGGTGGCATTGTCCTGCAGAAGCCGGGCGCTCAGGGCTGCCCAGTGGGGCCGCGTTTCACCGTGGGGTGGTGGCAGGTGGCCTCAGCCACACTTGCCTCCTCCTGGAGCTGCCTGAGGGAGGGCAGGCAGGAGGGCAGCCCCCTCTGCAGCTCCTGGTGTGGTCAGCCTGCCCCACCCGCCAGGGAACCCTGACACCGGGATTCTTGGGCCAGGAGCTCATTTGAGATGGGGATCAGGAGGCTGGCAGGGAAGAGAGGGGAGGAGGAAAGGCGTGTCTCAGCCCCATTCCATTCCTTGTGACTCAGGCAGTGGTTCCCAGGGCGTTCACTCACCTGCTCTGGGGTTCCCCATGTGTGGACAGAGGGAGGCGAGATGCTGGACAGGCCCGCAGGGTCCAGGGGTGCAGGGAGCGCCCCGGGCTGCGTGGAGGTTGGTGCAGGAACCCGGAGCTCCCTGTTCTAGCCAGGTGGGGCCCACTTCACACCCTTCCCACAAATGCGTGCTGGGGACTGATTCTAGGTGTGATGAAGCTTCCTTAGACAGCACGGCAGTGCGAGTGAGGCGTGCCCAGCTCCCGAGGCTCTGATTCCTCCTGGAGGGGGTTTCCCCGAGTCCTTTAGACAAACAGGGCTGAGGCCTGGGCATGGAGGCTTGGACACCTCAGCCACATCCAGAGTGTGACAACATTATTTTATTTTCATTCTACTTATTTTCATGGTTACCATGATTTAACACAAGTGATGCCAGCTTTCCATTTGCAGCGGTGAAATGAAGATTCCCTTTCAAATAAAAAATGCATTTAGTTTTAAAATAGGCCAGTTTAAAGAAACATGCTCCATAAATAAGAACACAGTGGTGTTTTCATGTGGCGCCAGCTACAGGCATGGGGCTGGAATGACTTCGGTTTGGAAAGCGGCTCGTGTGTGTTAGCCAGCCTGTGCACTGAGGGTGCACGGTGTGTGTGTGTGTGCGTGCGCGCGCGTTGTGTGCGGGTGGGTGTGGGTGTGTGCGTGTGCACCTGCATGTGTGCGGGTGTGTGCGCATGTGTGCATGTGTGCACAGGAGTCTGTGTGTGCACGTGTGCACACACATGCGTGGGTGTGCGTGTGTGTGTATACGTGCGTGTGCGTGCATGTGCGTGGGTGTGCGTGCATGTGCGTGTGTGCATATGTGTGCGTGTGTACATGCGTGTGTGTGCATGTGTGCACGTGTGTGTGTGGTTTTTGAACGCTCCTGTGTGTCCTGAATTTGGGGGTGAAATCTGTTTGCTCTCAGGGCTAGCCCCACTGCTGGAGTGAGCACCGTTCTTGGCTGTGAGCCTCCAGGCAGCTGTGTGGCAGGAAGACCCCCGAGACCACCTTGACGGTCCACAACTTGCTAGAAGGACAGACAGAGCCCAGACAGGCTGCTTTTCCCTGCTGTGGGTTCTCACAGCAGAGGACATGGGTTAAAGTCAGCAGAGGGAAGAGATGCCCAGGCAGGGCCCAGGAGAGGCCAGGTGCGAGCTCCCAGGTGTCCCCTCCTGGGGGGGGGTCCCATGGACTTGATTCTCCGGCACCCATGTGTGACAACACGTGCCAAGCGAGGCCAGCCAGGAGCCCCCGAGCCTCGGTGACCATGGTCCTCACTGGGCTGGTCTCGTGGACATGGCTGACCTTGGTCTCCACCCTCCAGAGGTCAGGCTGATGCCGTGAGGCCAAGTGCCCACCGTGAATCCCACCATTGCACAGACCAGCTGGGGCTGCCAAGGCCAGGTGAGCAGGGCTGTCCTCTCCGGCAGGAGGTTCCGGGGCAAGGAGGGGCCGGATGTGGGCGCTCAGGGTGTGGAGGAGCCAGCTGCCAAGTTAACCCTTTCCTGCTCACAGCAACAGTGGAAACATCAGAGCCATCTGACAGAGGAAGGTCTCCAAGTACCCCGCCCCGTCCCCATCATTCCTCCCGTCACCTGGGAGGCTTCCAGCCGTGAGGAAGGCGCGACCCGGGCCCTGCTCTCCCGGCCTGCCTGTTTTATCTCCTAGCTCTTGCTGTAAGGGAGGAAGGCTGCGTCCGGCACTGGTTTTCGAATCCCTGCAGGCCCTCGGTCCCCTGTGGAGTCCTCTGGAGGATCCCAGCACCGCTGTGCGTGACCTTGGTCTTGTTGGCCGGCGGGGGCCCTGTGCGTTGTGGGGTCCAGTCGTGGGGGCCGGGTCGTCTCTGAGTCAGGACTGAACCCGAGCTGGGGGTGAAGCCCTGTGTGACCCTCTGCGTCCCCCCGAGGTTCGTTTTCCAGAGGCCTGGGAGTCTGGACCCGGCTGCTGAGCCAGTGCAGGGTGGGGCGAGGGTCTCTCGGGTCCCATCCTCGCCCCATATCAAGGGGTGGCTTTTCTAGCACAGACGTGGGCCTGCGTGTCACAGACGGTCGTCATTTGCCTCCTGAGGTCCTGTCCCGGCTCCAGATGGAAGTCCACACCCCCCGCTCTGATCCATTTCAGCCCAGCTGCAGATCCCGCCGCCCAGGTCTAAACCAGTCAGAGCGTGAAGGTCACCCCAGACCTAGGGGTTGGCTCAGGGCTGGTCAGGTGGTTTAAGCCAGTCCAGTCAGAGTGAATTCTGGAATTACCAGCGGGCCATCGAGAAAAAAACAGGCAGCCTTTTCCCACAAGATGAAACCAAGGCTGGGAGCTGGGGGAGCTGCAGCAACCTTATCATCAAGAGGGGAGAGCTTGGAGCTTCCAGGGTCCCTCACGAAACCCAAGAAGGGGCCAGTGTCTGAACACCTAGATCCAGCTGTTCCCAAAACAGACCCACTTGACTTTGCAATAAATTACCACATGCGTGCACACACACATGCACACGCACACACACGCATGCACGCACACACGCACACACACGCACACACGCGCACACACGTATTTTTAGTTTTTTCTTTAAGCACATCTGAATTGGGTTTTCTGTTCTTAGAGCTGCAGGGGTCCCATTGGATTCCCCCTCTGTGGGATGTGGGACCCCAGGCCTGGCCTTGCTGTAGTGGAGCTGATTCCCCCTCTGTGGGATGTGGGACCCCAGGCCTGGCCTTGCTGCAGTGGAGCTGATTCCTCTTCTGTGGGATCAGGGACCCCCAGGCCTGGGCTTGCTGTAGTGGAGCTGATTCCTCCTCTGTGGGATCGGGGACCCCCAGGCCTGGCCTTGCTGTAGTGGAGCTGATTCCTCCTCTGTGGGATCAGGGACCCCCAGGCCTGGGCTTGCTGCAGTGGAGCTGATTCCTCCTCTGTGGGATCGGGGACCCCCAGGCCTGGCCTTGCTGCAGTGGAGCTGATTCCTCCTCTGTGGGATGTGGGACCCCAGGCCTGGGCTTGCTGTAGTGGAGCTGATTCCTCCTCTGTGGGATCGGGGACCCCCAGGCCTGGCCTTGCTGTAGTGGAGCTGATTCCTCCTCTGTGGGATGTGGGACCCCCAGGCCTGGGCTTGCTGTAGTGGAGCTGATTCCTCCTCTGTGGGATCGGGGACCCCCAGGCCTGGGCTTGCTGCACAGTGGGGGCTCTTGCTCTCCTTTTGAGGGTTCAGCATCCTGCTGCCTCCCCCCAGGTGTAGGTGGCCGCTGCTGTAGGAAACCTGTCTGCCAAGATAAAGTCTGGCAGAAGTGGCCAGTCCCAGCTTTGTTTTTACGTCACAGAGAACGACATCGGGATGAACCTTGACAGAGCCGGCATTTGCTCTATACCCTCACTGATAGAAACCCAGTTTATAGATACTCTGGTTTGAAGGCACACAGCTCTCTGCCTCCTGAATTAGAGAATGTGAATTTTATATAGATATTTACACATGTATTTATATCCCATTTCTTTCCCAAAAAAAGTGAGGAGGCTTTGACACCAGTGACACACACACTCCCACACCCAGCCCACCCCTGCACACGTGGCTGAGAAGCTCGAATGCGAAGGAGGCCTCCTGGCCCCTCGCCTGCCCCTCACGAGCCCTGCCCACAGTCTCTGAGGCTCCACGCCCAGCCTGGAGCTTCCCCGGTGCCTGCGGAATGTATCACAGGGAATTGTTCACGTGCAACAGCCCTCACAAGCGTACCACTTAGAACGCAGACCCCGGTGGACGCTGGGTCTTATCCATCTTCCCAGGAACCACTTTCCTAAAAGGAGCTTGGGTGGAGAGACCCTATCCCGGCGCGGCTCAGCGAGTGTGGCTGGGAAGCGTCTCCACAGTGCCTGGCCTTTCCCTGGGGCCACTGAAGAACCACTGGCTGCAGGCGGCTGGCTGCAGGGGGCTGGCTGCAGGGGCCTGGCTGCAGGGGGCTGGCTGCAGACCACGCATCGCTCCCTTAATCCCTGCAGCAAGGCTTAGAGGCAGAGCCTCTTATTGTCCCATTTTACATATGGGGAAACTGAGGCAGGAAAGGTTAAGTCTCTTTATTCAGATCCCACAGAGAGTAGGTGGCAGAGCGGGGACGTGGAGTCTAGAGATTTGGCAGAAAAAGAGTGGAAACCTCAGTCATTCTGAGGGACCAGACGGGGGTGCAGGCTGAAAGCTGAGCCTGGGAGGGGCTGGGGGGCCACCCTGAGGGGTCTCTTCCCCGGGGTCTTGTCTCCCTCTGGGGTGGGCTCTGTCCCACTCCTTCCTCTGCTGGCTCAGGAGTCTGGGGGCTCCGCCTCCTTTCCACAGCTGCCGCCTGCCAGCCTCCTCCCTACTCTGGGCTGGGGGCACGGCCTGCCTCTGTCTCCAGCCCTCCGGGGAGGACGTGGGGCCCCGTTCCCCTAACCGCTCTCAGAAGCTTCCACGCGGGCCCCTTCTGGACACTTTGCTTCACAGACACAGACAGGGCAGCGGCAGAACTTGCAGATCACAAGGTTCTGTTTTCACCCAGTCTCTGTGCTGCCAGGCCACAGGTCCTCAGGAATGCCTGTGAGGCACATCTGTCTCCAGGGCCTCCTGTGAGTGTCTCCTGTCCTTCAGGCATCTCCTCACCTTGGAGAAGAGACATTTGTGTCCCTCATCCTCCAAAACGAAACCCCTTACTGCTGGCCATCCTGATAGTTCAGTCAGTAAGACATAAAATCCAATTAGAAATGGCTCAACCCAAAAAGGGAATCTGTTGACTCAGGCAACTGAAAGGTGGGGCTTCAGGCATGGCTTGATCTAGGGGATAGTCCAGCCCCTGCCTGCTCTCAGGTTAGATGTACCTTGACTGTCAGGATCCTTGCAGGAAATTGATGGTGCCCTCACGTGGACACAGGCAGAATCCAGGAGACCTGGTGGACACTGGGCATCCAGGAAGTGAATTCAGGAGATTTGGCAGACACTGGGCATCCAGGAAGTGGATCCAGGAGACCTAGCAGACACTGGGCATTCAGGAAGTGAATCCAGGAGACCTGGAGGACACTGGGCATCCAGGCAGGGACCACAGTGAATCCAGGAGACCTGGCGGACACTGGGCATCCAGGAATTGGATCCAGGAGACCCAGTGGACACTGGGCATCCAGGCAGTGACCACGGTGAATCCAGGAGACCCGGCGGACACTGGGCATCCAGGAATTGGATCCAGGAAGTGACCGCACTGGGATGTTCTTCTCCCCACGGCCTGAAGGGACAGGGGTGAGAATCACAGGCGCCCAGCAAGAGCTGGAGCTGCAGAGAGAGGACAGGGGGTAGGGACAGTAACTCTGGAGAGAAGAAACCACTGCCAAGACTGTGGGGAGGGGACAGGGGATGCCCCTCACTCCTTCCACCCTCCAGACTCCGGGGCTGCCTCCCAGAACTGAACCCAACAGAAGCCGGAGGGTGCAGGAGCCTGGCAGGAAGCCCACAGCGGTCGCACAGGGGACAGCATGGGGCTGGGCAGAGCAGAGCCTGTGCTCGGGGAGGGGAGATCCCAGGGAGGAACCGGCCCAGCTCTGTCCTCACGCTCCAAGTCTGACAGCTGCAGCCAGCCGTCCCCACTGAGGACTTTGGACCGTCCCAGCAACCATGCAAGCAAAAGTCTCAGGCGACTTTCATTGGCCCATAGTGGGTCACGTGCTTATCTGGGACCCAGTCACAGCCAGCAGTCTGGGGAATGCCCTTCACTGATTGGTCAAGCCTTGTTAGGCCTTCCCTGTGGGAAATAAGAATAAATCCGCGTTGTAGGGAGCTGGGGAGCAGAGCAGCTGGGGAGCAGCCCCAGCAGAAACCTGGGTTACTGGGGAATGCAGAGCCCCCCGTCGGCCCCTGCCGTCCCACACGCGGCCCTCTCTAGCCCTCTGCAGTGACAGTCACCATGCCGTGGGGTCTGATGGTAGCCACTGGAGGCTGAGTCCTGTTGGGATGGGATGGGCTGGGCTGGGTGATGGGGCAGAAGCCTCCCCGGGGGCGGGCCAGCATCCACACCAGGGGGCAGCGACATTTTCTGTAATGTGTCAGGGCAGAGTTGGGACCTTCAGGGACACCGAATCGCACTCTAGAAGTGACTTCGGGCACTGAGCTTGCATGTCCCTGACCTCCTGTGGTCCTCAGCTGCAGGGCCGACAGCTCCAGGCTCCCGAGGCACGAGGAGGGGTCCCTGCCTGCCCGAGCCCAAGCGGCGTGTGCCGTGGGAACACCCTTTGGTGCTGGCAGCAGTCGGGTCTTCTGTCCCGCGATGGAAGAGCACGCAGGGAAGGGATGCTTAAGTGAGCCCTCCCGATTCCCCTAAACCAGCGGCTGGAGACACAACCAGACGGCGGGCCCCAGCCCCGGGGAGGGCCACTCAGCCTCCACTTCCTCTTGGCTCTCTCCACCGCCCTGAGTCACTGGCCCGCAGGTGTTGGGGACAGTGGGGTCCGGGTCTGGAATGGTTTCTCTGGCCGTGTCAGCACCGGCTCCCGGGGAGGCTGCCTGGCTCAGACCCTCCCGGGCGGGGGCTGTGGATGTAGAGATGACACCATCGGGTTAGGGGCCTCCTGTTCCAGCCTGCTGTGCTGTTTTTAAGTCCTCAAATAACTTGTATGTTTGATGCCTGATTATTTTATTTTTGGTATTTTTTTAAACTCAGAAGTCTGCATTATCCACACCTTGAGACATACCCAGAGAGTGCGACGTGGCGCCCACGCTGTGGTGGGAAGGAGGTTTAAACAGGGTCTTGCTGGAGCCCCTCCCTAGCGAAGCCCTGGACGGCTTTAACCCACTCCCAGCCCCCGGGGGCCTCGGGGAGCCCAGCAGCCTGGCCCCTGCCTACTGTCCCCGGGGCTTCCCCAGAGCCCGCAGGGGCCAGAGAGAGGGGTTAGAATGGGGAGGAGGAGTTTAGAAAAACCAGAGAGGGTGGGTGTGGGAGTGAGGGGGAGGGGGCCGGGGCGGGGGGAGGGCCTCAGAGCTGCTGGCCCTGGTCAGAGGGCCACTGACCGGGTGGCTTATAAACAACACGAGGAGTTTCTCACCATTCTCGAGGCCGGAAGTGCAAGATCAGGGTGCCGGTGGGGTGGGGCCTGGCGCAGGGTCTCTGCCAGGTCGTCAGCAGCTGTCCCCTCCTATCCTCATGGAGTGAAATGGGCGAGGGAGCTTGGGACTCCCATGAGTATGGCACGAATCCCATTTCCCAAGGTTCCCTTCCGGAACCTACGTGCCTTCAGGGCGGCTGTGTGAAGGTGAGTTGCTTCTGGCCCAGTGCTGCCAGCAGAGCCGGGGCCGCGGGGGGAGCCCCCAGCAGTCCTGGAGCTGCCAGGCTGTGAGGCAGCCCACACGCTTCACGCCGGGAGTCGACGTGGATGGGCCCTGGGGCAGCACGAAGAGAGGCGTCCTGCCAGTCCCAGCGCTCCAGCTGCAACCCAGAACCCCCCAGCAGGTCTGCCCCAGTGCCAACCCCAGCAACCGTGGCAGAAAGTCACACGACGGTCTGGTCGCTGCACGAAGCCACACGCTGGAGGCCGGCTATGCAACAAGGACAGGGACATGGGCGAGGAATGGCTCAGACTGGACGTGGCATCGCGGTGACACTTGGGCATGTGATGTTAGCAGGCGTCTGTGGGAGTCTTCCATCCCCTGCAAGCAGCCACGGAAGCTGCATCTTGTCCCACGTGGGTGGATGTGCCTGGCCATTGCAGGCCCCAGCAAGCGTCCATGGATGATTAAAGAAGTAAACAAAAGCAAGCTCAGCCCGGCCCACTTGAAACTCAGACTTGGATTCCCTGCATGGCTTTAACCCCTCAGAGGCCAACTATCCCGGCAGAAACTGCACTGCTGATTGGTTTGGTTTGACAGGGCTGGTCATCGGAAACACACATAGAATGTAGGAGAGTGTGTGTGTGTGTGTATGTGTGCATGCCTGTACATGCGCATGTATCTGCGTGTGTACATGTGTGCATGTATCTGTGTGTGTGAGATGTATGTACATGTGTGTGTGTGTCCACAGATGTGTGTGCATGTGTGGACATGTGTGCATGTGTGTGTGTGTTCTGGCACCAACAGGTGATTCCATCCACTTTCAAACCCAACTCCTCACCACTTTCTCCATTAGCTGCATTACTGATTTCTCTTTGTCAGACGGTAGATGCTTGTCTAATTAGGCAGTGGCTTTAATTATGCCACAAAGCACATAACATAGTCTTGATTATTAAGACTGGCCCATGGGATAATGAAAGGAAGACTGGCAAATCCAAATTAAGCAGAATCATAAAAATGAATGACCTTATCCGAGAAGCCGTCCTACATCCCAGCACAGTAACATGCCCCTGCTCTGTGTTTGCGGACTCCTCATGCATATTAATTGTTTAAGCCTGAGCAGCCTGGCTGTCAGCTCTAATAGATGCAGATTTACCGGATGGCACTTTGAGGAGCTGGGAGCAGGTACCTCAGCCCAGTCCAGATTCCTGATGAAGCTGCTCTGTCTAAAGCCTTCTGCGTCTCGGGTCTGGGATGGGAAGGGAGTAGACGTGGACGGTGAGGATGGGAGAAGCCAGGTACCATCGTGGAGATAGGCGGCGAGCCATGTGGCTTTTCTGCAGGAACAGCTACCAGGTTTCTTTCCTCATCAAGGTTGGGAGCTGCGGCCGGTTCCCCAGCTGACATCTTCCCGTTTCACACGTGCCCGGCTCTGTCCAGGCCTGGGGTCTGTGCCCTGGGAAGGAAATGTCTCAGGGGGAGTGGGACCCTTGGGTGAGCACCAGGGGAATGCACTCCCACTGGGTGGTCTTTGCCTTTGAAGCAGCTCTCCCGGCCTCTCCGGGCACAACTTT
This sequence comes from Homo sapiens, assembly GCF_000001405.40. NCBI lineage: Eukaryota > Metazoa > Chordata > Mammalia > Primates > Hominidae > Homo > Homo sapiens. Next base: position 182,472 of record NW_021160007.1, on the reverse strand, counting down.
AAGCAAGCTTGTCCTTGGTTCATGGAAGCCAACCGGAAAGCTGAGGTTCCTGCCCTGTGGCTTCCTGCTGCAATGTGGATTCACTGGGACCTGCGGGGCAGAGCCGGCTCGATGCCAGGCAGCCCTGGACTCTCTAAGCAGAAAGAGCCTTCTCAGGCCTGGGATCCAGCTCCCCCTTCTCCCACTGTGCGGGTGGCCTGGGATCCAGCTCCCACACACACACCTGGGCACACACACATGCACACGCAGCATCTCACCCACAGACCCAGCACACACCTGGAGACAGATGGACCTCAGACGGACCCCGGCGGCCCAGCCGAGGCGCTCGTGTCACCCATGGCTCCTGTTCATAAGGCGAAGGGCACGCGCCGATCGCAGACGATCACTTCCACACAGACTTGCATTATGTGGGTTTCATTTGCACGAAATCCACCTGGGCTGGACCAGGACTCCTTCAACAGCAAGTGACAGAAAATCCATCTCAAATTGGCTTAAGCTAGAAAGAGAGGCAGTGGGGAGAGAGACAGAGAAGGAGGGAGGGAGGGAAGTGTCCCTGCAATGACAAAGCCTGAGGAAGCCCTGGCGTTGGCCAGGAGGATTCACGGCTCAGGCGATATCATCGGGCCAGCGTCTTGCCAGCTCTCCGTGCTCCTCTTGGTCTTGCTGGCTTAGCCTGAGCCTCCACTGTCTGCAAGAGGCTGCAGCCACTCCAGCCTCACGTCCTGTCTCCCGGAGCCCAGCCAACCTCTCCTGGCTCTGATTGGGCCGTGTGTCTCTCCCTGAGCCTATTGCCATGCTGATTGGCTCAGCCTGGTCCTGTGCCCTCCCCTTCATCCAGGGCTGGAACTCCACCCAGCTACTTAGGGAGTTCCTGCCGGGCTGAGCCCCATGTTTTATGGGAAGGAGGAGGGAAGCGGCTGAGCAGGGCAAGAGCGAAAGTCCACTGCCTGGCAAGGACAGCCTAGACACGGGGGAAAGAAGGGACATGGAGGGGCTGAGCCCTGTCACACGTCATGCCCTGCATGCCGGGCTGGACATGGAGAAGCTGAGCGTGCAGTCTGGAGCTGAGGCTGGGAAGCCCTGATACATGGCTTAGAAGTGAGTTGGTGACAACTGGACGGTTCCCCAGCAGGGGCAAGCACCAGAGTGATGGGAACAGCCCCTGCTGCCAGGAGCCCACGGGGGGAGTGTGCACGTGTGTGCGTGTGTGTGGTGTATCCTGTGTGCACGTGGTATGTTCATAGATGTGTAGTGTCTGTGCATGTGTGCGTGTGTGTGGGGTATGTTCTTGTGTGTGGCATATGTTCATGTGTGCGTGTGTGTGGTGTCTGCTTATGTGTGCATGTGTGTGTGGTGCTGTAGCTTCTAATTCAGCCCAAGCCACAACTTAGACTTTTAATGTTACGTTCAAACAAAACCATTTGGAGACTCACCCACAGCTCTGAGGCTTTGGACGACGCCCGCTCATCACCTGCCTTCCCCTCTGCTGAGTGCAATGAATTCAAGCTCCATAAAGGCCACACATGGAGCCCTGTGTGCGTCTACAGTTCTGGGTCCCGAGATGAGGCGGTGAAACAGCAAACCCACACCCAGAACCCCTGCCCCAGGAGCCCCAGCCAGCAGGAGAGCAGGGCAGGGGTGCAAAGAGCAAGCCGGGGGTGGGGGTGGGAGAGGCAGAGCAGCAGGCTGGAGGCCGGGGCTCTGGTGGGATTTTACGTTGAGCACGGGGTGAGCCTCTTGAAGGGTGAGGGCGTGTGTGGCCATCCAGGTGGGGGTGGGGAGCGCAAAGGCCCTGGGGCAGGAGCAGGCCTGGAGCGCAGGCCACAGAGCCAGGGGCCGGGCGCAGGTGAGTGAGCCAAAGGGAACCAAGAGGGGATGGTGGAGGGAGCGGCCTGGCTGAGCAACCCGGGGCTTTGACCTTCTCAGGGGCAATGGGAAGCCTGGAATTGCATGGGCTGGTGTGGAGGTCACCGTGACCTTGCCAGGCCTGGGGGTGCAGCCGCAGTGCCCAGGGAGGTGAGAAGGGGCTGGCCAGGCTGCCTGTTGTGAAGAGCGGAGAAGTATGAGAGAGATGTGGAGCAGGGCGTCTGGCTTTTCTCTGACCTGCGATGGGCTGGTGGGAGCAGGAGCGAGCTGGCCTCACTGTGAATGTGAAAATGCTGGTTGGAGCACACCACGGTGGGTACTTCCTTCAACGGCTAAATGCGCCGAAGGCCTCCAAGCTTGACAGGGTTGAATTTCCTCCAAGGCCCTGGGAGGGGCGCCCTGTGCTCCCTGGATGGGGCCGACATTCCTGGCCTGTCCCCAGCTGCGTCGCCTCTGCCCAGCCCTCAATCACTGCAGCTCTCAAGTGGTCCTGGGTGCCGTGATCTTGCTGAACTCTGATGCTTTCCAAATACCATAAACTTAGTTTATTTTCTGTCTGACAGAAACGGCGCCACTTAAGTCCTGCAAAGAACCCTCGGGTTCCACTCAGGCTGAGTTATTCGGGGGCCACTGCTGAACGGTTTGCATTTGTTTCCTCTGTGACATCGGAGTGGGGAGGACGCTGCCTCCAGCACAGGGCCAGGGGCCAGGGCTGCTCACACAGAGCTGCTGGAGCCTACAGGGTCCCGGCTGTGGGTCCTGGGCTGCCCGCCCCCAGGAAGGGCACCTTGCCACCATTGAAGTGGGGCGAGCTGATTCGGGCACAGCTGGAAACCAGGAGGCAGCCAGCAGCAGCGGCCCTGAGCAAGAACAGGAACCCCAGGCCGAGGCGGGCGCATCACACGAGACCAGCCTGGCCAACATGGTGAAACCCCGTCTCTACTGAAAATACAAAAATTAGCCGGGCATGGTGGCACCCACCTGTAATCTCAGCTACTCGGGAGGGTGAGGCAGGAGAATTGCTTGAACCCGGGAGGTGGCGGTTGCAGTGAGCCGAGATTGTGCCACTGCACTCCGGCCTGGGCAACAGAGTAGGACTCTGTCTCAAAAATAAAGAAGAAAGAAAGAAGGAGAGTCCGGAAGCCACTGCTGCCCCCACCAGCAGAGTGGAACTGTGATTTCATAGAACAGACACAGCCTGGCAGCGAGAATGACCACAGTGCTCACAGCCACTCAGGTGGAATCTCAGGAACTCAATGTCAGGAGGAGGAGTGGGGCCCTAAGGCCCGTGTGCGGGAGACAGTGGCCATGGCGTCGAGCTCAAAGGTGAGCCGGGTGTGGCTGGGGATGGGAAGGCGTGGCGCAGAGCCACGGGGAAGGCACACGAGGTCCAGAGACGGCAGCCTGCGAAGTGGAGGGAGGGTGGACGCCGGGGTGATCACCCACTTTCCTAGACTGAGCGTTGGGCACAGGCTTTGTATTGCTTCATTCATCGTCATATTTGATGTATGTTTGATAAATATCCCTTTAAAAATTAAAGACAGTTTGTTAATTGAGAAGGGTACTGTATTATGGGTAAAAGAAATTATTTTATGCTAACTAGTGCTGGGTGAAAAATGAGGTGTATGTGTTCCATTATTTCCAATTTAAACAGCAGTTTGTCTACAAAGGTTTGTGATGAGTGTCAGGTGTTAGGTGCACATTAATGGCATGAAGTAAGAGCATTCTCCTGCGGAAAACACAGAAAAGTCCAGAAAGAATGTGCAAGCAACCTGCCCAGGCACTTCCACAGCTGCTGGGTGTCACGGGAAGCCGGGAACTAATTTAAGCGCCCGGCAGTAGGGTGGTGGCGCTGTGATATTTTCTTCTGCACAAGTTTGCTGCAGGGGCATCGTGGAGGGCCTGTGTGGAGCCACCGTCAGAATGCCAAGGAGCACCTGCCCTGACCCTGTCCCGCCCCGCACCATTGCCCACTCTGTCCCGTTGAGGGGGTGCTTCCCTGGGTCGTTGTGAGACCTGGGCCAGGCCCACAGGGTTCTGCTCGCTCGTAACAGAAGCCTGGGTCCCGTGATGAGCAGGCGTGGCCCACAGAGGGGTCCCCGCCGTGCATCTGTCCCCACGGTGCGTCCCCCGACCGCTCTGGGGCTGCTCTGAGTTGGGGGAGCCGGGCGGGGCGTGACGGCATTCTCCTCTCTCCTGTCTCCTCCTCCCCCCGCCCTCGAGCGCAGCCTCTGGCCCTGGCAGTGGCTGGTGACTGGAGTTTGGTCAGTTGGCAAACGTGTCCCCAAGGGTCAGAGACACACACAGTTCACGTGTGGCCGCCCTGCTGAGAACACGTGTGGCCCCACATGGCTGCTGCCGCAGTAACACACACAGCACTGAAGGGCGCACGGGGGACGGGCCCTCCTGGCAGCCACGGCCTCCCACGCGTGGGAGCCTCCCTGCACGTTCTGTGCGGGGCTCTGCTCGCCTTGGGGCCCTGGCCGTCGCTGGCCCTGTTGACTTGGGACCTCGGCCAAGCCTGAACCTGAAACAGCCTTCGGCAGGGTCCATTTACAGACCCCATGCCGGAGCATCACGGCAAGGCACGAGGCCACAGCTGCCCCAACGCCGTTTGTGTCTAAAAAGCAGGGCACAGCGCCAGGCCAGTGTTTTGTGGGCAGACCTGGAGGGACACTTGTCACACCCACGTCGGCGTCACCTCGGGGGACAGGGGCGGGGCCTGAGGGTGGGCGTCGGAGGGAGGCTTGGTGGATCTGTCCTGGCTTCATTGTTTTAAAGAGGACAATCTCTTAATTTTATGGTGTGATAAAATTGGTTCAAAATGGGATAAAGAAACCTGGAAGAAACACACAAGAAGGCAGATGTACAGGTGTGCGGGTGGGAGCGGCGGAGGCAGAGTGACGGGTGGGAGCCGGGCGGGGCGTGGCAGCGTTCTCCTCTCTCCTGTCTCCTCCTCCCCCCACCCTCGAGCCCTGGCAGTGACGGGTGACTGGAGTTTCGTCGGCTGGCAAACGTGTCCCCAAGGCTCAGAGACACACACAGGCTGTTCACGTGTGACCGCCCTGCTGAGAACGTGTGGCCCCACATGGCCACTGCTGCCGCAGTAACACACACGGCACTGAAGGGCGCATGGGGGACTGGCACAGAGTGACGGGCGCAGCGTCTGTCATGGAGAAGCAGCGGACGGCGGCAGCTGAGGCACCTGCTCTCCCCTCTGCTTGATTTTTAAGGACTGTGCTGCTGTTGTCTCGTTCTCTCTGCCCCTGTCTCCTCCTTCCCTCCTTTCTCCCCCTCGCTGTCTCTCTGCTCCATCTCCTCCTTGCTCTCTCTGAATCTCTGCCTCCTGTCTCCTCTCCCACTCCCCTTCCTCCCTGTGTGTGGCAATGACTGACCGTCATCTGCCTCTTATCTTTTCTCCCGCTCTTCCTCCCTGATAGAATTCTGAAATGTATCTGGGCTCCAGCCAGAGTGAAGACCACATTTCCTGGCATCCCTTGCAGGGTGTCGTGGCTGTGGCTGTGGCCGTGGCCGTGTCCGTGGCTGTGGCTGTGGCCATGGCTGTGGCTGTGTGGTCGGGCTCTGGCCGGGAGATGACGGCCGACAGCTCCACCTGGGACCTCAGACACATCCAATCCATTTCTTCTTAAAGAAAGAATTGAAGTCAATTGAAGTCAAATTGAGTTCCTATTGATTACAGTCGTAGACTCAGAACCATTATGTACGCAAGAGCTAACGCGTGAAGCCAGCTGTTCTCAGGGGCTCCTGTCCCTGGGGTTTTATCTCCAGGTGGCACCTGGCAGGGCACAGAGGTGGCATCACCTGCTGGGTACTCCAGGCCCCAGCTCTCTGGTTTGCCCCTGGGCAGGGCTCTGTGAAGCCTGCAGGATTCTGTGCCGGCCTTTGCCTTCTGGAGGAGGTTCCTGGTGATCGTATTTCAGGGAGACACGGGGCTATTTCAGGGAGACACGGGGCCTCTGTGACAACTTCTGTTTCTCACACCCAGGATCAGAGGTGCTCACTGTTGCCAAGCTCAGTGGTTATTGATTCCATAGTTTACAACTGTCTTGGCCACAGTCAATGGACTGTTTTACAAAAGATGTCTGTTCAGCACTATATCCTATAATAGGTGTGACCCTGTTTCATTTCTCGGCCCTAAATGGGACTTGTTCTTGTTGGAATAACTAAACAAGAGCAGTCTCAGGAGCAGTTTTCTTTGAAGAGTTTCTTCCAGAGCGTGGCTCCTGAGACAGAGCTGGAGACCGAAGTCACCTGGGGGTGCCCTCAGTGAGAGGGTCCGTCTGTGCTGTTCAGGCCTCAAAGCTGTTTGTAGAACAGGCTGGGCCTAAGTTATCTGGGAAACTGGCTGATCCCGTGCGCCCATCTCCCTCGCCTGTGTGTGCTGCAGGCAAAGGCCAGGCCTGCATAGCTGGTTAGACACGGGAAAGTGAGCGGCCAGGACAGGGTCCCAGCAGGCGCCACGTGCCACCCCACCGGGATCCGGCCCCACGCGTCTGAGACCTGCCCCAGGTACGCGTTCCCAGCGGCGTCTATTTCACGATTCCGCCCTCGGCCCCGAATCCATGGAGCCAAATTCCTGCTTTCTTCACGGTCACTTCTGGTATTTGAGCTGAAACCATGTCTGACCATGGGCCCAGCTTCCTATGCCCCACCCTCCTGCTCGGAGCAGCACCTGCCCCAGGAAAAGGCCACCCCGCCCTGGGCTCGGGACCGGCACGGGCTCCTCCCTGACGCCCCTCCACCTTCTCTTGCTTTTTCCAGCAGCACCAGACGCAAATGGGACTCCGTGGCTCCCGCCCGGAGGACGCTGCTGACCTCCTGCCCCTTCCTCTGCTCCGCCTGGCGGTCCCGCTCCTCGGAAAAGCTCGCAGCCACTGGCTCTGCTTGCTCTTCTCCCGCGGGGGGCATGGGACCCGCCACGCGTGGAAATCACACTCGACGAGTCCTCCCATCACCAAGCCCAGAGCAAATTCTCGGCCAGCATCTTCCTTGGCCGCAGTCGGGCAGGTGACGCTGCCTCCCGACGCCTCCCCCTGCCTCAGCGCTGAGGCCGCCCTGGGTCCTCCCTGGCTGCACAGCCCACCCTCTGTGCCTTTGCGGAGCTCCGAGGTTGGGGTTCCAGGGCTCAGGCCTTGGCCTCCTCCCTCTGTGTCTTTCAGTCCTGTCTAATGGAGGCAAACAGTCCTGGATGTCTAGCTCTAGCCCTGGCTTGAACTCCAGGCTCAGATATCCACACGTTTTATGTTTCAACAAATGGCCAGATTGTTTTCCAAGCAGCTGCGCCACCTCCCGTCCCCACCCGCCACACGTGGGCGTTCCGGCCCCTCCGCGACCCTCACCGGCGCCGCTTTTGTACGTCGGCTGCACGTCAGCCTTTCCGGTAGCCAGACAGCGGCCCCCGTGTGGCTCCGAGTGGCAGCTCCCTGATGGCCGCCGAGGGGGGCACCTGCGCACGTGCTTGATGGCTGCTTGGGCGTCTTCGGTGGTGACGTGTCTGTTCTGGTCTTTTCCCCAGTTTTCATTGGACATTTTGTTTTCTTACTTTTGTCTTACTTCTGGATACAAGTCCTTTATCAGATGCGTGCTTTGAAAGTATTTTCTCCAGTCGGCTGTGGCTTGGCTTTCTACACCTGAGTGTCTTTCAAAGAACAGATGGTTTTTTATTTTGATAAAGTCCAATTTATCCATTTTGTTTTGTTTTGGATCATGCTTTTGTTGCCATAGTGAAGAAATCTTTGCTTAAGCCAAGGTCACAAAGACTTTCTCCTCTATTCCCTTCCAGGGACTTGATGGTTTTAGGGTTTACATTTAGGTCAATGATCCGTTCTGGGTTAATTTTTGTATGTGGTGGAAGGTACAGATCAAAATTCATTTATCCAGAATAAGAAGTGTTTGTTGCTTGCCAAGGTGTGTGTGTGAGAGCATACGTGTGTGTTTCAGTGTGTGCGTGCGTGTGTAGGGGTGGGTGTCCATGTGTGAGTGTATGTGTGGGTATGAGTGTGTGTGAATGTGTGTATGGGTGTGAGTGCATGTGTGTGAGTACATGTATGGGTTTGAGAGTGTGCTTGTGTGAGATTGCGTGTGTGTGAGCGTGAGTGTGTGTGTGGGTTTGTGTGTGTGAGTGCGCGTGTGGGTTTGTGTGCATGTGACTGCGTGAGTGCGTGTGACCACATGTGGGTTTGTGTGCATGTGTGTTCATGTGTGTTCGTGTGTATCTGCCTGTGTGTGTGCATGTGTGTGAGTTCATGTGGGTTTGTGTGCATGTGTGTGACTGTATGTGAGTGCGTGTGTGTGTGCATGTGTGTGAGTGCATGTGGATTTGTGTGCGTGTGTGCGTGTGAGTGCATGTGGGTTGTATGCGTGTGTGTGTGCATGTGGGTTGTATGCATGTGTGTGACTGCATGTGTGAGTGCGTGTGTGAGTGCGTGTGAGTGCGTGTGTGTGCGTGTGTGTGAGTGCATGTGTGTGTGAGTGTGTGTGCTTGTGTATTTCCCCATTTTCCGAAGCAGTATTATTTCTTCACTTTACTCCTTTATCTATTTCAATGCATCTTTCTCTTTGTCTAGCTTCACACCAGTGTTGCCCTGCCAATGGCTGTGGTACTAAAATCAGTCTTAACTTGAGGTGGTGTGAGTCCTCCCGCTTGGTTCTTTTTCAAGATTGCTTTGGCTCTCCAAGGTCCTTTGCATTTCCACATGAATTTCAGAATCAGCTGCTCAGGTTCTACCGTGAAGCCCTCTGGGGTGCTGGGCGACGGTGTGGGTTCTCCGTGTGCACGGGAGAATGCGTCTTAGCCTCACCAAGGACCCCCGGCTGCTCACCTCCCATCCTCCTGTCTGCTGTTTTTGCCATGGGCCAGCCTGTGTGCTGGAGCGAGTGGCTGGGAGTTTGGTCACATGCCTCCCAGTGTGGCCTGCTCCAGTGGCCCCTGCTTTGGAGCCCACCCCATCCACCCCTGCCACAAGCTGGCGCCATGTGGCCCTGCCTGCCTCCTTCCCCGCCCTGGTTCCCCTGCCTGCCTCCTTCCCTGCCCTCATTCCCCAGCCCTCCTCTCGGCTGCTCAAGCTCTGGGCTCAGGTGTCTTCTTTTTTGTGAGACAAGCCGGCTTTTCCCACTTCCATCCCTCTCTGCGCCCACATGCCACCTCCTCACTGCTCCTCGGGGAGAGAGCTCAACCGCACATCCAGACGCGGATCACACCTCGGGCTGCCCCTTTCGCTCGCTGAGTGGAGGCTGCGTCTGTGACGTTTTATTCTCAGAGACGCCAGGATGCTCACCTGAGTCTCTGCCCCCAGCCAAGGGAGACCCTGAGCCTGTTTAGGGACAGCAGGAAATAATGACAGAGGCTCAGGACCCCCCTCATATCCCCATTGCCCGACTCGGTGGTGGCCCACGCAGCAATGCCGAGAGCAGCCAACGCTGTGCTGGCAGAGCCACCTTGCAGGAGGGGAGGTCCAGGCCCCAAGTCCGAGAGCAGAAGACAAAACATCTCCTGTGGACACTGTAACAAGGAGCCACAAGCAGGTGGCTTCCAACAATGTGAATGCACTGTCCCCCGTTCTGGAGGGCAGACCCCAAGATCACAGAGTGGCCAGAGCTGTGCCCCTCCAGAGGCTTCAGGGAGGATCCCTCCTGCCTCTCCCAGCTTCTGGGGCTCCAGGCTTCCCTGGGCTCGTGGCCGTGCCATTCGAGTCTCGGCCTCCACCTCCACATGGCCTCCTGCCTGGGCCTCCGTGTTGCATTTCCTCTGCCCTCTCTTTAAGGACACCGTCGTTGGATTTAGGACCTGCCCTAAATCCAGGATGATCTCTTTATCAGTGGGTGGCTGGGTCAGGTTCTTGACTTTGCAGCACAAAAGAATTTGAGAGCAAGTCCAAAGCTCAAGTAGGCAAAGAAGTTTGTCACAAAGCAAAGGCGCTGCTCGGAGGGAGAAGCAGCCCCTTAGCTCGAGGGGAGTCCTTTCTCGGGAGCTGTGCATGCACATTCATGAAATATGGTGAGGTCAGGCGTGTAAAGGCAGACAGGCCCGCGGTTGGCTGTGCATGCCTGTTCATGAAATACGGCGAGGTCAGGCGTGTAAAGGCAGACAGGCCCGCGGTTGGCTGTGCGTGCCTGTTCATGAAATACGGCGAGATCGGGCGTGTAAAGGCAGACAGGCCCGCGGTTGGCTGTGCGTGCCTGTTGATGAAATACGGCGAGGTCGGGCGTGTAAAGGCAGACAGGCCCGCGGTTGGCTGTGCGTGCCTGTTCATGAAATACGGCGAGGTCGGGCGTGTAAAGGCAGACAGGCCTGTGGTTGGCACACATGCTCAGTACCTACATGCTCCAACACACACTGCATGTATCATTACATATAGAATCCTCACCTGGGGGTGTGTCTCTTACTATTAAAATGAGCTGAACTTGGAGTGTAACTGTGTGTACAGTGTCCTGGAGAAGCCCCTGGCCCCTCCGAGGCAGGAATGTGTGGCTAAGAGCTTGGTGGGCTTTGGGTGCTGACTGGCTGGAGATTGGGGAAGCTACATCAGGAATAAGGTATCTTCATTGTCTTTCCCGGGCCTGTACCGGGCATCAGGAACTTGTAAGCATCCGGCTGTCGGCTGGTGTCCTGTGGGGCTGCTTACCTTGCGAAGCCTGCTGCAAAAGGGGCCCGGGGGCTTCACACAGGGAACAAGGACGTCAGTGTGGCCTCCTCATCCTACCGATCCTGCCTCAAGCTCATCTCAGGATCCCTAACTCAATTACATCTGCAAAGATCCTAGTTGCAATAAGTCACATGAGGACAGGCCCTTCTGAGATTAAACCCGGGCCAGAAGATGTGTTTCCGAGATCGGAGACAGAGGCCCATGTCCTGCTGACACTGTGTCTTGGGTCGCGGGAGGAGGACACCGTTCAGCCCACCACGGAAGGAAAGGCTTCCACGGGGAGGACCGGTCCAGCCGTCATTTTCTCCCCGTGGCCTCTCCCTCATCCCCAGCAGGAGCGCAGGAGGACAAGGCTGGGGGCTGAACTTCGGGGTGAGCGACTTGCCTTCCTCATTGATGGGCATTTGGGACTTGTTGGAAAATCTTTGCGCTCCTTTATCTTTTTCTTGGGGCTGGGTTGAGCCTTGCAGAAAAGCGAGATTTGGAAGAGTCATCCTGGTCTTCATTGTCTTCCATTTGCCAGCAGGTGGGCGACAGGGAGTTAAATAAAAACGCTTCAACTCCGCGCGTGTGGAAACGACCTGGCAGGATCTCCCTCGTACGACCTGCGAGGCGGACGCGGTTGGGATCCTCATTGTGCCGGAGACTGAGGCTCCCAATGGCTGTCGGTCTCGCCTGTGGGCGCCTGGGCTCGAACCTGGATCGGACCCTGGCGCTGCTCCCTGTCAGGAACATCTGCTGACGGCTGGTCCAGCATCCACGGGCCCCACTTCTAGGAGCCGCACCTGCCAGGCCCTGAGTCCAGCATGACGCGGTGGAGCATAAGCCAATCTGAGTGCCCTATTTCCTCTGGCCACAGCGATTGGTTCAGGGAAGAGCACGTCACCCAATCAGAGCCCAGCAGACACAGGGATGCTTTTCCTGCGTGTCCTGGGAAGACAGGTGGGTTTGCTGCCCTGGACTCAAACCCCTGGAAGGTTTGGACCTGCGGGGACACAGCCTCCGGCCACGCGGACACGGCCTCCGGCCATGCGGACAGGCCTTCCTGAGATTAAACTCAAGCCAGAAGGCTGGAGCCAAGAGAGGCAGGCAGAAGCCTGTGTCCCACTGACAAGTTTTGACCCCCGACCAAGCCGGGCCCGAAACCAAACACACCTGGACTTTTCCTACGGATGAGCCACCAGCCCCCTTCCTGCTTAGGCCATCCCGGCTCGGCTTCTTCATGTTGCTGCTGAGCGGAGAGCAGAGGATGCATCTGGAAGGTTCTGTTGCCCTGATCGCTCCTGGGCTCCTCACACGCTTCTCCGCGTGGCCAGCGTCCCGGGGGCCTCTGCGTCCATCTCTCAAACCTGTGCCATGAGCTTGCAGGGAGGCCTTCTGTTCCATGCAGGCGGCTTGTTTATAAAGCGAGTGGCCGCTGAGATCCATCAATAAAAGGCCGTCGATATTCTGGGGCAAGAAGTGGGTACCGAACATGGATTCTAAATCAAATGAGAGGTCATTGAGAATGAGTGCTGTAGGTGACAGGGATTCTCTGCCCCCACCTGCCCTCGTAAAGTCTGAAGAGGCTGGAGGCCCCCGGGAACGGTCACGCCATAAATCACTTGTCCTTGCTGCTTGCAAGTTCTTCAGCACAGGTGCATGTGGCCCCGCAGCCAGGCCCGAGACGCCTCCTGACCTAGTGATGGAGGGAGAAAGAAGGGTGGAGTCCACCACTGTCCCCCAGAGGCCAGCAGCTTCCTCCACTGCTCCGAGGAGGCGTAGGGGGCAGGCGTGAGTACTTCACGGGCCCAGCCGGTGCCTGTGGGGCCCCTTGAGTCTTCATTTGTCCCCTCATTACACAGATGTTTATAAAGTACCTGCTGTGTGCCGGGCACAGCCTGGGTTCTTGGTATAGAGCTGTCAATGGGACAGAAAAGGAGCTTGCTGTCAGGGCGCTCACGTTCCGGTCACGGGGGGAGACAGACCTGCAGGAACAAACAGGTACAGGGTGTGCGCTTGAGGACGGTGAGGGGGGCCACCCCATGGGACAGGACTTGCCACAGGCTTTCTGAGCAGCCCTGCCCCCCTCCCCCTGGGCTCTGGGAGTGCCTCTGCCCACCACCCCAACTCCAAAACCTCTCCTTTCCAACCTGCAGCCGCTCCTGCAGTCCGTCCTAGGACGTACTTCCTTTCTCAGGACTTTCTGTTTTACACATTTTGCAAGTTCATGAAAACTGTGCAATCCAAGCTTTTTCCTCTACAGATGAGTGGAGTGACGTTTTCTTGTCAGAAAGCATTTTTCTGAGTGATGAAATCTCCCTGGCTGAGCACCACAGCCCAGATAAATATGATGGTGGCGCACAGCCCTTGTCCCTTTGAAATTCTCACCAGAGGCTTGGAACCAGCTATGAGCCAGGGCGGGAAGTGGCTGCCTGTGCGGGTGGCTGGCTCCTTGGCTGTGCCCAGCTCCTCGGCTGTGCCCAGCAGCGCCGTCCCCAACGTGCTCCTGAAGCTGATGGCTGGGGTTGGAATCCAAGCACCTGCACTCATGGCCCACAGGGGAGGCTCCTGTCTGTGGAACGGGGACGTTCATCTCCTCTCGGGGTCGCTGTGAGCACGGGGTGGGCACAGGGGCCATGTGTGTGCTGAGTGCTGTGTTACTGTTACTAGTTTCTCTCTGGAACAGCTCTGGCCCCCGTACACCCTTGGCGTCTGGTTGTAGGGTCCAGGCCTTGTCCAGTGACCCTCGAAGGGTGCACCTGGCTCCCGGGGTCCCTCATGCTGCGCCCTGACCACACCCCAAACCGTGTCTCCTGCAGGTGCAGACAGATGAGCTATGGCTCCTGGGGTCCCTCATGCTGCGCCCTGACCGCACCCCAAACCGTGTCTCCTGCAGGTGCAGACAGATGAGCTATGGCTTCCGGGGTCCCTCATGCTGCGCCCTGACCGCACCCCAAACCGTGTTTCCTGCAGGTGCAGACAGATGAGCTACGCCCAGGACCTGCCCCAGGTCTCCGTGGTCTTCATCTTCGTCAATGAGGCGCTGTCGGTCATCCTGCGCTCCGTGCACAGCGTGGTCAACCACACGCCCTCCCAGCTCCTCAAGGAGGTCATCCTGGTGGACGACAACAGTGACAACGGTGAGTGGGCGGGGCCTCGGCACGGTGCTCGCCGGGCGGCTGCCTGTGGCTGGGTTGAGTTGGGGTTGGGTGGAGCCTCCGGGGGCAGAGCGACAGAGGACTGCACCCCATCTGTCCGCAGGGGCTCTAAACCTATGGGGGTCCCTCCTGCCTTCCAGCCTCTGTCATGGCTGCGTACGTGCTGTCCCCAGTGTGTGGCTGCCAGTGCCTCTCTCTGCCTCCATTATGCGGCCTCTCCCATGTGTCTGCATCCTCTCTTCTTCTCATGAGGACCCAGACTAGACACAGAGCTCACCCCAAATCCAGGAGGATTTCATCTCAAGATACTCAACCGGATACATCTACAAAGTCCCTGCTTCCTCTCCTCTCAGGCTCCGGGTGGAGATGAAGTTGGGGTCAGCCACCCCCTTCCACAGAGGCCAGTAGAGCTGAGCTCTCCAGAGTGCCAGTCACGCCTCCCACCTCTCTTGCCCACAGAGGCTCACACCAGAGCTTGGCTGGACAGAGCTCGCAGCTGGAGCCCAAGCCCCATGGTTCCTCAGCGCCACCCTCCTCAGCTTCAGGTCCCCTGAGGGCAGTGCTACTCACACCCTGTAGCACACAGGCTTGAAACCCCAAACAAGGATCTTGCACTGCCCCAGGCCTGTCCCCCATCTGCCCTTCCCAGGCGCAGAGCAGAGAGCCTGCAGCCGTGACACTCCCTCTGGAAATGGAGGAAAACATGGGGAGCCCCTTCCTGACCCCTCGTGGAGGCAGGAGGCTGTGCCATGGGGCTGTGGGGCAAGCTCTGGCCTGCAGCAGTGCCCTAGCCCAGCAGCACCGTCTACACTGGGGTCTGTGTGCAGAGGACTGAATGGCGTGGCTGCCCTCCTGAGCCCTGTCTCGCTGGAGAAGGTGGTGTGTGGGGAGGACCATCCAGTCCAGCTCGGCTACCTGTGTCTTGCCCTTGGCCACAGGGAGCTCCATCAGGACACCCTGCCCCCAGCATGGAAGGCCACGTTTGTGTGTCCACCCATCCATGCATGGACTTGGTTTTTTACAGCTGACTGCAGTCCTGTGTCTCCACAGCATGGGCTGCTGTCTGTCTCTCTGTCTGTCTGTCTGTCTGGTGTGTTTCCTTATTTGCTGTGTCTCCCACTGGAATGTCAGCATCATGAGGCTGGGGTCTCATCTCTCTGTGACCTCCACGCTGAACCACATGTGGTTCAGTGGGTCCTAAGAGAATGTTTACAATACACCCATCCCACACGCGGCACGCAGCATTTCCAGCCTTGGGTCTTGGTGGCCCCGCGCCTGCCAGCACCTGCCAGCGTGCTAAAGTCTTGTCTCTCCTCAGTGGAACTCAAGTTCAATCTGGACCAGTACGTCAACAAGCGGTACCCAGGCCTCGTGAAGATTGTCCGCAACAGCCGGCGGGAAGGACTGATCCGCGCGCGGCTGCAGGGCTGGAAGGCGGCCACCGCCCCAGTCGTCGGCTTCTTTGATGCCCACGTCGAGTTCAACACGGGCTGGTAAGGGCCGGAACAGGCTGGACAGCCAGTCTCAGCGGGTCCCCCTCCACCATCCCCCTCCTAAGCCGCCGTGCGGCTGCAGCCTGGCCGCTGGGTTGGCCCCGGGGCTGGGAGACTCGCCGTAGCCTTCAGGATCTGGGACTGAGAGCCACCACTGAGTCCACCTGTGCGGTTACCTCTGCGGCCTCTCTGTGTCCAGCTCCTGAATGCAAAACCACGGGAGGGCAGGCCCAGCACGCACCCAAGGACATGGCGCTTAGAAGCTCCCAGGCATGTGTATGAGGCTTGGTCTGTGCCCACCTTGCCCCAGGAGAATGTGACCCTGTCCTGACTCCAGCAGGCTCGGGTACCGTGTGTCCCCCGCGGGGTGGGAACCTCAGATCAGGTGGGGTGGGGCTAAGGTGCAGAAGTCCGGCCTCTCAGGCCCTGCTCAGTCACTGGAGATGGCCACGAGTGCCCCCGAGGCCTTAGCCTAGTGCAAGGGGCGTGGGAAGTGAGCTTCTGGGCTGAGGGGGTCACCTTGTGTATGGGGTCCTGGGGCCACCAGCACAAAGCAACCCCTTCTGGGCGGCTCGGAGCAGCAAGACTTCACCTCCTCACCGTTCTGGAGGCCCAGAGCCCGACTCCAAGGTGTGGGCAGGGCCCGACTCCAAGGTGTGGGCAGGGCCGAGTTTCCCCCAGAGGCTCCAGGCCCTTAAGGATCCCTCCCACCTCTCTCAGCTCCTGAGGGCTGCAGCCCCCACCTCCGACCCCCACGCCCTCCCTGTGTCTGTTTCTCCATCCCTGCCTTATGCAAGGACCCTTGTCATTAGAGTTGGGGCAGTCCAGGATGCCCCCAGGCAAACCCCAAAGCCAGCCCCACAGAGGGCACCTACGGGGTCCATAGTGCACTGGGTGTGTTCCCTGCACCCAGGCAGGCCCCGCGCCCACAATGCTCAGGGTGTGTTCCCCGCACCCAGGCAGGCCCCGCGCCCACAATGCACAGGGTGTTCCCCGCACCAGGGCCAGGACCCACCCCTGTCCACCCAACCACAAGGAAGACCCGGGAGGACATTTTCCCCACTTCCTGGAGAAACAAAAACTGAAGATTTAATATCAACTCTCCTGACTCATTTTTCAACTCAGGGAAATATGGGCTGTTGTCACTGCAGGGGGCCTTGGTGGGAAGGGCCAGCTGATGTTTGATCTCAGTGTTACACGGAGGCTGGGACTGTCATGATTGGCTGGGACACCCCACTGCATGTGACCTTGGGCCTCCTGCTGGGTCCCCGGGGAACCTGGCGTTTTGGGGCTTCTTAAAGTCCGTGGTTTCCATAACAGCATCAGTGGGTTCAAGTGGGGACTTGGCACCTCTCAGGCTTCTCCCCTCACACTCGGCTTTCCTGGGGCATCTCAGTCCCCAGCCGGCGCTGTTCTGACAAGACGCTGCCTCCTCTGCCCTGTGCCCTCCCTTCCCCTTCCTCGCTCCTCCGCAGGGCGCTTTCCTTTCCCTCGATGTTTATCAGCTTCTGACGTGTTGTGCATGAATTGTGTTCCACTGTCTGCCCCCCACAATGTCACCCCATGCAGTCGCACACGTTGTGCACTGCACAACTACACCGGCAGCCTTTTAGTCCCTCTGATGCCGGGTAAGCTCCCCGAGGCCTGAGGGCGTCTGGGGGAGCCTTGGGTCTGTCACGTCAAAATGCAATTTTAAACCGGTCCAAATTTAATTTTCACAACTGAAAACCCAGTTATCCATCTGCAAATAGCACCCCCTCCCGTAACTGTCTCCACAAAGGATTCTGCCTTATTAGAAGACCTGGCATTTCCAGGGAGCTTTTCATCTCTGAAGCACTTCGCTAACAGTAATTAATTAATCCTCCTCACAAAGCTGAAAGGCAGGTAAATACCAGGCCTCATGCTCAGAAGGACGGGAAGAAGGGGTGAAGACAGCCGTGTGGTCTCACAGGCAGGGTCAGGGCCTTGCCTCTCCCCATGCCGGCTCTGCCTGAGCCGACCCGAATCTGCCCTCAGGCCATCCAGCCTCTCACTGCAGCCTCTGGGCTCTGTGTCAGCCAGTGGCTGGGTGGCTTTGGCCCTGTGGGTCTCCAGCGTGGACGGCGGGCCTCTGCGGCCATCTCACCTTGCGGTAGACCATGGCGTCTCCAAGGGCGAGGGCTGCACCTGCTTCCCAGGACCCCTGCTTGGGACGGGGAATCGAAGACTGAGCTGATGCCCATCGAGGCTGCTTCTACTCACCTTCCTCTCTGCCCTCCTCGCCCCCCATTGCCCCATCGCTCTGTCCGGCCTCCTGGCCAGCCCTGCAGGCCCATTAGGCACACGCCCGGGCTTCGGTGCAGCTGCCGCACCCTCTGAGACTCCCTCTATGCCTCCTTCCAGTCACTACCCAGGGCAGCCCTACTTAAAACTGTGAGCCCCCTCTACAACATCCACGACTGCTTATACCTCATCCTCCGTCCCGTCCTTGAGCGGGGCCGCTGCACACTCATGCAGGTTCCACTCTGCACAACGGTGCCTGGTGGCTTTTCATCCCACACCGTGCGAGCTCCCCGTGGCACGGATTGTTTTTATTCCTTAGTTCATGATTGTATTCCAATTTGTGGGAACAGGGCGTGGCACATAGTAGATCCTCAATTAATTCTTGCAAATGAATGCAGCTCCCACAGGAGCAGGAAAGGAGAGGAGGGACTCGGGGCTGGGCAGAGAGGGAGACCGAGCTGGGGAGCCCCGTGGTGGACATAGCTGACCTCTTATGGACCCCTGGGCAGCCCTTCAGAGATACTGCAGTTGGGCCAACGTGGCCGGTGTCAGCGTCCCCCAGGGGCCAGTGGCATTCGAGGGGCTACCCCAGCAGGGGTGAGGCCTTGGTCAGGGTGGGTCTGCTGCTGAGAGGGGCCCTTGGGCTTCCAAGGGAGGATGTGGGTCTAGCTCAGCAGGGGGTGGCAGGGCTAGATGCAGACCAGGTGGGGACTGGCCTCCCCTCCCTGTGGGCGAGTGGACCCTCCTCAGGGAATGCGGTGGGCTGGGGCCGCCCCTCCTCACAGCTGTGCCTCCGCAGGGCCGAGCCCGCACTGTCGCGGATCCGAGAGGACCGGCGTCGCATCGTGCTGCCAGCCATCGACAACATCAAGTACAGCACGTTTGAGGTGCAGCAGTATGCGAACGCCGCCCATGGCTACAACTGGGGCCTCTGGTGCATGTACATCATCCCCCCGCAGGACTGGCTGGACCGCGGCGACGAGTCAGCACCCATCAGGTGAGCTGCGCCCTCAGGGGTCGAGGGCGGCCCTGCCCGGCAAGGAGCGGAGCAGAGCGAGGCGGGCGTGGGGACGAGGGCCAGGGATGAGGGCCGGGGACGAGGGCTGGGGACGAGGGCGTGGGGACGAGGGCGTGGGGACGAGGGCGTGGGGATGAGGGCCGGGGACGAGGGCGTGGGGATGAGGGCATGAGGACGAGGGCCGGGGACGAGGGCGTGGGGACGAGGGCCGGGGATGAGGGCATGGGGACGAGGGCTGGGGACGTCCCCCAGCAAGCACAACCTGGTGCAGGGGCTGAGCAGAGACCACGGTGAGTGTCGGGCCGGGTGCTGGGGCCCCTGGGCTTTGCCATAAAAACTTGGCACACAGAGCTTGTCTGTATCACAGAGATGCAGACGCAGCCCTCAGGGTTCACAGGAGCCAGTACTAACGGCTTGAAGGTTATTTTTCTTCATTCAAAATGCACTTGATAATCCCCAATTAGCAGGAAAAGGATCGCCTTGTGTTTGACATTTTAAAAATCAGTGAAATTCAGAGAACCCAATGGGAGGCACCTCCCACAGTTTTTGGCAGGCTCTGGATGCCCTGAGCTGTGGCAGGAGCAGGCTCACTGGCCCCATCAAGTCTTCAAGGCATGGCTGCCCCCCTGCTCCTCATAGCCACCACCTGGACAGCTGCTGAAGCCCCCCGTTCCAGCTCTCAGCTAAAGGACAGGGCGCGACATGAACAGACACTACCCAGGAGAAGACTGGCCTGCGCCAGCAAGCTCATGAAATGTGCTCCCCACAGTCCAGGGAGATGCAAATTCAACCCACAGTGAGATGGGGCTCTGTGCCCACTGGGGTGGCTGAAAGGTGCAGGCTGACAATACCAAATGTTGACAAGGACATGGCACAGATGCAACTCTCGGACATGGCTGGCAGGACTGTGAATCGGTGCAGCCACTTTGGAAAACCGGCAGCTCCTTCTGAAGGCCCGAAACCCACTCCAGTGTCCCCCCTTCCAGTGTCCCCCCTCCAGCGTCCCCCCTCCAGTGTCCCCCTCCAGCGTCCCCCCAGTGTTCCCCCTCCAGTGTTCCCCCTCCACTGTCCCCCTCCACTGTCCCCTCCAGTGTCCCCCGTGTCCCCCCTCCAGTGTCCCCCCTATTCCACTCCCAGGTGTTTTTCTCAAAATAAATGAGACATGCGTACATGCAAAGGCTTCCACACAAACGTTCACAGCGGCGTTACTCACAGTAGCCTCATATGCGTCAGCAGGTGAATGGATGAGCAGGGCAGACTCCACCCACATCACGGAATACTTAGAAACAGGGAGGAGTGGACCCTTCCACACCTAACAACGTGGTGAGATGTAGAGGCTCATGCTGAGCCTCGGAGCCACACATGGAAGAGAGTGTCTGCGTGATTCCTGCACACAGAATTCCACGGAAGGCAAAATTCATCCTGGGTGGAGGCTGAGGGTCGGGGCTCACAGGGAAGGGGCCTGCCTGGGACAGTTCCAGGGCAGCAGTGTTCTCTGCTGGAAAAGGATGGGGTCACCCAGGGGTCTCCATCAGTCAAAATGGGCCAAAATGCAAAGATCACATGGATGCATTTCATTTTATATAAATTTCACCCCTCAAAGTTGATTTTAAAGAATAAATGAAATATTAAGGCAGGTGCGGTGGTTCATGCCTGTAATCCCAACACTTGGGAGGCCCAGGTGGGTGGATTGCGTAAACTCAGGAGTTCGCCCTCCCTCATGGGGACAGAAACAGCAGACAGCCGCAACGAGATGGGGCCATGTTAGAAGTTCCAGGACGGCTTCCATGGTGGACACCCAGCGTGAAGATCGCAAAGGCGCATGTGGGTCCACGCGGTGTTGTCATCGCGGCCGGTGCCCCTGCGTTCCATGCTTAGCGTGCAGGCGTGCAGCCTGCTGGATGTGTATGTTTTAGGGAGAAGGAATCAATGCACACATGTCAGGTGTGCACTGGTTCAGTCCAAAAGGCGGGAGGACCGGAAGTGGGGACTTCCAGGCCATGGGCGGATTCAAAGATTTTCTGATTGGTAATTGGTTGAAAGAGTTAAGTTATTATCTAAAGACCTGGTATGAATAGAAAGGAGCATCTGGTTAAGATAAAGGGTTGTGGAGACCGAGGTTTTATGATGCAGATGAAGCCTCCAGGTAGCGGGCTTCAGAAGGAGCTTCAGAAGGAGGAGATTGTAAATGTTTCTTATCAGACTTAAAAAGGGGCCAGACTTCTGGTTAATCTTGTCTGGATCAGAAAAGACCTCCAAAAGAAAGGGAAGTCTCTACAGAATGTTGAGTTCCCCCACAAGACACAGCATTGCAAGCCATTTCAAAATACATCAATGAAATACATTTTGGGGTAAAATACTTAACTTCTTTAGGGACCTGCTAACTGTCATTTTGGATGCATTTTATCTCTACAAAAGAGTCTGTTTGGTCAGACTTAACATCTGTGTTTTAGTGTTCCAGAATTCCAAAGGGAGGAGAGTCTAAGGGGCTTGTCCAAACCCTCTTCCCATCAGGACCTGAGCTCGTTTTCCTGGGTTACTTTGGGGTGCCCTTGGTTGAGAAGCGGCTCCATTCAATTGGTTGGGGGTCTTAGAATTTTATTCTTGGTTGACAGAACCAATACTTAATCATTTTCACTTGAAATCTTATTTTATGTGAAAATGATTTCTACTCTTTTTGAAAATTGGAAGATTCTAGGCCCCAATTCTTACTCAGTCATGATGAACTGAAGCTGAGCTGTGGCTGCTCCCTCGGACAGAGCAGAGCCACAGTCACCACCTGTCCCAACAGCCGCTCCCGGCAAGCCCATCTGTCCTGTATTGTTTATCATTTGCTGATGCTGCTGCTCCACTTGGGGAAATAATTCTCTAGAGCTGGGTCCTTACGGGAGAGGGAGAATAGGGACAGACCAAGAGGACTGACTATTTCAAGAGAAAGAAGATGAAGGCTTTGATTTCACCATGTTCAACAAGTGACACTAGCCCTCTTCTCTCTTGTACTTTACCTGCCTGACCTTCGTGTAAGTTTGTCTGTCAAAACTCACCCTGGAGGATCAAAGTCTGGGCGAGAGCCCCATCAGAAATCAGCTCCCCACTCACTGGAGGATCACAGAGTCACGTGCTGGAGCCCTGTCAGAATCACTCCTCTCGCATAGAGGATCAGAGTCAGAGACATGAGCCCTGTCAGAATCACTCCCCTCATGCTGGAGGATCAGGAGTAATAGGCGAGAGAAAAAAATAAGAAGGACACGATGCTGATCATCGCTGAAACTGAGAACACATTCTGCTCATCTTTCTCCTTTTGCATACACTTGAAAATTTCCATAAAAGTAAATATGCATATTAAAAGCAGCGGAGGGGCCGGGTGCAGTGGCTTACGCCGGTATTTCCAGCACTTTTGGGAGGCCGAGGCGGGTGGATCACCTGAGGTCAGGAGTTCCTAGCCTGGCAAAACCCTGTCTCTACTAAAAATACAAAAATTCGCAGGGCGTGGTGTCAGGTGCCTGTAATCCCAACTACTTGGGAGGCCGAGGCAGGAGAATTGCTTGAACAGAGGAGGCAGAGGTTATAGTGAGCTGAGATGGTGCCATTGCACTCCAGCCTGGGCAACGAGAGCGAAATTCAGTCTAAAAAAAAAAAAAAGAAAAAACAGTGAAGGGCATTTTCAAGGATGTACAGCAGGGGTCAGGGAATCATGGCCCACAGTCCTGTATTTGTAAATAAAGCTTTATTGACACACGGCCATGTTTCCTCATTTGCATATCAGGGCAGAGGGGAGCAGCTGCCACCCAGGCTTCTGGCACAGAGCCAAGACATTTACACACTTGCCCCGGGCAGAGAAAGTGTGGGCCCTGCTCCAGGACGGCATTTCCGTGATCTCTTTGGGGAATGGAACTTTAGGTGCAGGGATAACCACCTCACTTTTTAAGTCCTAACAATTTTCACTGTGGGCAAAGGATTACCTAGGTGCCGAGGCAAGAGACTGAAGGCACAAACTTTCAGTATAATAAAGAAAATAGTTAGAATAAGAATAATCATAATACAAGTCAGATATAGAGATGATCATGGACAATTATCAATCATTATTATAAACATTATTAATCATTAGCTTTTAATATTACTCTTTGTTGCATTACTAATATAATCTAGGAATAACCTGAGGGTATAGGGTCAGGTGCTGAAGGAACATTGTGAGAAGTGACCTAGAAGGCAAGAGGTGAGCCCTCTGTCATGCCCGCATAAGGGCCGCTTGAGGGCTCCTTGGTCAAGCGGTAACGCCAGTGTCTGGGAAGGCACCTGTTACTTAGCAGACTGTGGAAGGGAGTCTCCTTTCCTTGGAGGAGTCAGGGAACACTCTGCTCCACCAGCTTCCTGTGGGAGGCTGGATATTCTCCAGGCCTGCCCGCAGTCATCCGGAGGCCTAAACCCCTCCCTGTGGTGCTTCAATGGTCACACTCCTTGTCCACTTTCATGCTCCTCCCGCACTCCTGGTTCCTCTTTGGAGTTCGTAGTAGATAGCAGAAGAAGAAATAGTGGAAGTCTTAAAGTCTTTGATCTTTCTTATAAGTGCATAGAAGAAAACGCTGACATTTGCTGCCTTCCCTCTCTGCTTCAGCTACCTAAAAGGGAAGGGCCCCCTGTCCTGTGATCATGTGACTTGCTTCACCTTGTCAATCACTTAGAAGATTCACCCTCCTTACCCTGCCCCCTCGTCCTGTATGCAATAAATATCAGCGCACCCAGCCGTTCGGGGCCACTACTGGTCTCCGTGTCTTTTTTTTTTTTTGAGGCAGTTTCGCTGTTGTTGCCCAGGCTGGAGTGCAGTGGTGCGATCTCGGCTCACCACAACCTCCGCCTCCCAGGTTCAAGCGATTCTCCTGCCTCAGCCTCCCTAGTAGCTGGGATTACAGGCATGTGCCAGCACGCCTGGCTAATTTTTTTTGGTATTTTTAGTAGAGACGGGGTTTCTCCATGTTGGTCAGGCTGGTCTCGAACTCCCGACCTCAGGTGATCCGCCTGCCTCGGCCTCCCAAAGTGCTGGGATTACAGGCATGAGCCAGTGCGCCCAGCCAGGTCTCCGTGTCTTGATGGCAGTGGTTCCCCCCAGGCCCAGCTGTTTTCTCTTTATCTCTTTGTCTTGTGTCTTTATTTCTGACAATCTCTTGTCTCTGCACACGGGGAGAACACCCGCTAAGCCCTGTAGGGCTGGACCCTACATTTCACTCTTTCCATTGTGGATGCAAACTCTTTCTAAAACGTGGCACGTGCTTCTCTGCCTTCTCAGAAACAGTTTTTAAATAACATTAAATGTCAGTGTCGGCGTCCGCAAGACACGAAGGCTTCAGTCGTGGCGGGGATGCGGCTGCAGGAGGTGCCCATGTGCCTGGGACTCTCTGCCCTTCCTGCGTTCACAGCCGCCTGTGGCTCATCTTTGGAGGCCTCTTTGCTCCCTGCAGAGTTGAAGCACCTGAGCTTCAATGGGACAGTCCTAGGCAGGAGTGTGGCCTCACTGCCTGGGCCTGTGGAGGTGGCTGCCCTGTTGGCCTCCACCCTGTTCTAGTCCTCTTCCTGCTCCCCTGCTCCTTTCTCCCAGACAGACGCTGGGGACCATCCTCATCACGGAGGATTCCTGGGATCCCAGTTAAGATCCGGCACCCCCATCACGTGAGCAAGGTGGGAGAACGGCAGGAAGGACAGGCAGCCTGGCAGGCGGGGGGCAGGCCTGGGGGAGCTGGCTCTCATCGGGGCTGCTGGTTCAAGTGTGACTTCGGAGGACACCTGGGGACATGTGTTCCTCCAGGAAGAGGTGGGGCCCCCAGGCTGTGGGTGCCCAGAGGCTGCTGATGTGCCACCAGCCCCTCCAGGATCAAGGGCTGTGCTGACACCAGGCCTGCCCACCTGAGAACCACTCGGAAATTATTCCCTCCAAAGCTCTGGAACCCCAAGCACTACCTCCATTCCCCAGGGCCCTCCAGCTTGCAGAGCCCTGTCTGCCGGGGGCTGGGCCTGCGGGGAGGAGACCCCTGATTTTCTCCTTCACCCGAGGAACAAAGAACAGGGTGCTGTCCCTGAGACCTCTCCTGGTCAGAAGAGGACCTGGGAGGGCGGTGTGGGCCCGGAGGAGTCCCCTCTGAGAGCTGGCCTTGCAGAGCCCTGAGCTCCAAGGATTTAAGGAGTCAGCGACCCCAACCCCATTGACAAGCCACACAGAAACGAGAGCAGCCGCTCCCCTCCCCGGAAAGCGGATGCCGGGAGCCCCCCAAGACGCAGAGCACCGGCCTGTTTCACAGCTTCCTGCCCCGTAACCGGCGTCGTGAACTGGACATGCCTTCCTGTGCTTTTCATCCTTAACGTACTCCAGTTTTAATTTTAACTTTTCGTTTCAGTGCCTCTGATTGAAGGTGGCAAGTGTTGACTGAAACCAAAGTTAAAATTGTATCGATCGAAATTCATAAAATCAAATGAATGTGAAAGAAATGTAAATAATCAAGCTCTCGGGTGATGTTTCCATGCGTTTGTGGCTCGCACATCTGCACGTACGTGTACCGTGTGCCGGTCACCGCTTGGGTCTTGCACGGCGAGGTTTCAGTGTGCGTTATTCTCGACGTGTTCCAAACTCCGTGTGGAAGGACGCGGCTCCGGTGCCCTTGTCTTAGCTTCTCCGTGGATTGTGTCTTACGCGCGCGCTGCTGTTTACGTACCTATCCCAGGTTCACGGGCACCGGGCTCACTAGGCCTCCCTGTGCACGTGTGCAGGCGACAGGTCCACCGCAGGCCTCCGGGGATGTGGGTCCCGACTCCACCCACACGGGCGGTGCCCACCGCCTCCTCGCCGTCTTACCTCGGCATGAGCTGAGCCTTTGTTGTTGTTGTCGTTTGAGACGGAATCCCCTCTGTCACCCGGGCTGGAGTGCAGTGGCGTCATCTCAGTCCACTGCAACCTCCGCCTCCCAGGTTCAAGTGATTCTCCTGCCTCAGCCTCCCGAGTAGCTGGGATTACAGGTGCACACCACCACGCCCGGCTAATTTTTTGTATTTTTAGTAGAGATGGAGTTTCTTCATATTGGCCAGTCTGATCTTGAACTCCTGACCTCAGGTGATCTGCCTGCCTTGGCATCCCAAAGTGCTGGGATTACAGGCGTGAGCCACTGTGCCCGGCCACGTTGGCTTTTCTTGTTATCAGGGTCTGTGGAAGATCAAAGCACTCAATGGGCCATTGGTGAAACTCATATAACACAAATCAACCACACTAAAGTGGGCACCTCTGCGGTGTTTCGACCATCACAGTGTCGTGCAGCTGCCACCTCCGTCTCGTTCCAAAGCATTGTCCTCCCTCCCCGTGGGGACCCCACACCCACGAGCCGCCACTCCCCGTTCCCCCCGCCCCAGCCCCTGCATCCACGAATCCACTTCCTGCCCCCGTGGACTTGCCTCTTCTGTTCCTTGCATGCGGACGGAGTCACACGGGGGGCAACCTCTTGCACCTGGCTCCCTGCCCTCGGTGCCACGTTTCCAGGGTTCCTCCACGTCGCAGGCTGTGTCAGCCTCGCTCCTTCCACTGCAGAATTGCGGTCCACAGCCTGGATGGGCCACTCTCCATGTATCCACCTGTCCCTCCGTGGCTGCTGGGCTGAGTCGCTTCTGATGCTAACAAGAGGCGTCCGGCTGGACTAAGGCCCCGGAAGCTGAGAACTGGAGGGCAGGTGCGGGCATCGGGCAGAGCAGCTCCAGCAGGCAGGACCTGGGGCCTCCACCCTGCACCCCTGTGCCCCGCGTGTGGCGGAACCGCCCCGAGGGGAGGCTGTCACCACGGTGACAGGCAGCCCCACGCGAGCCTGAGAACCCTCAGCCCACCTTTTTCTGTAATCACAGCAGGCATCTCTCCGGCAAGTCAATCCAGTTCCAGCTGGTGCTGCCTCCCTTGCCTCATGGGCTTTATTTTAGAACTCTGAGCAATAATAAAAAAGACGCTACCCGCTACAATAGATGTGGCAGAGAATCTGGCTCTTCACTTCATCAGAGATCACCCTGAAATGATGGTTGTTGTTAAGAAAACAGGAGAAATACCTGTTGTATATGATAAACTATAACTTACCCAATCAAAGGTTGCTATTAAAAATCAAGGGGGGGTATTAAAATTTCATCACTGTTAGGTTTGTGGCCGAAATCTAATGACAGAACAAATTGGATCTTTGCACAAATAAAAGGACAATTGCTTTTTAATGCTCCTGCTATTCTTGGACAATCGATGGGCATTTATTTCTGACTGCTGAGTCTCTGGGGACAGAATTGCTTCCTTTAAATTATGACAGAGGCCAACTTTTGCTGTTGTTTTTATGGAAGAACGCGTTGATACGCAGAGGAGGATCAGGGAAGCTCAAGGCCTGCAGGGCGGCCTGCCGTGGCATCTGGGGATAGCGTGAGGCTTTGCTGCTTCCTCTGACAGCTCCTGAGGCCTCAGAAGAAATGAAGCTCTCCACGGACAAGGAAATTGTTTTGAGGCAAAATCTTTCAGCAAAGATGAGAAGTTCCTCCTTCCTTACAACACACAGACTCTGCCTGCTCCTTGCTGGAGATGTGATTTTCCTGCCTCTTTTTCAATCCCCGCCACCTTCCAGACACCCAGTAGAAACCTGAGAGGGATGAGTGAATGAGCTCGCACGTCGCGTGGCCCACAATGGCACACCAGCTTATCCTCCCGCTCCACTCTGCAGATCCTGCCTTCACTGCTCCGCAGATCCTGCCTTCACTGCTCCGCGGATCCTGCCTTCACCACTGCTGTCCATGCAGCCTCTTCCCAGGGGATTTGCAGCACTGATGCACTCTCAATACATATTAGAAAAAATATAACTAGCATACCAATGCATGATTTCACAGAGATGGGGCCAGGCTAAGTCGGCTGACGTTTTAGAATTATTACAGGAAGTATAGTACAGCTGGCAGTCTGTGGCACATAGCTGCACAGGCTGTGCACTCAGCTCCAAGCTGCGTCGTTCAGAATCTGTCATCAACAAGGTTCTGTGGAGTTGAGCAGTGCACAGCCTACGCAACTGCCCATTGCAGTCCTGGCTCCTGATACACAGTTAGGATGAAGCATGGGGGAGGCGGGCAAGTGACTCACTCGAACTTGGGAAATGATGTTCAAGGCAACCACAGAGCTCCTTAGGTAAACTGATCTTTTTTCAGGGGAGAGGGGAGACAGGATCTCACTCTGTTGCCCAGGCTGGAGTGTAGTGGTGCAATACCAGCTCACTGCAGCCTCAATTCCCAGGCTCCAGTGATCCTCCTGCCTCAGCCTCCCTAAGTGCTGGGATAACAGGCGTGAGCTACTGTGCCGGCCGATTGATCTTTTTTTAAACCTCCTACACTAAGCTGAATTGAATGCGGGTTCTGTCATCTGTTGGCATTCAGCATTTGGACGCTGTCTGGGCTGAGGGCTTAACCAGGCTCCAAGGGACTCAAGTCCTGGTGGCTGGAGGAGCAGCGGCCCCTCACCTTGAGCACAGGGACCTGAGTGCACAGGGAGGAGGCACAGGAGGGAGGGGTGGTGGGGTCTTCCAGGCTTTCCTGGCTCATGGCCCAGCAGGCAGGGCTCAGGCCTGCATGGCGAGGTCCTCACGCCGCTGTCTCTGCCTCCCAGGACCCCAGCCATGATCGGCTGCTCCTTCGTAGTGGACCGCGAGTACTTCGGAGACATTGGGCTGCTGGACCCCGGCATGGAGGTGTATGGCGGCGAGAACGTAGAACTGGGCATGAGGGTGAGTGCGGCCCCGGTGTCCAGGGACAGGGTGAGGGCGAGTGAGGCCACAGCGTCTGGGAACAGGATGAGGGCGAGTGAGGCCGCGGTGTCCGGGGACGGGGTGAGGGCGAGTGTGGCTGCAGCGTCCGGGGATGGGGTGAGGGCGAGTGCGGCCACGGCATCTGGGGACGGGGTGAGGGCGAGTGAGGCCGCGGTGTCTGGGGACGGGGTGAGGGCGAGTGCGGC
Source organism: Homo sapiens (assembly GCF_000001405.40). Classification (NCBI taxonomy): domain Eukaryota; kingdom Metazoa; phylum Chordata; class Mammalia; order Primates; family Hominidae; genus Homo; species Homo sapiens. The sequence goes on along the minus strand of NW_021160007.1, from coordinate 154,042 downwards.
CACGGCATCCGGGGACGGGGTGAGGGCGAGTGCGGCCATGGCGTCTGGGGATGGGGTGAGGGCGAGTGTGGCTGCAGTGTCCGGGGACAGGGTGAGGGCGAGTGCAGCCATGGTCTAGGGACAGGGTGAGGTCCAGGGCTCCTGCTCAGCGCACTGAGCCCTCTCCAGAGCCTAGGCTGAGGCAGCTGGAAGCCAAGCTGGGCGGCCAAGGCTCCCAGGGTCCCTGAGCTGGAGTTGGGGACAGTGAGATGGGGCTACCCTGAGTCTTGCTAGAAGCTCAGTGGCAACATCACTGAGAAATTTTGTAGAATCACAAAAGATGGCATTTCCCATGTCTACTTTATTTTTCATGCCCTTTGTTTTGCTGTTTATGAATTGCCCCCAGGTGACAATGGATTGGGACCTTGGAAAGGTGGGTCCTTCGGCACAGAGGGTGGGTGTGAGGCTCTGAGCTCGGCCGGGCTTCTGCCTCCCGGGACTGTGTCTGTGTGAGGCTCTGAGCTGGGCCGGGCTTCTGCCTCCCGGGACCGTGTCCGTGTGAGGCTCTGAGCTCGGCCGGGCTTCTGCTTCTTAGGTTTTTATTTTGGAGGTTGCGGGTTTTTTATTTTGGAGTTTCGTTTGGTTTCCTTTGTGTTTTGCCCATGGGGCTTCTATTCACAGAAAAGAGTTAAGGCTAGTTTTAAAAATTTATATGTAGTTTATTAAGTTGCACCTTTCAAAACCTGTGCTGTAAGCTTGCGGTTCACTTTAAAGATCGTACTATCGTGGACACAAATTCAATCAATAAAACGGCCTCCTTCCCCGTGGCCGCGATTGTTTAACTCAGGTTGGGCAGATTAAATAATACTGTGAGGCCGGGCACTGAGGCTCACGCCTGTAATCCCAACACTGTGGGAGGCAGAGGTGGGTGGATCATGAGGTCAGAAGTTCGAGACCAGCCTGACCAGTATGGTAAAACCCTGCCTCTACTAAAAATACAAAAATTAACCAGGCATGGTGGTGCATGCCTATAATCCCAGCTACTCAGGAGGCTGAGGCAGGAGAATCACTTGAACCCAGGAGGCGGAAATTGCAGTGAGCTGAGATCGCATCACTGCACTCCAGCCTGGGTGACAGAGTGAGACTCCATTTCAAAAAATATATGATAAAATAAAATAAAATAATACCGTGAAACAGAATTCACTGCTTTTGTGCCTTTAAAGTCCCTTGAGCCTTTTAAAAATGGCACTTACAAACATAGTGTTTTATTTTCTTTTAATCACTTTGAATGCCTGATATCATACCAGAAATCCCCCCGACCAAGTGCTTTAAAATATCTAGTTTAATAAATTGAATTGAGACCAGATCTGTGAAGGATGTCAGGACTGTTTGCAGGTGCCTTTAATCCTCTCATCCTGTCCGATTTTAAACTGCACATCTAGAATCAATCCTCAATTACACATTTTTAAAATGGAAGCTGGAAGTTAATCTGGCAGGTTCTTTAATATTCTGACTTCCCTTAACTGCTGTGATTGTTAAACACCAGACCTTGGCGGGTCGGCCGTGGATTGAACGCACCCACGCGGGTGTCGGCTTCTCTCACCGTCTCCCCTGATGCTCACCCTGTGGGGCAGGAGACCAGGCCAGCAGTCAGGGGCCTAAGAAAGCCGAGGCCCTCAGAGGGATGGAACGCACCGCAGAGACGAGGAGGACAGCCTGGGGAGGGTGCCGGGGACCGGCAGTGCGCAGCCACCACCGAGGCCGAAGAGCGAGGGAGGACGGGACCCCTGGGGTGGAGGGCACCCAGCAGATGTGGTCCTGGGGACAGAGCCACCGTCAGTGAAAGACAAGTCGCCTCAGCAGGAAGGGCCCAGGGGAGAAACACGCCCACCTCCCCTCCAAACAAAATCGGCTCCCGTGGGCCAAACCCAGCTGCAGTGAGAGGAGGTCCCAGGAGGCTGGGTCGTGGGTGCATCCCAGGCTCAGGCTCAGAGCAAAGCCGGGACGACAGCGAACCTGTGTGGTGGGCGAGGGTCAGCAGGCCGGGCTGGGGGTGTGGGTGCTGGACCACGGAGGGCCCTGGCTGGGCGAGGGTCAGCAGGCTGGGCTGGGGGTGTGGGTGCCGGACCACGGAGGGCCCTGGCTGGGCGAGGGTCAGCAGGCTGGGCTGGGGGTGTGGGTGCCGGACCACAGAGGGCCCTGGCTGCAGCCGTTGGAGAGCTTCCCTCCCGTCTCCATGACACATGGGCCTTTCTTTTTTTTAAGACAGAGTCTTACTCTGTTGCCCAGGCTGGAGTGCAGTGGCACGATCTCTGCTCACTGCAACCTCCACCTCCCGGGTTCAACTGATTCTCCTGCTTCAGCCTCCCAAGTAGGTGGCACCACAGGCACATGCCACCATGCCCGGCTAATTTTTGTACTTTTAGTAGAGACGAGGTTTCACCATGTTGATCAGGCTAGTCTCAAACTCCTGAGCTCAGGTGATCTGCCCGCCTCTGCCTCCCACAGTGCTGGGATTCCAGGTGTGAACCACCACGCCTGGCTGACATAGGGGCCTTTCTGATGGCCTGACTCCTCCGCGGGGCAGGGGAGCCTGTGTCACCGCGGGTTCTGTCTTTCACCTTCATCCCCTGACAAGGCACAGCTGTGGCCGCGCCCAGCGTTTACTCCACTCCCTGACCTCCCTGCCCTCCCTGCCACCTCTCCCCCGACCTCTCCCCCTGACCTCTCTCCCGTCCTGGGGGCTTGAAAGTTTTCACCTTGGTGTCCTGTCTGGCGGTCAGAGGTTGCTCTACGGTGGGAGACAGGCTGAGAACCAGAACCCAGTTCTCCTGGTGAGGGACAGGAGACTCACCTGTCCCCATCACCACGCCCCCGTCCAACTCCATCACCATGCTGCCCGTCCAGCCCCATCACCACGCCCCCGTCCAGCCCCATCACCACGCCCCCGTCCAGCCCCATCACCACGCCCCCCCATCCAGCCCCATCACCACGCCCCCCCGTCCAGCCCCATCACCACGCCCCCATCCAGCCCCATCACCACGCCCCCGTCCAGCCCCATCACCACGCCCCCGTCCAGCCCCATCACCACGCCCCCCCGTCCAGCCCCCATCACCACGCCCCCATCCAGCCCCATCACCACGCCCCCATCCAGCCCCATCACCACGCCCCCGTCCAGCCCCATCACCACGCCCCCGTCCAGCCCCATCACCACGCCCCCGTCCAGCCCCATCACCACGCCCCCGTCCAGCCCCATCACCACGCCCCCCCGTCCAGCCCCATCACCACGCCCCCATCCAGCCCCATCACCACGCCCCCGTCCAGCCCCATCACCACGCCCCCCCGTCCAGCCCCATCACCACATCCCCCGTCCAGCCCCATCACCACGCCCCCGTCCAGCCCCATCACCACGCCCCCCCGTCCAGCCCCATCACCACATCCCCCGTCTAGCCCCAGCCCTGCCGGGCCCTCAGATGCTGACCACCGCTTTCCAGTCCCCCAGCTCCTTCCCTCCTCCCACCTTGTGCTCTTGGCCCGTGGAGGCACCGCAGGCTGTCTTGGCCCGTGGAGGCACCACAGGTTGTTGGAAGCTGCACCGTGGTCCGAGTGGCCGGCCCGAGGCCTCACTCTGCCGGTGTCGAGAACTGCACGTTGCCGCCCCTGAGGTTGCACTGCCCCCGTCTGTCCCTATGCCCCTAACCACACATCCCTAAAGCTTCCCTTCATTAACATCTTTACTGTTGAGCCCAGTAGGGTGAACTTTCTTTCTTGTGGGGTGTGGCGGACACGGGACTCTTCCAAAAAATATTTAGGATGCAAAGCTGGCAAGAGACGGTGATTGACGGGTGATTGGCCGGTGATTGATGGGTGATTGACGGGTGGGCTGGGACAGCGGCTGATTCCCAGTCCCCAGGCAGGCAGGGCCTTCATAGGGACAGAATGCCAGCCGGTGCGTGGTGGCATGTTGGGGAGAGCCACGATGGACACGTGGAGTTCAGTGGCCCCAGGACAGCCAGGTGGGGCTCACAGTTGGGGTTAAAGCCTGAGAGGCAGAGTGGGGGCTATGCAGAAGCAGTTTGAGGGGATGACAGAGGCGGGAGAAATAGAAATAGAACTGGGGTCTCCTGGGAGCCAGACGAAGAGACGTGGTGTCTGGAGGGAAGGACCAACAACACCAGAGCTGCCCCTACGAACCCAACTTCGTTTCCCCAAAGAGTGGATGCCCTGACCTTCAGGTCGGCCAGGTGGGGCCCCCACCAGAGAGAGAGAGCTCCGGAAGACGAGGAGGACTGGGGCCCCCACCAGAGAGAGCTCCGGAGGACGGGGAGGACTGGACACTGAGGCCACTGGGGGCCCTGATGGCCCCCCGGGAAGGGTGTGTGGTGTGTGTGTAATGGGTATAGGGAGGGCCCCGGGAAGTGTGTGTTGTGTGTGTAATGGGTATAGGGAGGGCCCCGGGAAGGGGGTGTGGCGTGTGTGTAATGGGTATAGGGAGGGCCCCGGGAAGGGTGTGTGGCGTGTGTGTAATGGGTATAGGGAGGGCCCCGGGAAGGGGGTGTGGCGTGTGTGTAATGGGTATAGGGAGGGCCCCGGGAAGGGGGTGTGGCGTGTGTGTAATGGGTATAGGGAGGGCCCCGGGAAGGGGGTGTGGCGTGTGTGTAATGGGTATAGGGAGGGCCCCGGGAAGGGGGTGTGGCGTGTGTGTAATGGGTATAGGGAGGGCCCCGGGAAGGGGGTGTGGCGTGTGTGTAATGGGTATAGGGAGGGCCCCGGGAAGGGTGTGTGTTGTGTGTGTAATGGGTATAGGGAAGGCCCCGGGAAGGGGGTGCGGCGTGTGTGTAATGGGTATAGGGAGGGCCCCGGGAAGGGGGTGTGGCGTGTGTGTAATGGGTATAGGGAAGGCCCCGGGAAGGGGGTGCGGCGTGTGTGTAATGGGTATAGGGAGGGCCCCGGGAAGGGGGTGTGGCGTGTGTGTAATGGGTATAGGGAGGGCCCCGGGAAGGGGGTATGGCGTGTGTGTAATGGGTATAGGGAGGGCCCCGGGAAGGGGGTGTGGCGTGTGTGTAATGGGTATAGGGAGGGCCCCGGGAAGGGGGTGTGGCGTGTGTGTAATGGGTATAGGGAGGGCCCCGGGAAGGGGGTGTGGCGTGTGTGTAATGGGTATAGGGAGGGCCCCGGGAAGGGGGTGTGGCGTGTGTGTAATGGGTATAGGGAAGGCCCCGGGAAGGGGGTGTGGCGTGTGTGTAATGGGTATAGGGAGGGCCCCGGGAAGGGTGTGTGTTGTGTGTGTAATGGGTATAGGGAGGGCCCCGGGAAGGGGGTGTGGCGTGTGTGTAATGGGTATAGGGAAGGCCCCGGGAAGGGGGTGTGGCGTGTGTGTAATGGGTATAGGGAGGGCCCCGGGAAGGGGGTATGGTGTGTGTGTAATGGGTATAGGGAGGGCCCCGGGAAGGGGGTGTGGCGTGTGTGTAATGGGTATAGGGAAGGCCCCGGGAAGGGGGTGTGGCGTGTGTGTAATGGGTATAGGGAGGGCCCCGGGAAGGGTGTGTGTTGTGTGTGTAATGGGTACAGGGAAGGCCCCGGGAAGGGGGTGTGGCGTGTGTGTAATGGGTATAGGGAAGGCCCCGGGAAGGGGGTGTGGCGTGTGTGTAATGGGTATAGGGAGGGCCCCGGGAAGGGGGTGTGGCGTGTGTGTAATGGGTATAGGGAGGGCCCCGGGAAGGGGGTGTGTTGTGTGTGTAATGGGTATAGGGAGGGCCCCGGGAAGGGGGTGTGGTGTGTGTGTAATGGGTATAGGGAGGGCCCCGGGAAGGGGGTGTGTTGTGTGTTTAATGGGGATAGGGACGGCCCCTGGAAGGGGGTGTGTTGTGTGTTTAATGGGTATAGGGAGGGCCCCGGGAAGGGGGTGTGGCGTGTGTGTAATGGGGATAGGGAGGGCCCCGGGAAGGGGGTGTGTTGTGTGTGTAATGGGTATAGGGAGGGCCCCGGGAAGGGTGTGTGTTGTGTGTGTAATGGGTATAGGGAGGGCCCCGGGAAGGGGGTGTGGCGTGTGTGTAATGGGTATAGGGAGGGCCCCGGGAAGGGGGTGTGTTGTGTGTGTAATGGGTATAGGGAGGGCCCCGGGAAGGGGGTGTGGTGTGTGTGTAATGGGTATAGGGAGGGCCCCGGGAAGGGGGTGTGGCGTGTGTGTAATGGGTATAGGGAGGGCCCCTGGAAGGGTGTGTGGCGTGTGTGTAATGGGTATAGGGAGGGCCCCGGGAAGGGGGTGTGGCGTGTGTGTAATGGGTATAGGGAGGGCCCCGGGAAGGGGGTGTGGTGTGTGTGTAATGGGTATAGGGAGGGCCCCGGGAAGGGGGTGTGGCGTGTGTGTAATGGGTATAGGGAGGGCCCCTGGAAGGGGGTGTGTTGTGTGTGTAATGGGTATAGGGAGGGCCCCGGGAAGGGGGTGTGGCGTGTGTGTAATGGGTATAGGGAGGGCCCCTGGAAGGGGGTGTGTTGTGTGTGTAATGGGGATAGGGAGGGCCCTGGGAAGGGGGTGTGGCGTGTGTGTAATGGGTATAGGGAGGGCCCCTGGAAGGGTGTGTGTTGTGTGTGTAATGGGTATAGGGAGGGCCCCGGGAAGGGTGTGTGGCGTGTGTGTAATGGGTATAGGGAGGGCCCCTGGAAGGGTGTGTGTTGTGTGTGTAATGGGTATAGGGAGGGCCCCGGGAAGGGGGTGTGGCGTGTGTGTAATGGGTATAGGGAGGGCCCCGGGAAGGGGGTGTGGCGTGTGTGTAATGGGGATAGGGAGGGCCCCGGGAAGGGTGTGTGGTGTGTGTGTAATGGGTATAGGGACGGCCCTGGGAAGGGGGTGTGGTGTGTGTGTAATGGGTATAGGGACGGCCTTGGGAAGGGTGTGTGGCATGTGTGTAAACATGTATAGATCATACTGCACATTCCAATTCTGCTGGTGATCAGGTTCTGGTAACTTCCCAGGAAACAGAAGGGTTCCAGCAAGATAAGGTAAATTATAAACAGAATAAAAGAGGAAGAAAAACACGGCAGAGAGTGAAGAGGAGCAGGTCCGAGGCCCATAGAGCACAGCCGAGCCCCGGGGCCACGCACGGAGCCCACAGCCGAGCCCCGGGGCCACGCACGGAGCCCACAGCTGAGCCCTGGGGCCACGCCAGGCCCACAGCAGCACTGCCAGCGACTGGAGTGAGTGCCGCCCGGGGTCCGAGCTGGGCACGGCTATTCTTGCTCCGTTCTGAGGGCTGGTTCTGAGGCCATGTCTGCGCTGAACAAGTGGAGGCTGGAAGCCAAAGGGTCCCTTTCACCAGCCACCTGGCCAGCATGGGGTGTACAGTGGGGTCTCCCTGCAGCCCTGGAGTCTGCCGGCCAGAGGCCAGAGCCGGGCCGGGGCTACAGGGAGGGGCACGGTGACCCCCAGCCCGATGGCGGCGCCTGACTTGGTCATATTCCAGATCCCTGACCTGTAGGGCGACCACCCCACTCAACCCCGCCATTTAGAGAGGAGATTCCTCTCAAGCAACGTCCCCTAAATACGCTTGTTCTCAGTGGAGCAACTGTTGAATATTAAACAGCAATGATTTAAGACCACACATCCTGATAGGCCCCAAGGGGAGCAGTTCTATAAACTGCCCAAGGACTGTGGATCTTCCTGTGTTTAGAGCGGCGGGCCTGGGTTGGGGAGCCACTCTTCACCTCTGATCACTCCTCTCCCCAGACACCAGACAGCCTAGCAGCTCCCAGGCAGGCGGCTGCCTGAGGCCAGGCCCCTCACAAGAAATGATTCCCCTCTCTCTGCATCTCTCTCTGTGGTCTGTCTCTCTGTGTCACTCTATCTCCTTGTGTCTGTCTCTCTTTGTCTCTCTCAGTCTTTCTGTGTCTCTTTATCTCTGTCTCTGCATCTGTCTCTGCCTCCCAGTCTCTGCCTCATTCTCTCCATGTCTCTGTCTCTGTCTCTCCCAGTCTTTTTGTCTCTCTGTGTCTCTTTGTCTCAGTCTGTCTGTATCTCTGTCTCTTTGTCTCTCTGTCTCTCTCTGTCTCTGACTCTGTCTCTGACTCTGTCTCTCTGTCTCTCAGTCTCTCAGTGTGTGTGTCTCTCTCTGTCTCTCTGTGTCTCTGTCTCTGTGTCTCTCTGTCTCTGACTGTCTCTGACTCTGTCTCTCTGTATCTCAGTCTCTCAGTGTGTGTGTCTCTCTCTGTCTCTCTGTATCTCTGTCTCTTTGTCTCTCTGTCTCTCTCTGCCTCTCTGTCTCTGACTCTGTCTCTCTGTCTCTCAGTCTCTCAGTGTGTGTCTCTCTTTCTGTCTCTGTGTCTCTGTCTCTGTGTGTCTCTCTCTCTGTCTCTGACTCTGTCTCTGACTCTGTCTCTCTCTCTCAGTCTCTCAGTGTGTGTCTCTCTCTGTCTCTCTGTGTCTCTGTCTCTGTGTCTCTCTGTCTCTCAGTCTCTCAGTGTATGTGTCTCTTTCTCTGTCTCTGTGTCTCTCTGTCTCTCTCTCTGCCTGTCCCCCACCCCCACACAGCTCCTGGGTTCTGACAGATGTCAATGCTGTGTGGCCCCCACCCCCACATGAAGATAAAAAATTCTCCCTCATCCTGAAAAGTACCCCCGTTCTCTTCTAAGCTTTCTGATTATTTCAAGAGGAAAATCTAGGCCAGGTTCTAGAGCACCTCTGATGCTGAACAGTCTCACCTTTCGAGCGGCCATCAGACGACAAAGCCTTCCAGACTGTGGTATCCAACCACTTTAACTGCGGTGTGTATCTTATTGTATTTATTTGTACAGTTATCTCTCATTTTTGGCAAGAGATAATGGTCCTCTCCTAAGGCAGTGATAAAGAGTTTCCTGTTAAAATTCATGCAGTTATCCTTTGGGTGGATTTAAAGACGTGTGTTAGGTAAATGGTAGCACGTCCCTGGGCGGGTGGCCTGCAGATGAGGGGGCGGAGGAATCAGGCTGTCATTCTCCTGGCCCCTCCCACAGCCCTGGGGAGGAGCTGAGGCCCAGAGAGGCTGAGTGACCTGCCCAGGGCCACGCAGCAGATGGATGTGAGACTCACACTCAGGCCTGCCCACCTTCGCCTTCCACTGGCCCAGGTGCAGGTCAGCCAGGCCAGGAGTCCCCATCCCTAGGGCAGCCCCTCCCCATGCCACGGCCCCGCCCTCTGGCCTGTCCTGGGCATCTGCAAAACCGTGGTCTCTCTGGCACCAGCAGTGGCACAATGTCCAGGAGACCTTGACACCATGTCGCCCCTGCGGCTGCTGCCCCGGCCTCCACTCCCCCTTACAGGAAGCCGTAGTAGGGTTATGAGTGCGCCGTCTCCACGTCCCCCTGCCCGGCCCCTCCTGAAGCCCCCCATCCAGCTCTGTCCCCCTCGCCAGTGACCCCAGAGCTACCTGCAAAGGGGAGTCCTCGGTCTCCGCCGTGAGGGACCCAGCAGCCGGCCGTGTCCCTCATGGGCTCTGGGATGACGCCCCCTCTCTCCCCTCTCTCCTGGGTCCTGAGCAGCCCCTGCCCGCGTCCTTAGCCTTGGAAGCATCAGCCAGGCTCGTTGCTGTAAGGTCATGACTATGTCCTTCAAGCCACCGAGCTGTGGAATTCGTGGCGGACGGCAGCCACAGGAAACACACGTGACCTCCACCTGACCTTGGCTCACCCACTGCAGAGTCCTTGCCTGGCTCCCCGTCTGCTGGGGTCACAGATGTTTCCTGAGGGCCTGGGTCTAGGCCGCACGCTGGGGAGAGGTAGAGGCCCTGAAGCTGGAGGGCAGCAGGGGCAGGCCTGGCACGGGGGTCCCTCATGCAGAGGTTTTGGGTCACATGCCACAGATGGAGGGTTCCACCCCCCAACCTCCACCGCAGGCCTGGCAGATGCCTGTCCGCTCGGGTCAAGCGCTGTCCCGGGCTTGCTTCCATGCCACGTGGTGAGGCTGCGTCAGGCCCCACCAATTCTGCACAGGTGGCCCCGAACTGAGCACATATTTCCTTTGCCTGAGCAGAAGGGAGGGGACCCCATCCCCCACCCACGAACCACCACACTGGGCATCTCCTGCAGAGGCAGCTGTGGGCAGGTGTGTGGTGTGAGCAGGTGTGTGGTGTGAGCAGTTACTGGCAGGTGTTAGCAGGTGTGAGCAGGTATATGCAGTTGTGAGTAGGCGTAGGTAGGTACAGGCAGCTGTATGCAGGTGTCAGCAGGTGTGGGCAGCTGTGTGCAGGTGTAAACAGGTATGGGCAGGTGTGAGCAGCAGTGAACAGGTAAAAGCAGGTGTCAGAAGGTGTAGGCAGGTGTTTGGGCAGGTGTGAGCACCTGTGTACGGTATAAGCAGATGTCAGAAGGTGTAGGCAGGTGCAGGCAGCTGTGAGCAGGTTTGGGCAGGTGTGAGCAGCTGTGAACTGGTGTGGATGGGTGTGAGCAGGTGTGGACAGGTATGAACAGGTGTGGACGGGTGTGATCAGGTGGCCTGGGGCAGCTGAGGGTACACGGCAGATACAGGAGCTCCACGTGAAGGCAGCCAGACTCCAGGTCAGGACACAGCCAACCAGCCCTGGGTCCCACACTGCCTGCACAGCCTCAGCAGCCACAGTCCCGAGAGACCTGGCCGCTCCACACTGGGGTCAGGGCAGCCCTGGGCTCCCTGAGAGATGGAGGAGAAGTCCAGTGGAGAAGAGGACCTGGGCGGAATCCCATGGGCCATGGAGCACCCGGAGAGATCCAGGATACGAGGGTTACCAGATTGGATGAGGATAAGAACAGCTGTGGGGCCTGCGGGAGGAAGCCAGGCTGTGGGAGGCCACACGACCAGCACCCACATGGCTTTCCCATCCCGATGCCACAAAGACCACAGCCAAACCAACCCTGGGAAAACGGGCATGAGGGGCCGCCATGCCCAGGATAGACCACAGGGATCACCACTGACTTGAAATTGGGGGCACAGCAAGACTTAGACACGGGAGACCCCCAGGAGGCGTGGCTGGCCGAGGCCAGGCTTGATGCCCCGAAACCTTACACCTTGCGAGGCTGGGCGATCTTCGGGATGGCTTTGGTTTTCGCTGATTATTTTAACCAGGTACAGATAAGGGTGGACTCTTGAAGGAAATCAAAGTGCAAGTTTGGAGCTTGAAAGGAAAGATAGAAGAAAGGAAAGAAGGTGGGAAGGAAGGAAGGGGAAAGGGCTGGGGGAGGGAGAGACGCCATCCCCCCACGTCTGTGATGATTTTGCAGAGCTGACTCCCTGGCAGCCGTGATGACAGGTGCTATGGGGCCTCAGGGAGCTCCGCAGACGCTGTGGGGTCTTCCCCTCCGGTTCCGAGGCCCCCTCCAGAGACACCAGGCCTGGAGCCCGCAGCCCCCACACTGGATGTGGCTCCCTTGGCCCCGACCCAGGCCCACCGCGACCCCCACTCCAGGGCCATGGCCCCCACCCGCTCCCCGCCAGCCGCCTGTCGGGGCTGTCATTGCTGATTTATTCACGAGATCGATGCCTGGGGGAGGGAGGCTGGCATTTGCTTGTATTTGAAAGGCCCGTCTGACCTTGAACTCCAGCCCAGGGGATCTTCTGCCCTGTCCCGAGGGTTGAACTCCAGCCCGGGGGACCCTCCTGCCCTGTCCCGAGGGTTGAACTCCAGCCCGGGGGACCCTCCTGCCCTGTCCCGAGGGTTGAACTCCAGCCCGGGGGACCCTCCTGCCCTGTCCCGAGGGTTGAACTCCAGCCCGGGGGACCCTCCTGCCCTGTCCCGAGGGTTGAACTCCAGCCCGGGGGACCCTCCTGCCCTGTCCCGAGGGTTGAACTCCAGCCCGGGGGACCCTCCTGCCCTGTCCCGAGGGTTGAACTCCAGCCCGGGGGACCCTCCTGCCCTGTCCCGAGGGTTGAACTCCAGCCCGGGGGACCCTCCTGCCCTGTCCCGAGGGTTGAACTCCAGCCCGGGGGACCCTCCTGCCCTGTCCCGAGGGTTGAACTCACTCCAGCCCGGGGGACCCTCCTGCCCTGTCCCGAGGGTTGAACTCCAGCCCGGGGGACCCTCCTGCCCTGTCCCGAGGGGCTGGCCGCCAGGGCCGCTGGGGGCTGAGCAACTGGCTCTGGCTGCTGTGGGGTGGGTGGAAGGGCAGGGTCTCCCCCTTCCCCAACTCCATGCTGACCACCCTGGAGGGGCACTTCAAGGGGGTTTGGAAAGAGGTCGGGTACCTTTCCCCACCTCCGAGCTGTGCCCCAGCTTCCTTCTCTTCTGAGCTCCAGTTCCCGCAGCCGGTGCCCCCCAACACTCTCTCCCTCTGCTCTCTCCTCCTGTCCACCTCTCCTCTAGGACCCTGGGTTCAAATCTTGGCTCTACCCCACACAGTTTGTTTGGAAGCTGCCTGATTCCCAGTCTCCGGGTCCCAGCTCCAATGACCACACCGTGCACAGCGCCCACCGCACCCGGCTCCTCACTCCTCCAGCACTGTCCTCTGCCCCACACACTCTGAGCTTGTGGGCCAGCTCCACGCTGTCTCCTCTCTCACGCCATCGAGTGTGTGGCACTAGGGGCTCCACGCTGTCCCTGTCACCCCATCGAGTGTGTGGCACTAGGGACTCCACGCTGTCTCCTCTCTCACGCCATCGAGTGTGTGGCACTAGGGACTCCACGCTGTCTCCTCTGTCGCCCCATCGAGTGTGTGGCACCAGGGACTCCACGCTGTCTCCTCTGTCGCCCCATCGAGTGTGTGGCACTAGGGGCTCCACACTGTCTCCTCTGTCGCCCCATCGAGTGTGTGGCACTAGGGACTCCACGCTGTCTCCTCTGTCGCCCCATCGAGTGTGTGGCACTAGGGACTCCATGCTGTCTCCTCTGTCGCCCCATCGAGTGTGTGGCACTAGGGACTCCACGCTGTCTCCTCTGTCGCCCCATCGAGTGTGTGGCACTAGGGGCTCCACGCTGTCTCCTCTGTCGCCCCATCGAGTGTGTGGCACTAGGGACTCCACGCTGTCTCCTCTCTCACGCCATCGAGTGTGTGGCACTAGGGACTCCACGCTGTCTCCTCTCTCACGCCATCGAGTGTGTGGCACTAGGGACTCCACGCTGTCTCCTCTGTCGCCCCATCGAGTGTGTGGCACCAGGGACTCCACGCTGTCTCCTCTGTCGCCCCATCGAGTGTGTGGCACTAGGGGCTCCACACTGTCTCCTCTGTCGCCCCATCGAGTGTGTGGCACTAGGGACTCCACGCTGTCTCCTCTGTCGCCCCATCGAGTGTGTGGCACTAGGGACTCCATGCTGTCTCCTCTGTCGCCCCATCGAGTGTGTGGCACTAGGGACTCCACGCTGTCTCCTCTGTCGCCCCATCGAGTGTGTGGCACTAGGGGCTCCACGCTGTCTCCTCTGTCGCCCCATCGAGTGTGTGGCACTAGGGACTCCACGCTGTCTCCTCTGTCGCCCCATCGAGTGTGTGGCACTAGGGACTCCACGCTGTCTCCTCTGTCGCCCCATCGAGTGTGTGGCACTAGGGACTCCACGCTGTCTCCTCTGTCGCCCCATCGAGTGTGTGGCACTAGGGACTCCACGCTGTCTCCTCTGTCGCCCCATCGAGTGTGTGGCACTAGGGACTCCACGCTGTCTCCTCTGTCGCCCCATCGAGTGTGTGGCACTAGGGACTCCACGCTGTCTCCTCTCTCACGCCATCGAGTGTGTGGCACTAGGGACTCCACGCTGTCTCCTCTGTCGCCCCATCGAGTGTGTGGCACCAGGGACTCCACGCTGTCTCCTCTGTCGCCCCATCGAGTGTGTGGCACTAGGGGCTCCACACTGTCTCCTCTGTCGCCCCATCGAGTGTGTGGCACTAGGGACTCCACGCTGTCTCCTCTGTCGCCCCATCGAGTGTGTGGCACTAGGGACTCCATGCTGTCTCCTCTGTCGCCCCATCGAGTGTGTGGCACTAGGGACTCCACGCTGTCTCCTCTGTCGCCCCATCGAGTGTGTGGCACTAGGGGCTCCACGCTGTCTCCTCTGTCGCCCCATCGAGTGTGTGGCACTAGGGACTCCACGCTGTCTCCTCTCTCACGCCATCGAGTGTGTGGCACTAGGGACTCCACGCTGTCTCCTCTGTCGCCCCATCGAGTGTGTGGCACCAGGGACTCCACGCTGTCTCCTCTGTCGCCCCATCGAGTGTGTGGCACTAGGGGCTCCACACTGTCTCCTCTGTCACCCCATCGAGTGTGTGGCACTAGGGACTCCACGCTGTCTCCTCTCTCACGCCATCGAGTGTGTGGCACTAGGGACTCCACGCTGTCTCCTCTGTCGCCCCATCGAGTGTGTGGCACTAGGGGCTCCACGCTGTCTCCTCTGTCGCCCCATCGAGTGTGTGGCACTAGGGGCTCCACGCTGTCTCCTCTGTCGCCCCATCGAGTGTGTGGCAGTAGGGACTCCACGCTGTCTCCTCTGTCGCCCCATCGAGTGTGTGGCACTAGGGGCTCCACGCTGTCTCCTCTGTCGCCCCATCGAGTGTGTGGCACTAGGGACTCCACGCTGTCTCCTCTGTCGCCCCATCGAGTGTGTGGCACTAGGGGCTCCACGCTGTCTCCTGTCGCCCCATGGAGTGTGTGGCAGTAGGGGACTCCACGCTGTCTCCTCTGTCGCCCCATCGAGTGTGTGGCACTAGGGACTCCACGCTGTCTCCTCTGTCGCCCCATCGAGTGTGTGGCACTAGGGACTCCACGCTGTCTCCTCTGTCGCCCCATCGAGTGTGTGGCACTAGGGACTCCACGCTGTCTCCTCTGTCGCCCCATCGAGTGTGTGGCACTAGGGACTCCACGCTGTCTCCTCTGTCGCCCCATCGAGTGTGTGGCACTAGGGACTCCACACTGTCTCCTCTGTCGCCCCATCGAGTGTGTGGCACTAGGGACTCCACGCTGTCTCCTCTGTCGCCCCATCGAGTGTGTGGCAGTAGGGACTCCACACTGTCTCCTCTGTCGCCCCATCGAGTGTGTGGCACTAGGGACTCCACGCTGTCTCCTCTGTCGCCCCATCGAGTGTGTGGCAGTAGGGACTCCACACTGTCTCCTCTGTCGCCCCATCGAGTGTGTGGCACTAGGGACTCCACGCTGTCTCCTCTGTCGCCCCATCGAGTGTGTGGCACTAGGGACTCCACACTGTCTCCTCTGTCGCCCCATCGAGTGTGTGGCACTAGGGACTCCACGCTGTCTCCTCTGTCGCCCCATCGAGTGTGTGGCACTAGGGACTCCACGCTGTCTCCTCTGTCGCCCCATCGAGTGTGTGGCACTAGGGACTCCACGCTGTCTCCTCTGTCGCCCCATCGAGTGTGTGGCACTAGGGACTCCACACTGTCTCCTCTGTCGCCCCATCGAGTGTGTGGCACTAGGGACTCCACGCTGTCTCCTCTGTCGCCCCATCGAGTGTGTAGCACTAGGGGCTCCACGCTGTCCCTGTCACCCCATCGAGTGTGTGGCACTAGGGACTCCACGCTGTCTCCTCTGTCGCCCCATCGAGTGTGTGGCACTAGGGACTCCACGCTGTCTCCTCTGTCGCCCCATCGAGTGTGTGGCACTAGGGACTCCACGCTGTCTCCTCTGTCGCCCCATCGAGTGTGTGGCACTAGGGACTCCACGCTGTCTCCTCTGTCGCCCCATCGAGTGTGTGGCACTAGGGGCTCCACGCTGTCTCCTCTGTCGCCCCATCGAGTGTGTGGCAGTAGGGACTCCACACTGTCTCCTCTGTCGCCCCATCGAGTGTGTGGCACTAGGGACTCCATGCTGTCTCCTCTGTCGCCCCATCGAGTGTGTGGCACTAGGGACTCCACGCTGTCTCCTCTGTCGCCCCATCGAGTGTGTGGCACTAGGGACTCCACGCTGTCTCCTCTGTCGCCCCATCGAGTGTGTGGCACTAGGGACTCCACGCTGTCTCCTCTGTCGCCCCATCGAGTGTGTAGCACTAGGGGCTCCACGCTGTCCCTGTCACCCCATCGAGTGTGTGGCACTAGGGACTCCACGCTGTCTCCTCTGTCGCCCCATCGAGTGTGTGGCACTAGGGACTCCACGCTGTCTCCTCTGTCGCCCCATCGAGTGTGTGGCACTAGGGGCTCCACGCTGTCTCCTCTGTCGCCCCATCGAGTGTGTGGCACTAGGGGCTCCACGCTGTCTCCTCTGTCGCCCCATCGAGTGTGTGGCACTAGGGGCTCCACGCTGTCTCCTCTGTCGCCCCATCGAGTGTGTGGCAGTAGGGGCTCCACGCTGTCTCCTCTGTCGCCCCATCGAGTGTGTGGCACTAGGGACTCCACGCTGTCTCCTCTGTCGCCCCATCGAGTGTGTGGCACTAGGGACTCCACGCTGTCTCCTCTGTCGCCCCATCGAGTGTGTGGCACTAGGGGCTCCACGCTGTCTCCTCTGTCGCCCCATCGAGTGTGTGGCACTAGGGACTCCACGCTGTCTCCTCTGTCGCCCCATCGAGTGTGTGGCACTAGGGACTCCACGCTGTCTCCTCTGTCGCCCCATCGAGTGTGTGGCAGTAGGGGACTCCACGCTGTCTCCTCTGTCGCCCCATCGAGTGTGTGGCACTAGGGGCTCCACGCTGTCTCCTCTGTCGCCCCATGGAGTGTGTGGCAGTAGGGGCTCCACGCTGTCTCCTCTGTCGCCCCATCGAGTGTGTGGCACTAGGGACTCCACGCTGTCTCCTCTGTCGCCCCATCGAGTGTGTGGCACTAGGGACTCCACGCTGTCTCCTCTGTCACTCCATCGAGTGTGTGGCACTAGGGTGAGTCTCTGTCACTACTTTTCCAGTGCCCAGAAGAGTGTGAGGCTCAGCAGAGTCTCACCAAGACGTCCCGAATGGAGGTTGGGAGCCCTGCAGTGGCCTGCGGTGTGGTCTGCCTGTAATGAGCTCAAGGGAGGCTGAAACACCAACAAAATAAATCGATCCATTAACCCGGACTGTTACCCCGTTAACACATACCTCAGCCTCCAGTGTGGCTATCACACGTCAGCCAGCCCCTCCCTGCCAAAATATGCCGTGTCCCAGCTACAGGAGGACCGGGCCTCACCCTTCTGATTTAAGGGCTGCGGGGAAGGGGTCCTGCCCGGGCAGCCTTCTCATCCACTCCGTGAGGACTTCCCCGCCACGAGGGCCAGGTGGCGCGGCCTTGGCAGTGGACAGATTAACAGGACTCCCCCGCCACGAGGGCCAGGCAGCGTGGCCTTGGCAGTGGACGGATTAAAGGGCTCCCCAGCCCGCGTGGGTTATGGGGCTTTTTCTATGCCCGTCGATCTGGCAGCGAACGCCAGGTGCCCGTAGACCCACCAAACCCCCCTGCAGTTGGTTTGTACCCCAGCTCCTTTTGCCTTGTAGCAGATCACCCCATAATTTAGTGGCTTAAAGTGACTGTTTCATTTTGTTCACAATCTTGTGGGTCAGGAACTCGGGAAGGCGGATGCTGTCCTGTGTGGCGGCCCCCATCACAAGGCTCACAGGCAGGACGTCCAGCAAGGGGCACGCACACACATGGCAGGGGGTGCGTGGACTCCGGAGGGTTCAGCTGGGGCAGGTGGCTGTGCGCGGCCTCTCCACAGCTGGGCTTCCTGGTGGTATGTGAATTTTGGTGGCCCAGGCTGGAATTACGATGCCCTCTGTGCCCCACCTTGGATGACCCGGTGGCGACTGTTGATGGATGCAGCCACACGCCTGCCCAGGTTCAAGGGGGCGGCACCGGGACCCAGGTCGGCCTGGCAGAAGGGTCCGGGAATGTGCATTCTTTGTGTATTTCACTGTTCTTTGCTTGTTCAGCAGAGTGAGGTGGCTGAGATTGGGGCTGAGAGCCTGTGACTCCACCACCGACGGACGGTGACCTTGGGCAAGCTCCTAGCTTCTCACAGCCCCGGCTTCCTCATCGGAGAAAGGATTCCTTTATTAGGATTAAATCAGTGAACACCTGTGGTGCCCTGAACCCCGTAACTGGCACTGAGTTGGTGCTTCACAGATGCCGGTGACCATGATTTCTTTCTCGCCTGGGACTCAGGGAGAGGCTGGTGGCTTCCCAGCTAAGCTTGCCAACCATGCCGGCCGTGTGGCCCGAGAAGGGTGGGGACGGCCCCGCTGAGGCACAGGCGGCCTCTCTCCCAGCCCCATCCCCGTCACGCGTGCTCATGAGAGCAGGACTTACTGCGGGGCTGTGCCTGCGAGTGTGGCCCTGGGGCCTGCCGCGGGGTGTGGTCGGTGTCTGGGGCATTAGTGAATGAACAGATAAGTCATCTGGATAGTCTCTCCATAAAGTGCTCGTGCCAGGGCAGGACGGGTGGGGCGTCAAAGGGAAGCGAGTTATTCATTGGCTGAACAGACTCCTGAGTGAGCTCAGGTGCTGGAGGCTGCTCTGGGTTCAGGTTCCACAGAGAGCAAAGCAGACAAAGCGTGCGCCTCGTGGGGCTTGCCTCTGGTGACCCAGGGCGAGATGGGGCGTGGGCTCCACCTGCGGTGGAGAGGCCTAAGTGGGGAGAAGACCAGGGAACGGTGCACGGAGCGGCCACCTGTGAGCCAGGATGGAGGAGCAGAGGCAGCTGCAGGGAACAGTGTTCCAGCAGAGGGATTGGCAAGGGCAAAGGCTCTGCCGCCCTGAGACTGGTACGTGTCCAGGGGAGGGCGGCCCCCTGCCCCATGCACTGGCACAGGTGTGTGCCCCAGGACCACGTGGCCATGTGTTCTGCCCCTGGCTCCTGTGCACCCGTGTCTAACCCGTCCACACCGGCGGCCTCTCTGATCAATTCAGCCCAATTAGAGGAGTAATTCTCCCGTCTTGGGGCCAATTTACATTTCTGCGACGGTAGAAATGCCAGCTGCTCATCTTCTAATGAGGAAAGTCCTAGAGCCAGTTAGAGGAAAATGAGTCCATCGCGTCTATTAGGCTTAATAAAGGTCAGGACGGAATCAAGTGTGAGAGTCGGGCCAGGAAAGCCATCTGCAGAGCGGAAGTTGGAAATCGTTTGCTCTCTGTCTTGAAACGCTCGGACATGCTGCTCCTCGGGTGTTACAGGAAAACCTCCTCTTGCACACGGAAGGCACCTCCTGGACCCTCGAGACCCCACTCCGCTGGGGGGCTGTGTGAGCATCAGAACGTCTGGGGCCGGGGGGGTGGCTTTTGCAATTCTCCAAGGGGGTGGGTTCATCAAGATCCTGTTAATAAGCCCTGTCTCGCCAGAGGCAAAGAGGTGTCACCCTTCCTCTGGGGAGGGAGCGAGGAGGTGCTGACTGGCCGCCCTGTCTTGCCAGAGGCAAAGAGGTATCACCCTTCCTCTGGGGAGGGAGCGAGGAGGTGCTGACGGGCCGCCCTGCCTCGCCAGAGGCAAAGAGGTATCACCCTTCCTCTGGGGAGGGAGCGAGGAGGTGCTGACGGGCCGCCCCGCCACCCACACTCAGGGAAAGGGAGTGCCGGGGTCAGAGGGACGCTGGGGAGGGACGCCGGGGAGGGATGCAGGTGTCAGAGGGACGCCGGGGAGGGACGCGGGGGTGTCTCCTTTCTGCATGAGTGGAGGGCAGAGGGAGAGGCTGGAGAGAGACTGAAGCCCTGTTCTTGTTCTCTAGAGCTGCTTTGTCCAAGGGCTTGTTCCAGCCACAGGTGGTTGGTGCCCCCCCGCCACCCCTGCTGGGGCGGCACATGGCGTCCTCACCAAGTCTGGCACCGCCACTCCCCAGCAGACCACAGAGCAGGCTGTAGCTACAAGACGGGCCACTCACCTGCCCACAGCCCCTGCTCAACCTCAGCAGGTCAACCAGGCCTCCAGGCTGCAGGGAGGAGACAGATGGGGAAACCGAGGCTCAGAGCAAGAAGGTGTGGGGACGGGGAGGTCTCTGTCCATTTGCACATCCCTGTGGGGAAGCCCCGCTGAGCACGAGGGGTCTTCAGAAGACCCCTCCACGTTGCCTTTGGACCCTGCCTCTGCCCATTAACCAGCGGGGCTGCCTCCGTACCCTGAGCCTCCGTTTCCCCATCTGTCACTAAGGATGACAATACGACTACACCCCTGGGGCTCTTTCAGGATTAAACGCAGTGGGGCTCTCAGTGCCTGGGATACAGCAAGCATGCTAATTTTCATCACGTGCAGACATTCCTTAAACACCAGTTTTCTTTTCTTTAGAAAAGCTGTTTTAGATGTAAAAGCACTGGATATAAGTTAACTAGAACAAAATAAAAATCACCCACAATTCTGCCTCTGTCTGGGCCGAGACGTGCACCTCGCTGGAGCCCGTCTGCGTCTGTCAGACTCTGTCTGTGGTGCGTGCGTGTGCCTGGGTGTAACGCGGCCTGAGGTGTTGCTTTCACAGGCACACGCTTCGGAGGGAGCTGCGGCCAGCAGGGTCGGGGAGCTGGGCCGGGGAGAGGGTCGCAGGCCTTTGTCCGTGCAATGCACTTCCCCACACGCGTTCGGGGACGGCACCATGCACAGCTGCACGCTGGTGCCCCGGGGTTCTGCTGACGAGCTGGGGAGCCATTTCGGTGCCTCCGTTCCATCTGGCACAGAAACGATTCTTCCTGTATCTGAGTCTCTCCTCATGCCCTAGCCATTTCCTCAGGCTGAATTTCTAGAAGCGAAATTACTGACTCAGGAAACGCATATTTTCATGGATTTATGTACAATTTGCCAAATTCACCTCCCTCCTCCCAAAGAAAAAGCTATGGGTTGTGTGTGGGTGTGGGTGTGTGTGTGTATGGGGTGTATGTATGTGTGTGGGGGGGATGGGTGTGTATGTACAGTGTGGGGTGTGTATACAGTGTGTATGGGGTGTATGTGGGGTGTGTACAGTGTGTGGGGTATGTATATGGTGTGTGTGGGGCGTGTTTATGGAGTGTATGTGTGTGGGGTGTGTATGTACAGTGTATGGGGTGTGTATATGGTGTGTGTGGGGTGTGTTTATGGGATGTGTGTGGGTGTGTATATGGGGTGTATGTGTGGGATGTGTATGTACAGTGTGTGGGGTGGGTGTATGGGGTGTATGTGTGTGGGATGTGTATTTGGTGTGTATGTACAGTGTGTGGGGTGGGTGTTTGGTGTGTATGTACAGTGTGTGTGGGGTGTGTATATGGGGGTGCATGGGGTGCATGTGGGGTGTGTATATACAGTGGGGTGTGGGGTGTGTGGTGTGTATGTGTGTGGGGTGTATGTGGGTGTGTATATACAGTGGGGTGTGGGTTGTGTGTTGTGTATGTGTGTGGGGTGTGTATATGGTATGTATGGGGCATATGTGTGGCGTGCATGTGTACAGTGTGTGGGGTGGGTGTATGTGTGTGGGATATGTCTGTACAGTGTGGGGTGTGTACATGGGGTATATGAGGTGTATGTGTGTGGGATGTGTATGTACAGTGTGTGGGATGTGTATATGGGGTATAAGGGATGTATGTGTGAGGTGTATGTACAGTATGTGCAGCGTGTATATGGTGTGTATGAGGTGTATGTGTGGGGTGTGTATGTACCGTGTGTGGGGTGTGTGTATATGTTGTGTATGGGGTGTATGTGTGGGTTGTGTATGTACAGTGTGGGGTGTATGTGTGTGGGGTGTGTATATGGTGTGTATGGGGTGTATGTGTGGGGTGTGTATGTACAGTGTGGGGTGTGTGGGATGTATGTGTGTAGGGTGTGTATTTGGGGTGTATGCGTGTGGGATGTGTATGTACAGTGTGGGGTGTGTGTATAGTGTGTATGGGGTGTATGTGGGGTGTGTACAATGTGGGGTGTGTGGGGTGTATGTGTGTGGGGTGTGTACAGTGTGTGGGGTGTGCATATGGGGTGTATGGGGTGTGTGTGTGGGTTGTATATGTACAGTGTGTGGGGTGTGGGTTGTGGGGTGTGTGGTGTGTATGGGGGGTGTGTATACACAGTGTGGGGTGTGGGTTGTGTGGTGTGTGTGAGGGTATGCATGTACAGTGGGGTGTGGGTTGTGTGGCGTGTGTGGGGTGTATACAGCATGTGTAGTGTGGGTTGTGGGGGGTGTGTATGTACAGTGTTGTGTGTATGGGGTGTGTACGTACAGTGTGTGTATGGGGTGTGTACGTACAGTGTGTGGAGTGTGTGTGTGGGGTGTGTATATACAGTGTGTGGGGTGTGGGTTGTGTGATGTGCATGTGTGGGGTGTGTATATATAGAATGTGGTGTGTGGGTTGTGTGGGGTGTGTATGTACAGTGTGGGGTGTGTGTTGTGTGTGGCATGTGTATATACAGTGTGTGGAGTGTGGATTGTGTGGTATGTATGTGTGTGGGATGTGTATGTACAGTGGAGTTTCAGTTGTGTGGTGTGTGTGTGGGGGGTGTATATAGTGTGTGGGTTGTGTGGTGTGTATGTGTGTAGGGTGTGTACAGCGTGTGGGGTGTGAGTTGTGTGGTATGTATATGTGGGGGTGTTTATGTACAGTGTGTGGCATGTGGGTTGTGTGGGGGTGGTGTGTATGTAGTGTGGGGTGGGTTGTGTGGTGTGTGGGGGGTGTATAAGTATAGTATATGGGATGTGTATATGGAGTATATGCAGTGTATGTGTGTGGGTTGTGTATGTACAGTGTGTGGGTTGTGTGGTATGTGTGTAGGGTGTGTACAGTGTGTGAGGTGTGAGTTGTGTGGTATGTATATGTGGGGGTGTGTATGTACAGTGTGTGGCATGTGGGTTGTGTGTGGGGGGGTGGTGTGTATGTAGTGTGTGGGGTGTGGGTTATGTGGTGTGTGGGGGGGGTGTACGTATAGTGTATAGGGTGTGTATATGGGGTGTATGTGTGTGGGGTGTGTATGTACAGTGTGTGGGGTGTGGGTTGTGTTTATGCATGTGGCACGTGTATATACAGTGTGTGCAGTGTGGATTGTGTGGTATGTGTGGGGTGTGTACATTACAGTGTGTGGAGTGTGGGTTGTGTGGTGTGTATGTGGGAGGGTGTGTATGTGTGTGGGGTGTGTGTATGAGATGTATGTGTGTGGGGTGTGTACAGTGTGGGGTGTGGGAGGGGTGTGGGGTGTGTATGGTGTATGGGGCGTATGTCTGGTGTGTATGCACAGTGTGGGGTGTGTAGTGTGGGGTGTATAGGTACAGTGTGGGGTGTGTATGTACGCTGGGGTGTGTATATGGGGTGTATGGGGTGTATGTTTGTGGGGTGTGGGTTGTGTGGTGTGTGTGTGTGGGGTGTGGGTTGTGTGGGGTGTGGGTTGTGTGGGGTGTATGTGGGGTGTGTGGGGTGTCTGTGTATGGGGGTGTGGGTTGTGTGGGGTGTGGGTTTTGTGTGTGTGTGGGGTGCGGGTTGTGTGGGGTGCGGGTTGTGTGGGGTGCGGGTTGTGTGGTGTGTGTGTGGGGTGTGGGTTGTGTGGGGTGTGTGTGGGGTGTGGGTTGTGTGGGGTGTGTGTGGGGTGTCTGTATGAGGGGTGCAGGTTGTGTGGGGTGCGAGTTGTGTGGGGTGTGGGTTGTGTGGTGTGTGTGTGTGGGGTGTGGGTTGTGTGGGGTGTATGTGGGGTGGGTTGTGTGGGGTGTATGTGGGGTGTGTGGGGTGTCGGGTACGGGTTGTGTGGGGAGTGGGTTGTGTGGTGTGTGTGGGGGGGTGTGGGGTGTATGTGGGGTGTTTGGGGTGTCTGTATGAGGGGTGTGGGTTGTGTGGGGTGTGGGTTGTGTGGGGTGCGGGTTGTGTGGGGTGCGGGTTGTGTGGGGTGTGGGTTTGTGTGTGTGGGGTGTGGGGTGTGTGGGGTGTATGTGGGGTGTGGGTTGTGTGGGGTGTCTGTGTGGGGTGTATGTGGGGTGTGGGTTGTGTGGGGTGTCTGTGTGGGGTGTGGGTTGTGTAGGATGGGTGTGTGGGGTGTATGTGGGGTGTGGGTTGTGTGGGGTGTCTGGGGTGCGGGTTGTGTAGGGTGTATGTGGGGTGTGGGTTGTGTGCGGTGTGGGTTGTGTGGTGTGTGTGTGGGGTGTGTGTGGGGTGTCTGGGGTGCGAGTTGTGTAGGGTGTGGGGTGTGTGTGGGGGGTGTATGTGGGGTGTGGGTTGTGTGGTGTGTCTGTGTGGGGTACGGGTTGTGTAGGGTGTGGGTTGTGTGGGGTGTATGTGGGGTGTGGGTTGTGTGGGGTGCGGGTTGTGTGGGGTGTGAGTTGTGTGGTGTGTGTGGGGTGTGGGTTGTGTGGGATGTATGTGGGGTGTGGGTTGTGTGGGGTGCGGGTTGTGTGGGGTGTATGTGTGTTGTGTGGCGTGTCTGTGTGTGTGGTGTGCGGGTTGTGTAGGGTGTGGGTTGTGTGGTGTGTGGCGGGGGGTGCGTCCATAGCGTCCGTATCTCCTCCTCAGTCGTTCATGAGAAAGCGGCCTCCCAGGTCTTGCAGCACTCAGGAGCCGATGGAATGTGATAATTGTCACTTTTGCAATCACGACAGGCATGCAGGAAGTGCCTCTGCGGCGTCTCTGTGTTTCCTCCGTGGCTAACGAGCCTGAGTGCTCCACGCATCGTCGGCTGCATCTTTCTTCCTTTGCCAGCTGCTGCTCGCGGTGCCCCTTGTGTGCTTGTTCATGTGAGGAGCTCTTAGCCCTGGGGGCAGAAACTGCGTGTGTGACCAAGCGCTTTCCCTGTTGGTCTGGCTTCATTTTATGGTGTTGAGTTTTTGATACACAGGAATTAGTAACTGTGAACTGTATCTACTTTTTGTGAGGAGATGGGGTTTCACCATGTTGCCCAGGCTGGCCTTGAACTCCTGGCCTCAAGCAATCCTCCTGCCTCGGCCTCCCCAAGTGCTGGGGCCACAGTCTTGAGCCACTGCGCCTGGCCTGGTATGTGCGTTTTAATGGTGTGTGCCTTTGCTGTCGTTCTTAGGGAAGCCTGTTTGACCATCTGAACATCTTTCTGATACTCGTAGAATTCTTTTTTCAAATTAAAAGCCTTCATCCGTTTGGAGTTGTGTGTTTTCACATGAGGAAGCTGCTGATCTTTATCAGGTTTTAAGATGGTGGACGATGCCTTCTCAGGTCACTCATCAAATCTCCATCCTCAGCCGCGAACGGAAGAGCAGCCCTCGTCACAGGCTTACCCAATCCACTGTCTGTCTTGAGCTTTCTACTCTAAGCCATTATTTATACAATTATTTATAAAATAGCTGCATGTCTAGCGATTAAACCTGTCCCCATTACTATTTTAGGACTTTCTTGACTATTATTCTCTTGCTTTTACTCTCCCATGTGAACCTGAGAAACCTTTTGCTGAAATTCGATTCCAGCAAGTGCGGGTTGCATTTACCCGATGTCACCCAGCAGCGCAGTACCAGGAACGGCTGTGGGGTGGGCTTCTGGGCCCCCGAATTCCTCTGATCACAGAGCCCTGACGTTTGCGGATTCCTTTCTTTTCCGTTATGGGGCG
Source organism: Homo sapiens (assembly GCF_000001405.40). Classification (NCBI taxonomy): domain Eukaryota; kingdom Metazoa; phylum Chordata; class Mammalia; order Primates; family Hominidae; genus Homo; species Homo sapiens. Next base: position 128,739 of record NW_021160007.1, on the reverse strand, counting down.
TTGCATACATTGTCCATCTCAGGCTTGCTTGCTTTTTTTTTTTTTTTTTTTTGAGAACGTCTCACTCTGTCACCCAGGCTGGAGTGCAGTGGCATGATCACAACTCACTGCAACCTCCACCTCCCGGGTTCAAGGAATTCTCCTGCCTCAGCCTCCCGAGTACCTGGGATTACAGGCACCCACCACCACCACACCCAGCTAATTTTTGTATTTTTAGTAGAGATGGGTTTCACCATGTTGGCCAGGCTGGTCTTGAACTCCTGACCTCATGATCTGCCTGCCTTGGCCTCCCAAAGTGCTGGGATTACAGGCATGAGCCATCGCACCCAGCCCTTTTTTTTTTTTTTTTTTTTTTTTTTTGGACACAATCTCACTCTGTCGCCAGGCTGGAGTGCAATGGTGTGAACTCAGCTCACTGCAACCTCCACCTCCCAGGTTCAAGTGATGCTGCTGCCTCAGCCTCCCGAGTACCTGGGATTACAGGTGCCCACCACCACACCCAGCTAATTTTTGTATTTTTGGTAGAGACAGGTTTCACCATGTTGGCCAGGCTGGTCTCGAACTCCTGACCTCATGATCTGCCTGCCTTGGCCTCCGAAAGTGCTGGGATTACAGGCAAGAGCCATCGCGCCCAGACCTTTTTTTTTTTTTTTTTTTTTGACACAATCTCACTCTCACCAGGCTGGAGTGCAATGGTGTGAACTCAGCTCACTGCAACCTCCACCTCCCAGGTTCAAGTGATTGTCCTGCCTCAGCCTCCCGAGTACCTGGGATTACAGATGTGAGCCACCACACCCAGCTAATTTTTGTATTTTTAGTAGAGACAGGGTTTCACCATGTTGGCCAGGCTGGTCTCGAACTCCTCACCTCAGGTGATCCACCTGCCTTGGCCTCCCAAAGTGCTGGGATTACAGGTGTGAGGCACCAGCTGTGTGTTTCTACAAATCTGGACAGTCCTTAGTTTCTCAGTGCGTGGCCTCCCCATGTGGAAATCTTGTTGGAGGTGGGTGGGACTTTGACCCTCAGGGTTGCCGATGTCTCCTTCCTGTTTCTCATCTCCTTTCCATTCTGTGGGGTGTCCCTGGAAATTCCCCTGGTTCTGCACTCCAAGGAACAAGTCCTCTCTTCAGCCACATCCAGACAGCAATTCGAGCCACTTGCTTAGCCTTGGTTTCTCAAGTTACTGACTGCATCTTACATTTAGGAGACTTTCTTCCATGGGTATTTTTCATATCTGGTTCTTTTTTTATAGTTGTTTTGATCCATAAACTCATGTTTTTGATTAATGCTTTTCTCTCATTCCTTCATGCCTTTGGAAATTCTAACAGTCGTCCTAAGACCTCTTTAATTACTCTCTTTTTCTGTCTCTTTGGGTTTAAATTCACCAATTTTGTTGGATTTCTTGGCTGACGCTCCTAGAATTGGATTTCCTCAGGTGCTTTGTCTTTATTTATTTATCAGGGTATTGCTGTCATCCTGGCTGGAGTATTGTGGTACAGTCATCACTCACTGCAGCCTCCAACTCCTGGGCTTAGGTGATCCTCCCACCTCAGCCTCCTGAGTAGCTGGGACTACAGGCATGAGCCACCACGTCCAGCTGCCTTGTCATTTTGCTGAGTGCTCATCTTTTATGGAAGTTGTGGCTTAACTCCATGAGCACCCACTCTGGGAAGAAAGTTTCAGAGCGTCTCCTCCTGGCACTTCTGACTCCTGACGTGGAAGTCAGTGGTGGGTGCCGCCCTGGGGAGGTGCCCCTTCCCCTTACCCAGGCGGGTGTCACCCTGGGGAGGTGCCCCTTCCCCTTACCCAGGCGGGTGTCACCCTGGGGAGGTACCCCTTCCCCTTTCCCGGGCGGGTGTCACCCTGGGGAGGTGCCCCTTCCCCTTACCCGGGCGGGTGTCACCCTGGGGAGGTGTCCCTTCCCCTTACCCGGGCGGGTGTCACCCTGGGGAGGTGTCCCTTCCCCTTACCCGGGCGGGTGTCACCCTGGGGAGGTGTCCCTTCCCCTTACCCGGGCGGGTGTCACCCTGGGGAGGTGCCCCTTCCCCTTACCCAAGCGCGGGTGCTGCTGCCTCTCGCCATGGGACACTTCTGGCGGCAGCCCCAGGGGTCCATCAGAGCTGGTTTCAGTGTCTGTTCCTGCTCATTGAGCTCGTCCCCACCCTGAGTTCATGCCAGGATCCTGGCCGCACGCCCAGCACCTGTCCCCGCCAATGGACATCAGAGCCACACGCCCGGCACCTGTCCCGCCGATGGTCCCCAGAGCCTCATGGCTTCCATGCCACTCACTGCAGCCGGCTTCTGCTCCTCATGAGCTATGGAGAATTTCACCTTGTTTCCTAATGTTACTTTTAACTTTTAAAACAACTGATCTATCGTTTCTGTGTGTCTGAAACGGCAGGGGAGGGTTCTATGTCTGTGGTGCTGACCAATGTCTTCCCCACCATTTCATCCGTCACAGCTGCAGCGGGCCTGGGTCTGCAGAAATCATGACCTAAACTGTATCCTCATCTGTTTGAGGACAGAAGCAATCACAGAAAAAGCCACCAGGTGTCGTTCTGCCGATCAAGGGACAGGGCTTCAGGGACAGATGATTGTGTGGAGGGGGGTGGGACCGGGTGAGAAGCCTCAGGCACTTGGCTCTGCTCTCCTCGAACGGCTCCATCGGCAGCACCCCGAGAGCTCAAAATGCGGGGCGCCCCTCCCCGGAGCTTCTGACTCCACAGGTCCCAGGTGGGGTCTGGGAATTTGCGGTTCTTGGGGGTTCCAGATGAGATTGGTGCTACTGGGTCACTTTGAGAACCACTTGTTTGGAAGGAAGACGCTGTTTCTCTCATTTGTTTGAGATGCTCAGTGTTTGGTGAGGTGAGTGGGAGGGTCTGGACAACGGCTGGCCCTGGGGTGGGAATGCTGTGGCCACTGCCTTCTTCGCCTCCATTGTATCTGAAACCTCCGTCATCCAGGAAGAGATGGTTTCCTGTTGGACATTGATGAATGGCGCCCACTGCGCCCTGGGAGATGGGATTTGCCTTTCCAGCGATAAATACAGGCAGATCCTGCCCGGAAGATGGATCGCTGCTGCAGAACGAGGCATGTGTGTGACAAGAGGGTGGCGTCACCCACAGCCGTACCAGAGGAATTATCATTTCCCGAAACCGACCTGGGCTCCAGGGGCAGGGACACGCTAAGCAGATTGTAAATCTTTTTTAAAAATCAGGTTCAATGAAATCTCTCAAAGGTATGCACACAATTTCCTCCAGAGTGAATATGAAGCCCTGCCTTTTGTTAAAGGGGAAATTCCGTTCTGCCAAAGGGAAAGTGCTGACTAGGTACCTCTTGGGTTTGTACCAGGTGAGACAACCTGGGGGTCAGGATGCCTGGGTTTCCGTCCGCGTCAGCCTGGACCTCTGGTGCATCCAACCCTTTTCCTGGAGGCCTGGGCTGGGAACACAGGGCTTGCTTGGCCTCTAAGGTTGTTTTCCTCATCTTGATGACACAGCTTTGCACAGCGCCCAGACAGAGTCATGCTGGTTCTAGGGACTAATGCAGATGGGTGGATGGATGAGTGGGTGAAAGAAGGAAGGGATAGATGGTCGCTAGGTGGGCAAATGAGTGGGTAGATTGATGGATAAATGGTGGATGGATGGGTAGATGAGTGGCTGGATGAGTGGGTGGGAGGATGGATAGATAGATGGTGTCTAGGTGGGCAAATGAGTGGGTAGATGGATGAGTGGTGAGTGGGTGGGTAGATGGATGAGTGGTGAGTGGGTGGGTGGATGAATGGATGGGTGGGTGGGTGGATGAATGGATGGGTGGATAGAGATGGTGGCTAGGTGGGTGAGTGAGTAGGTAGATGGATGGATAAAGGAATGGATGGATGAGTGGGTGGATGGATGGGTGAATGGACGGATGGATGGATGGCTGGGTGGATGCAGGGATGGATGGGTGGATAGATGGATGAGTGGATGGATGGATGGATGAGTGCGTGTGGATGAATGGATAGATAGTGGCTAGGTGGGTGAATGAGTAGGTAGATGGATGGATAAAGGAATGGATGGATGAGTGGGTGGATGGGATGGGTGAATGGATGGATGGATGGCTGGATGGATGGATGGATGGATGAGTGGGGGATGGCTGGATGGATAGATGGATAGAGTGAGTGGATGGATGAATGGTTGGCTGGTTGGATGCAGGGATGGATGGATGGATGGGTGGGGATGCATGGGTGGGTGAATGGATGGCTGGCTGGATGCAGGGATGGATGGATAGATGAATGAGTGGATGGATGGATGAGTGCATGTAGATGAATGGATAGATAGTGGCTAGGTGGGTGAATGAGTAGGTAGATGGATGGATAAAGGAATGGATGGATGAGTGGGTGGATGGATGGGTGAATGGATGGATTGATGGCTGGCTGGCTGGATGGATAGATAGATGGATGAGTGAATGGATGGATGGGTGGGTGGGATGCATGGATGGATGAATGGATGGCTGGCTGGATGCAGGGATGGATGGATGGATGAGTCCGCGTGGATGGGTGGATAGATAGTGGCTAGGTGGGTGAATAAGTGAGTAGATGGGTAAATGGGTGGATGAGTGGGTCATTCTATCAGTTACTGTATCCAAGGAATATTGGCAAAATGGAAGAGAGGTGGGCTTGAGCAAATGGTGGCCATAACTTGAGAGGTGAAGTCTCATCCTCATTATTTTCAAAGTGAAAACCAGATTTTATAACAGTTTAGTGGATCACAACACCCAAAAGGAAACACACAGTTCGTCACACAGCTAAACCTATCAGTCAAGAAAGAGCCAAGTTATCCCCAAATTCTTCTTCCCACTTACAAGGGCAGACTGCCCACAAGGGCGAAAAGCCCAGAAACGCCGCCTCACAGGCTGCCTGGGAGCCAAAGCCTCGAGCTCAGAACGGTGCCAAGTGAAGAGGTGAACTTTGGCCACAGAAGCAGCCACGGCTTCTCTCCAGTCTTGTGAGTGGGCATCCCAGTCAGCGGCCCAAAGAGAAAACTGCTCATCCCCCCAGATGCTGGAACACCTCCCAAGGTAGCCACGTGGGCACGCAGATCTTAGGAAGGAAGACACCCAGCGGAGACCAGGGAGGAGCTGGACATGGGGGACACTCAGTGCCGCCTGCCTGTGGACCCCCTCCCTGTCCCATTCCTGCCACAGAAAACACCCCGTCCTCCGAGGCTGCAGACTGCGCTCAGCACCCAGGTCCTGGCTCCTCGCTGGGCCTGCGGCTGTGCCACGCACCGTCCTGCCTGCAGATGAGAGTGCTTGGTGCTGGTCTCCAGGACGTCGTCAGCAAATGACCCTTCCAGGAAAGCCTCCACATTGTTCTCCCTGTGTGAGGGACCCTGTGGGGAGAGAAGCAAGGGGCTGTGCCCCTCTCTCTGTCTCTCTGTCTTCCTCTGTTTGTGTGTCTTTCTCTGTGTCTTCATCTCTATCTCTGTCTTCTCTATAATCTGTTCCTTTGTCTCTCTCTCCGTGTCTGTCTCTCATGTCTCTGTCTTATGTCTCTATCTCATGCCTCTGTCTCTCCATCTCTGTGTCTCTGTATCTTTCTGTCTCTGTTTCTGTGTCTCTGTATCTTTCTGTCTCTGTTTCTGTGTCTCTGTCTACGTCTCTCTATGTCTCTGTCTATCATTAGATGGGCATGGACAAGCCCCTGTGTGTGCCCCGCCACCGTCTCCCTTCCCTCCACACGTCCAGCCACTGTCCCTTAGGAGTCCTTTGGCTGAGTCCTGGACAGGGGATTGGGGAGGGGGACGCAGCCCCTCAGGCCTGGCCCAGAAGCACCCCCCAACCCTACTCTCCGCCCCCTCACCCCCTCTCCATCCCCTGCTGTGAGTCAGGGAGGGCCAGCACCCAGGAGGTGATGGAGGGCACCTGGGTCCCGTGCTGGGTCCCATGTGGCCATGCGAGGCTGCCCCCCGCCCATGCCCACTGGCTGCTCTGTGCTGCCACGTGAGCCACGTGGTGGCTGTGATGGTGCCAGCCCGGCCTCGTGGGACCCGGGTGCTGGTTGGCATGTGTGTCCTGATGATACAAAGAGGGCTGGCTTCATTCTTGAACCTCGGTCTTGGAGCCAACAAGCAGGATCAAGTGGACCCTGGGCCACGCTAGCCTTGCCTGGCCCTCGGAGTGGTCCCCGCACTCGCCAAGCCCTGGCATGGCAGCGCTCTTGGGAAAGGGAGGAAGCACGCCCTCCCTGGAGGAGCTGCTTGTGCTCTCCGTCGAGGCCAGCACACAAACAGCCTCACCAAGAGCGAGGGCCACACCCAGCAATCCTCCCCGGGCTGCAGTGGCATCCAGGCGGTGCCGGGCGCCGCGTCCTGGCCTCCATTTAGAAACTGACTGTGTCTCGTGTGTGGGGCCTACAGCCCGACAGGAGGGCTGGTAAATTGCAGCTCGGTGTGCGAGGAAGTACTTTTGTCCCTGAGAGCCTGGGCTGTGTCACCTGCAAACCACGAGAAAGAGCTGGGGCTCCAGGCAGGGCCCCGATGAAACCTGTGTCTGTTCTGCCGAAGCGGCCACAAAGCCACCCAGAGCTGCGGAGACCCGGCGTCTGGAAACCAACAGCGATTGTGTCGCGTTTCCTCCCAAACGCCCTTAAACGGGCAGGACAGCGTGGCAGGTGAGGACGCTGACAGGCCAGTCAGCACCAGCGGAGGGTGCTACAGAGGCCGGCAGGTTTCTCCACTCTCACAGCCTCACGCTGGCTTTGCCTGTCAGCCAGAATCTTCCAGATCCGCGTAGAACAGTGAGATGGGCCTCTGTGACGGGTGTGCATCCCCTGCTCTGCAAGATCAGGAGCTGAGCAGGAATGGCGTGCCACAGAACTGAGCAGGAACAGGGTGCCACCGCCTGCCCTGGTCTCCAAGTGGCTTTATCGTTATTCAGGACAGCGCAGCCAGCAGGCCAGGAGACAATGGCCATTGGTGAGATGGTTTGTTACGCACGGATCCCAGAGAAGGGGGTACCACCAGGCAGGGCCACCCAGGAGGCACCAGGCTGGACAGGAGGCAGAGGGTATGAGGGGGATGTGGCCAGGAATGGGCAAGGCCGGGTGAGCAGGCCTGGGGGGCCTGGCTTCCATCGTCTCAGCAGCTCTGGGGCATGGGCCATCCTCCTGAGTGGTTGGGTGGGAGGATGGTAGCCCAGAGTGAAGGACAGAGGCAGTGGGCTGTGGATTCGCGTTGGCTGGTGGGGCGTGGACTCTCGTTGCCTGGTTTGCATTTGGAAAGACGCTGGGGGGGTGCTCACTAGCTCTAGGAAATCACTCACCCGGGAGGGGCAGGCCTCTCGGGCTAGTGAGGTTCCAGATGTCAAAGCATCAGATACAGAAAATATGAAAGCATGATTAATACACGGGCTCCGCTCCTGCTCGCCCCCTTCATCCCTGGGCTCCTGCTGACGGTGGAGTCGCCGGTGTGGTGAGGGAGGGCGGAGTCGCTGGCCTGGTTAGGGACAGTGGAATCACAGGCGTGGTTCTCCAGCCATCTCCAAAGGAGCCACCATCAGGGACCTCACACACGGCACCCCGGAATCGGCTCTCTCTTCTCCAGGTGCCCTTGGGGTCAGTGCCCCTCCTGGTAATCCTTGTGAGGGTGGTGTCCCGGCTTTCACCTGGGAGGACTGAGGGGCCCAGACCCCCATCCCCACGCCTGACCTGGCAGGGAGCGGGGGTGGTTGAGGACTCGGAGTCGCGGGTGTCCCTGGACTCATGCTGCAGGGAGGGTGTGCGGACATAGGGGGTGGGGTTGGGCCTGCATCTCCAGGGCTGCTCCGTGACCGGGCTGTTCTGGACTGTCAGCGCCCACGCGCACCAACTGATGCAGTCGAGGCTCTTTCTTTCAGCTTCTGGGACGTGTCTGCATTCTGCTCGAGAGAGCTGGCAGCAAGCTGGGGCCTCCTCAGGTCCCCGGTGCCACCTGGAGAATGCAGAGGCCACAGTGGGCCTCATGTCCCCTGAACACCCCTCCTCGGACATGAGGGCTGACCCCAGAACCCCTAGGTGCTCACAGAATGAGCTGTCCCTGCAGGTACATCAGAGGCTGACAGGAATGACAGCTGAGTGCACATGTGTGTGAGTGTGTGTGTGTGACTGTGTGTAGGTGGGAGTGCCTGTGTGTGACTGTGTGAGTGCGCCTGTATGTGGGTGGGAGTGCGTGTGTGTGAGTGCGCCTGTGTGTGAGTGGAGTGCGTGTGTGTGGGTGTGAGTGTGCCTGTGTGTGGGGGTAACAGTGCATGTGTATGCTTGACTGAGTGATTATGTTGCACACGTGTGCATCTGCGGTGCATTTTCATGTGTGTGTGTGAAGAAATTGATTGATTCTAAGAATTGGCTCACACAATTGTGGGGTTGCCAAGTCTGAGATCCTTAAGGTGGGCAGTGGGTGGGTTTTCTGTGTCATGGTCTGAAGGCTGCAGACCCGGGTGGGGTTTCCGTGTCGAGGTCTGAGGGCTGCAGAACCGGGTGGGGTTTCCGTGTCGAGGTCTGAAGGCTGCAGACCCGGGTGGGGTTTCCGTGTCGAGGTCTGAGGGCTGCAGACCCGGGTGGGGTTTCCGTGTCGAGGTCTGAAGGCTGCAGACCCGGGTGGGGTTTCCGTGTCGAGGTCTGAGGGCTGCAGACCCGGGTGGGGTTTCCGTGTCGAGGTCTCAAGGCTGTAGACTCGGGTGGGGTTTCCGTGTCACGGTCTCAAGGCTGTAGACCCGGGTGGGGTTTCCATGTCACGGTCTGAGGGCTGCAGACCCGGGTGGGGTTTCCATGTCACGGTCTGAGAGCTGCAGACCCGGGTGGGGTTTCCGTGTCGAGGTCTGAGGGCTGCAGACCCGGGTGGGGTTTCCGTGTCACGGTCTGAGGGCTGCAGACCCGGGTGGGGTTTCCGTGTCACGGTCTGAGGGCTGCAGACCCGGGTGGGGTTTCCATGTCACGGTCTGAGGGCTGCAGACCCGGGTGGGGTTTCCGTGTCGAGGTCTGAGGGCTGCAGACCCGGGTGGGGTTTCCGTGTCGAGGTCTGAGGGCTGCAGACCCGGGTGGGGTTTCTGTGTCGAGGTCTGAGGGCTGCTAGACCCGGGTGGGGTTTCCGTGTCGAGGTCTGAGGGCTGCAGACCCGGGTGGGGTTTCCGTGTCGAGGTCTGAGGGCTGCAGACCCGGGTGGGGTTTCCGTGTCGAGGTCTGAGGGCTGCAGACCCGGGTGGGGTTTCCGTGTCGAGGTCTGAGGGCTGCAGACCCGGGTGGGGTTTCCGTGTCGAGGTCTGAGGGCTGCAGACCCGGGTGGGGTTTCCGTGTCGAGGTCTGAGGGCTGCAGACCCGGGTGGGGTTTCCGTGTCGAGGTCTGAGGGCTGCAGACCCGGGTGGGGTTTCCGTGTCGAGGTCTGAGGGCTGCAGACCCGGGTGGGGTTTCCGTGTCGAGGTCTGAGGGCTGCAGACCCGGGTGGGGTTTCCGTGTCGAGGTCTGAGGGCTGCAGACCCGGGTGGGGTTTCCGTGTCGAGGTCTGAAGGCTGCAGACCCGGGTGGGGTTTCCGTGTCGTGGTGTGAAGGCTGTAGACCCGGGTGGGGTTTCCGTGTCACGGTCTGAAGGCTGGCATCCTTCTCTGGGAACTCCCCACCCGTCTTTTCTCTCAATGCCTGGCTGGGTGGGGCCTGCCTGCGTGCACGTCCGCTGCCATGCGGAGTGTCCACTGACGCAAGCATCACTCACAGCTGCAGACATGGTCCCAGCAGCACCTCACATCCACTGAATAATGGGACCTTCACCTCCTGAGCAGATGTAAAACCGTCACATGGGCCACAGCCCACAGGCGTGGATTGCAGGGCAGGGGTGCAGTGTGTGAGCACGTGGCCTGCTGTTGGGGACCAAGTTTGGAGTCTGGCTGCCTCAGGTGCTGGCTGGGTGACTTGGACATACTCCTCAGCCTTCCGTGCCCATCTCCTAATTCCCACAAATGCTCTTGAAGGACCTGCCCCAGGGTCCCCTCGACGGAGAGGGGGAAATGCTCTGGGAAGCTCTGGGCCTGCTGCCTTTCACAGAGAGAATATTCGGGAAAACCACGGTGGAGACAGAGGATGAGGGACACAGAATGGCCAGGTGGACGAGAGAGGGTGGACGGAGTGAGCGGATCACAGTAAGACTGCGGATACACGGCTGTTTCTGGCCAGCGCGAAAGGCAGCTGCATGTGGTTTGACCGAATAGACACGAGGTTGCCTCCTCACTGCTGTGGTGACAGCGTCTGAGGTGTTTTCTCGTACTAGGTCGGTGCAAAAGTAATTACAGTTTCGGATCATGAACTTTAAATCATTATAACTAGGCTCAAACACACCTTTATTCGTCAAAATAGGAAGCATTACAATCAACACATTTTTGCCAATGAGAAATAAGTTCGTTTATTCCTGTAGCATAAATATATCTGTGCTTCAGGATTTGACAAACTCTTGGAAAGCATTTTCTGCATCCTGCTGGTTGTGGAAGCGTTTTCTCTGCAAAAAGTTGTCGAGAGGCTTGCAGAAGCGGTAGTTGGTTGGCGAGAAGTCAGGTGAATGTGGCGGATGAGGCAAAACTTTGCAGCCCAATTCGTTCAGCTTGTGAAGCGTTGGTTGTGTGACGTGCAGCCAGGCGTTGTGGTGGAGAAGAACTGGGCCCTTTCTGTGGACTGAGGCCGGCGGCAGGCACCGCGATTTTTGGTGCATCTCATGGATTTGCTGAGCGCACCTCTCAAGTGTGATGGTTTTGCCAGGATTCAGAAAGCTGTTGTGAGTCAGGCCGGCAGCCGACCACCAGACAGCGACCTCCAGACAGCGACCACCCAGACGGCGACCTCCAGATGGCAACCGCCAGACGGCGACCTCCAGACGGCGACCTCCAGACGGCGACCACCCAGATGGCAACCGCCAGACGGCGACCTCCAGATGGCGACCAAGCCCTTTTTTGGTGCAAGTTTGGCTTTTGGCAAGTTGGAGCTTCTTCTCAATTCAACCATTAAGATGGTCAGCTTCCCTGACCGCAGCACAGCCTGCCCATGCCAGCTCTGCACAGCCCCACAGCCCAGGAGGACGGGGCTCGGGCCTCAAGCATGCCTGTGTCTCACCGCCAGTTAACCCCACTCGCCACCCATCTCCGCTCAGAGCTGGGGTTCAGGAAGCCGTCCCCAGCCAGGGCGCACCTCCTGCCCAAGCCTCATGGCCCCACTCAGTCCTCCAGCTGCACCCACACGTGATGAGTGTGACGTCTGAGCCTCGCCTGCCTCCCCTCTAGATGACAGTTTCACGATGAAGGCCGCATGTCCCCAGCGCTTCCAGGAGAACCCTACGAGCCCTGTTGCTTTGCTTGCCTTGACCAGAAGAACAGGTCCGACTTCACGGGACGGCCTCGCCCGCAGGCCCTTTGCCAGGCCCACAGCGCCGCCAAAGACAACGTCAGTCCTGAATGTACAGGGGGAGTTTTTGACCCAACGCCCACGCGCAGCAGGGCCCCTCTCCTGTCTCTCCTCTCGCTGTGATGTGCCAGCCCGGGGCCTGCAGACGACGGGCCCCAGGGACCCACCCATCTCTGGAGGAGTCTCCTGTTTTCCCATCTCTGGCCTCTGCAGTTAGTGACGGCCCCTCAGCCTTGGTGTGTCACCCACGCCACCCGTGTCTTCCTCGTGTGACCAGAAAGGGGTCCCCATCCAGACCCCAAGAGAGGCCTCTTGGATCTTGTACAAGGCAGAATTCGGGGCGAGTCCACAGAGTAAAGTGAAAGCAAGTTTATTAGAGAAGTAAAGAAATGAAGTAAAGAGAAGAATGGCTGCTCCACAGGCAGAGTGGCCCCCAGGGCTGCTGGTTGATTATTTACTAATTAACTTTTGTGGTTATTTTTTGATCATTTGCTAAACAAGGGATGGATTATTCCTGAGTTTTCTGGGAAAGGCAGCAGGATTTCCCCGAACTGAGGGCTCCACCCTTTTTAGACCACGCAGGGTAACTTCCTGACGTTCCCATGGCATCTGTGAACTGTCTTGGTGCTGGGGGGAGTGTCTTTTAGCAGCTAATGCATTATAATGAGCATAAAATGAGCCGTGAGGATGACCACAAGTCACTCGTTGCCATCTTGGTTTTGGTGGGACTTGGCGGCTCCTTTACTGGAACCTGTTTGTTTGTTTGAGATGAAGTCTTGCTCTGTCACTCAGGCTGGAGTGCAATGGTGCGATCTCGGCTCACTGCAACCTTTGCTTCCCAAGTTCAAGCAATTCTCCTGCCTCAGCCTCCCAAGTAGCTGGGACTACAGGTGCACGCCACCATGCCCAGCTAATTTTTTATTTTTTATTTATTTATTTATTTATTTTTTTTAGTAAAGACGGCATTTCACCATGTTGGCCAGGATGGTCACGATCTCTTGACTTCATGATCCACCCACCTCAGCCTCCCAAACTGCTGGGATTACAGGCGTGAGCCACCGCACCCGGCCTACTGCAACCTATTTTATCAGCAAGGTCTTTGTGACCTGTGTCTTGTGCCGACCTCCTATCTCATCCTGTGACTTAGAGTGCCTTCACCATCTGGGAATGCAGCCCAGTGGGTCTCAGCCTCATCTTACCCAGCCCCTGTTCACGATGTGGTTTGAATGGCTCTAATGCTTGGACTTCCGCCCTGGCTGTGGGGCCAGATGGTCAGGTAGCACGGGGGTGACCACAGGCATCGTCACCCAAACCAGGACACCTGAGAGTTACCAGAGGTGCTATTAATAATTACCCCAAGACAGGGGTATCAACTCGGATTGTCTTGGGCAGTGGGGATGCATGGCTAGTAACTAGCATTAACTGGTACTATGTGCTGCATGCAAGGAAGCCACAGGAGTGAGGGTCTTTGCCAGCTGTACCTGCCAAAGCAGCATGGATGGGTCAGCTCTTGGATGTGTAACAATCCACTCTGAAATGTTGCGGCCTAAGACAACCATTTCCTTGGCCCACAACTCTGGGTTGGCACATGGTCTATGTGGAGCAGAGCGGCTCTGCTCTCAGCTGGCCTTGCTGATGCCGGCAGTCAGCAGCCAGGTGAGCGGGGTTGGCTGGTTGGGGTGGGGAGGAATGGGCTCAGCTGGGCGGCTTCTCTCTGCTCCACATGGTCTCTCATCCTCATGCTGGCGGCCAGGTTACAAGACAGAGATCGGTGTGAGTGCAGTCTCCTGAGGCCCAAGCTTGGCCTTGGCACTGGGTGGGTTCTGGCCCTTTCTGTTGGTCCAAGCAAATCACGTGACGAAGGCCTAGGGTGATAGCGTCCCCCTCTCAGTGGGGAGAGCTGCACACACAGACGCCAGAAGGCGAGTCCAGCTTATCCCCAGTTGCTCTCAGTGCAGAGTGCCAGCCGGGCTCCGGCCTCCTTCACCTGATCTTCCTCTAGTGTGGCCAGGAAGGGGAGGGGCCCGGGCCTCCTGCCTCTTGAGAGCCCCTGAGAGGGGGGCCAAGTGCCTCTGGCTCCTGTGGGAGGATTTTGCCTGATCCTTAGGTGTTGGTCTCCTCTGGCCCACAGAGTGGAGAAGTTATTGCCAATATTCATCTGAAATTTATAGAGGGGTTAAACTGTTTCCCTTGAGACTGTGATGGGAGAGCCTTTAAATTCTCCCTCTGCATAAGCATCAATCTCCCGGGGAGCGCGGCACAAGGCAGATGATATACTGGTCCCTGGCTTCAAAATATGTGAAAAACTACACGGTCATTAACTCTGACGCAGAAAAGAGACCTGCCCCGGGTGTGGGGACGCCACACACCAGTGCTGCTTGCGCGAGGAGTCGTGGTGGGGGGTGGGGGCTGTCTTGTTCTTTCCCTGTTTTGCAGGGATTGGAAAGGGGATGTTGCTGAGGGCATGGGGGTTCACTCTCCGACTTTATCACTCCTGAGCTAATGGCCCTGCTGAAAAGCCAGGTCACGCAAGCCGTGGGCCCTTGTGCTTAGGGGGCACCTCACACACCCCGAAAGCTCAGGGGTCTGCGGCCCAAGCCCGGAGACTGAAGCAGCCCAGTCCCCGGCTGTGACAGGTCCTCAGCTAATGATGGAAGTTGGCCGACTCCCACCGCCCGGGAGCCTCGCCTCTCCCGTAGCTTCGGTCCTTCTAGAGACACGGTGGGGGACCCGAGGGCCGAGAGACCTGAGGCTGCATTCACCCAAGAAGGGGCCTCGGCACCACCCGCAAGCTCAGCACACACTGACGGGGCTGGCACCTGTGGAGCTGGCTTGGGGAGGCCTCGCAGACCGCCCAGCAGTCCCACCAGGTTCCCATGTGGAATCGCCCCAGCGCCACAGAAGGCCCCGGGGACAGAGTGGCCGTAAGTGGCTGTGGGGTTCCTAAAGGGAACACATTCGTTCCGCAGCTATTTATCAAGCACCTACTGTGTGCCCGGCCTCGCTCTGAGCACTGGGAGGCAGCTGTGAGCAGAAGCGACAGAAACCCTGTCCTGCGGAGCTGAGCCATGGGGAGGGACAGGCAGAGACGGGGACGGATAGCAGGCGGCGCCATACTGAGGGGTGTGAGCCTCTGGTCCGGACGCCCAGCTATGGGGCAAGGACGGCGGCTCTAAACAGGATGGAGGGAGAGGACTCACCCTGAAGACTTGATGGTGACATTTGGGGTTTATTTTTACTTTTTATGTTTTCAGACAGGGTCTCACTCTTTAACCCAGGTTGGAGAGCGTTACGTGATCTTGGCTCACTGCAGCCTCAACCTCCCGGGCTCAGGTGATCCTCCCGCCTCAGCCTCCCAAGCAGCTGGGACCGCAGGCATGCACCACCACACCTGGCTAATTTTGTTTTTTTCTGTGGAGGTGGTGTCTCACTATGTTGCCCAGGCTCGCTGGTTTTTTTAATGGACAAATAGGATTGTCCCCGTTCACGGGGTATGGCGTGCCGCACTCAGGTCAGCCGCCATCTCCACATTTGCCATTTCCTTGTGTGGGGGCTCGGCTCCTCCTCCCAGTTGCCGGCTGGGTCACGGTCAGGTCCACGGTCCTCCCTCAGCGGCACCAGCACTGGCTCCTCTCTGCCTGTGGTTTTGGTCCTTTTTTTTTTTTTTTGAGACGGAGTCTCGCTCTGTCGCCCAGGCTGCAGTGCAGTGGTGTGATCTCAGCTCACTGTCACCTCTGCCTCCCGGGTTCAAGAGATTCTCATGTTTCAGCCTCCTGAGTAGCTGGGACTACAGGCATCTGCCACCATGCCCAGCTAATTTTTGTATTTTTAGTAGACATGGGGTTTCATCATGTTGGCCAGGCGGTCTCGAACTCCTGGCCTCAAGTGATCCACCCACCTCGGCCTCCCAAAGTGCTGGAATTACAAGTGTGAGGCCCCTGTGCCCGGCTGGTTTTGTGCCTTTAACTAATCTCTCTGGCACTAGAGCTTTGAAGGCTGGAGGCAGTGGAGCATGCAGAGACCTGGGAAGGGCGCCCGGCGTGGGCACCACCTGTGCCAAGGCCCTGAGGGGTGCACGTGGGGGTGCTGGGAAGGCCAAGGTGCTTCGAACCCAGGGGGTGGGCAAGGCAGGCGTCAGGAGCCCTGGGGGGCTTCGTGTTCCCCAGCGTGAGGCCCGAGGACAGGATTCTGTGGTGGGTGGGGGGACCGAGTCACCGTGGCCTCTGTACTGGGGGTAGACAAGGAGGCTGAAACTGCTGGAGGTCGTCCCAGAGGCCAGTGTGCCAGGCGCTTCTGAAGACGGGTGGGCAGACGATGGAGGACGAGGCTCTGTCCCGCCCCTGCAGAGCTTCCTTCGTTCCGGCCCCTTCCAGCGAAGGGCAGGGCTCCGAGGTGCTTCCCCCCTCCTTCTCACGAAACCTGGGTGGTCTCAGGTTGAGGGTGGGAGACATCCGCGGAGTGGGAGGGCGGTGGGCGGGATTCACCAGCGGGGCCCCTTCCCGCTGCGAACAGAAATCCCGACCCTAGTCTGGAAGGCAGAAAGGAAGCCCCGGCTCAGGGGGCTGGAAAACCCCAGGCTTTTCTCAGGCAGGTTGTCCCACAGCAGAGACAACAGACAGAAACCCAGAAACCACCTGCCACGATGTGAACCTGATGCAGAAACGCGGTTCGCTCCCTCGGGATGCAAAGGCCAACTTCAGCCTGGCACGGCGGCGCCGCGGACTCCACCATCCCGGGGAAGGAGCCGGACCCCTGTGGGTGACGTGGGACTGTGGGGCGGGGGTGTCCCCGGCTGGGCTGAGCTGAGCAGCGAGGAGGCTCTGGGTTGCCGGACCGGGGTCAGGGAGCCTGGCGTTAGCTGCGTGCTGTGTGGTCATCTCGGCGAGGAGGGAGCGGCTCCCTCCTGCCCCGGACTCTGGATCTGTCCTGCGGTGGGCGGTGTCGGAGCAGCCGTAAGTGATCGGCGATACGGCCTCCCGGTTCTCTCTCTCCCTGGGACTCGGCTTCCTGAAGGCAGAGAGTCCGGGGGAGGGAGGAGCCCCCTGCTCCCCCACACAAGGGACTGGGCCTCTGGGGTGGGCTGGGCTGACAGGCGACCCCCGGAGGATGCAGCTAGGGGACGTGTGAGTGTGGCCCTCTTTGGGAAAAGGGATCTTTGCAGACATGATTAAGATAACGGCCTGGAGATGAGAGCAGCCTGGACGAGGATGAACCAGAGTCCAGGGATGACTGAGGGATCCGAGCTCAGCTGGGCAGAGGCTCCACCCCGTGCGCCCCTGCAGTTGGCACCACCCTCGGCCTCGGCACCTTCTCAGCACCGCGGAGGGAACGGGGCAATGCCAGGGCTGCCCACCCTTTCTCGGGTGGTGGGGGGATTCAGGAGATGAGGCAAGCACAGTGCCCGCCCTGGGCCTGGCACACTCGTCCAGCATGGCAGGCTCAGGGCTGAGGACCTGAGCACGGCGGAGCTTGGGCCACGTGGATCAGACCCATTTGTTCATAGTGATGTCAGCCCGTGGGTGGCATCGGCCTTTTTTTAATGGGGTGGATGGGATGGGACAGCACAGGATAGGGTAGGATAGGATGGGACGGGGCTGGCTCAGGGCTCTCCAGGGAAACAGATTAATAGCAGATGGTGGGGACGTGGGCTTAGCTGTGAAAGTTCATCTAAGGAATTGACTCACCCGGTTACGGGGGCTGAGGGTACCGAGATTGGCCGTCGGCTGGCAGGCGCCCAGGAGAGCCGGTGGCGTGAGCTCCAAGCCTGAAGGCAGGGGAGGACCCACGTCCCAGCCCGAATCGAGCAGAGTGTGTGAACACTCCCTGCCTCGGCCTTTCTGTCCTACTCAGGCCTGTAGGGGACAGATTTAAACACGGCTCCCACCAGAGGCCATGCACAGACCACCCAGAATCGGGAGAGCAAACGTCCCAGCACCCTGTTCCCTGCCACGCTGACACAAAACCAACCCTCACAGGCAGGACAGCGCGGGGGGACAAACCGGAGTGAAAGAGCACGTATAGGAAGGCTGGTATTGCTTAAGTGGAACGACACGGAAGGAAGCATAAAAGGATACGCAGTGACAAACACGTTTCTGCTGCGCGTGGGGGTTCAGAAAGCCAGGGGCTGCGGGGTTTTATTAGCTGGGGAGGCTGGTTGGGCTTTTGATTGTGTGTGTTCTGGGGATGCGTGGAGCGGTGTCTGCATGGCAAGCAGCTGTTTGTAAACAGATTGTTGGTGTGTTCGGGTGCTGGGGGAGGTGGCTGGTGCAGTGGGGCGGGGGGTTCCCTGCACAGAACAAGCACTGGGGGTGGGAACCACAGGGTGAAAAACCTGTTAAGTGTTGGGGTCGGTAGAATAAACCCCCCTCCCCACAGCCATCGTGTAACGCACAAGAGAAAGAAGTCCCAGAGAGGACGCAACCCAGACCTGAACTTTCTCTGTGGGCGGGGTCCCCTGAAAACAGCCCCCGAGAGGCAAAGCCCCGGGACCCACCAGGCCCGTCGGTGGTGGGGGTGCCCCAGGAACAGAGGGCCGGGCCCCTTGGCCTCTCACGGGCCCCTAGCTGGCCGGGCTGCCCGCTTCCGTTGGGAAGGACGCCGGCACCCAGCGCCGTCTCCCCGCAGGTGTGGCAGTGTGGCGGCAGCATGGAGGTGCTGCCCTGCTCCCGCGTGGCCCACATCGAGCGCACCAGGAAGCCCTACAACAACGACATTGACTACTATGCCAAGCGCAACGCCCTGCGCGCCGCCGAGGTGTGGATGGATGACTTCAAGTCCCACGTGTACATGGCCTGGAACATCCCCATGTCGGTGAGTCCCCCACAGGCCGGGAGCCGGGGCCATGCCCCAGGGTCGGGGTCAATGCCACGGCAGGGCTGGGCCGGAGGGAGGCCCCCTAGGGCCCCCTGCAGGTGTGAGTGGGTGTGTTGACAGGTGTGCACAGGTGCAAGCAGTTGTGTGTGCAGGTGTGAGTGGGTGAGCTGTCTGCCTGGGAAGGAGCCTTCCTCACACTGGGAAGAGACCAGCTCACACCCACCCCGGTGTGGTGGGCGTTTTTCCTCTCAGCCTAGAGCAATTGCCCCGTGGTTAGAAGCCAGGGAGGGGCGGCCTCTCCCCAACCTGGTGCCGCCGCCTCAGCCAGGGCCCCACTTAGTGCCCTGCACAGCACCTGTCAGCCAGTGCGGACCCCTCCCCAGCCCCGGGCAGCCTCAACTGTCTGGCGGTTTCATGAACGGCTCATACGCTGTGTGGCTTCCCGTCCTCAGCGCCACCTTTTCCAGGTCACCCCCACCATGGCTGAGTCACGTCCACAGTGTGAAAGGGCCCCTCGTGTGGATCCACTCGTCCGTGGATGGACGTTTTTGGTTGTTTCCTGTTGGGCTTTGGCCTATGAGTGGCTGACCCGCTTCAAGTTGAGGATTGCTGTTTGTTTTCTAATTTGTAATTTCCCATAAAGAGCCTGAATTCTGGCTTTTCTCAAAGCGCCCCACCCCCACAACCCTAAGAAAGGCAGGTACTGAGACGGGTGGCCGCGACCCATCCCGCCACACCCCAGCGTCTCTGGAACCACCCCCTTCCTTCCCTGGCCACTGCAGGCACTGGGTCCCTGAGTTCTGGGAGGGCTCATCTTAGAAACGGGCTTGTCTGCATCAACCCTAATGAGCCAGATCTTAAGTCATGACCCAGCGCACACACGCATACATTTACATCTGTCCACATACAGCGCTTTGTGTACGTAGCACCAAAGTGACCCTTCTCATTTACAATATTACTACTTCTTAAAACTTCCCACCACAGCCCCTAAATTGGCTTACCACCCCCTGCTAGAGTGCACCCCAGCGTGTGGGTGACACGGCCTGAAGTGGCCCCGGGCTGGACCATTCACTGCAAATCCAGCATCCAGCCCCCATATCAGCTCCCGCCAGGCAGATCAGGAGCCGTAGACACGTGCACTCGTGTCTGAGAGACGAGAAGAGGGTACCCGGTGCTCCTACAGCCTTGTTTTCCATGAAGTGATAAGGAAAACGTGCAGGGTGATGACCTCCCCAAGTGTGTGGGCAACTGAGTGAGGTGCTCCAGGCCCCCGGGCAGTGAGGCCGGCAAATGCCTGTCACCTCCGTGTCCAAGGGCCCTGGTGTGAGCCCCTTGGCTGATTAAAACCTCATAACAGAGCAACAATGAGTTTCTGGCGTGATCGTCCCCACTTTACCAATGAGTAACTGAGGCACAGAGAAGATAGGGGACTGTCCCAGGCCCACATACCAGAAGGTGACGGGATTCAAGCCCAGGCCGTGAAGGCCAAGTCGTCTGCCCTCCCCACAAGGCCTGAGCCTGGAGGGTCCCTGGGCAGGGTGCAGGTGCTCCCTCAGGGCTGGCTGTCCGTCAGAGAGTGCTGGTCCCTACAGCCTCTCAGGCCCCACAGTCCCAGGAAGACACAGACACCGCACTCGGCTGTGGGTTCTCACGGCAGAGGACACGGGTCAAAGTCAGCAGAGGGAAGAGACGCCTGGGCAGGGACCAGGAAAGGCCAGGTACAAGCTCTCAGGTGTCCCCCCGCGGGGGGTCCCAAGGACTTGATTCTCCGGCACCCATGCGTGACAACACGTGCCAGGCGGGGCCAGCCAGGAGCCCCCAAGCCTCAGTATCCAGGGTCCTCACCAGGCTGGTCTCTGGATATGGCTGACCTCAGTCTCCACCCTCCAGAGGTCAGGCTGATGCCGTGCAGTAAGGCCAGGTGAGCAGGGCCGTCTTCTCAGGCAGGAGGTTCCTGGGCCCGGGTGGGTGTGGACGAGCCGGCTGCAGCAGGGGCCGTCTGTCCAGGCCGGGGCTGGCCTCTGGCAGGGTCCTTCCCATCAGGAGCAGCTGCCTCAGACCCTCTGTGGATATTAGGAGGCTGGGGGGTCCCAACTGGATGGGGCCTCAGCATCTGAATACTGGGGGGGAGGCTGCTCCTGTGAGGGCACTTGGTCCCTGGAGACCCCCAACCTCATTATGGGGAAGACCCAGGTCATGGTGACACCCATGTACCCTCTCACCTACTTCTGGCCTTGCAGAACCCAGGGGTGGACTTCGGGGACGTGTCTGAGAGGCTGGCCCTGCGTCAGAGGCTGAAGTGTCGCAGCTTCAAGTGGTACCTGGAGAACGTGTACCCGGAGATGAGGGTCTACAACAACACCCTCACGTACGGAGAGGTAGCACCTCCCCCGAGGGCCCCGTTCGGCCCGACAGGCTTTCTGCCCTGACTCCTGCACACGTATGCATTCAGGGTGATGCAGGCACATCCACATGCACACGGAGAGGTAGCGCCTCCCCCAGAGGGTCCCACTCGGCCCGACAGGCCTTCCGCCCTGACTCCTGCACACACGTGTGCATTCACGGTGATGCAGGCACATCCACGTGCACACACAAGGTGCAGGTTCACATAAACACACGCACCTGCAGACCCACATGTCCATACACACCCATTCCTTCACATGGACCTCCCTAGAGGCAGGCAGGTGTGTAGTCACATCCATGCGTGTTCACATGCCTGATTCAATGTACCTACGCTCTCACGTATGTGTACATAGGGATACATGCACTCACCTAGATGTGTGTACAGAGACATTCACAGGCAGGTACGTAAATCCATGCAAACACTCATATGTACAAGAGCACGCGGACACGAGTATACATTTGCACCCAGTTTTGCTAATGTACACAGCTCTTCCTACACAGATGTATGTTTCACTAAGTGCATGAACCCCAAAGGCGCCTGCCTGTGCACAGATAAACACACAGGCCCTTGTTATCAAGCAAAATAATGTGTGTGTGTACACGTCTGTGCATCCACATATGCGGAGCCACGTTCATACACCAGCGTGCATGCATGAAGGTGCCCCCACAGATGCACACAATGGGTGATATGCACACTCACACAGGCCCATCAGCTACACAGAGACCCCCGTCTCCACTGGCCCCCACATGCACAGCACTCCGTAAAGCCAGCGAGAAGGTGCTGCTCTTCTGCCCTCTCCCCAGTCTGTGCAGGGGATGGGGTGCCTCCCACCATGAGACTCGAGCGTCCCAGCCCTGAGCTGGCACTCGGATGGGGCAAGGAAAAGGGTCCCTGGGGTGGATGGTCCTCGCTGAGCCTCCCCTCCTGCAGCTCCTGGTCCACCCTGCGCTGACTCCAGTCCCTTGGGCACAGAGGTTTCCCAGGCAGTGCTGAGTGTGCATCGGGGCACCGCCCCTCTCCCCCAGCCTCCCTGTGCTTCTACTCTGCCCACTCCATCCTCAATTAGCCAAGTGCAGGCACCCCCAACCCAGAGCAGCCGTAACATCCAGACTCTGCTGGGCTTCCTCAACGGTCCCAATTCAAACCTGTGTGACCTCTCGTGGTGGCCGTGGTGGATGGGTCAGCTGCTGCTGCAAACCCAGCAGCCTGGAGACGCGGTGGACAAAAGCAATAAGCATCTACACTTGCTCACGAGCCGGGGCCACCCAGGCAGTGCTGCTGGCCTGATCCAGGCTGTGCTGATCTCCGATGGGCCTGTTCTGGAGGCTGGAGGTTGGCTGCCCGATGACAACACATCCCCCAGCAGTCTGGCCCGGGCTTGTTCTCAGAGGGCTGTCAGGGTTCCTTCCAAGACAGAGTGGAAGCTGGAAGGTCTCCCAAGGGTCCAAGCCAAGGCCAGCCTAGACTGCAAGGCTGGCGAGCGGTCTCTACCCACTCAGTGGGAGCCGCAAGGGCACAGGGAGCAGGCGGCAAGGCAGGGAAGCCACTCCACAGCCTGGGGCCGTCGTCCCTGCTGCTCAAGTGTTCCCCTATGGAGTGATGGCCAAGTCTCCATCTGTGCATGGCGGACACTTCCATGTCTCCATCAGTGACAAACTCGGTCAGCCACCCCTTCCCAGGCAGCCCACCCGGCCAGAGCATCCCACACGCCCCCTCCTCCTCCCGCGGGCACCTCCTTAGGTGCTGGCTGCAGAGCTGGCTGCGTGAAGCTCCCTGGGGCCGCACCCTCGGGTGACTCTGGACTTTCTCCTGGGGCTTCTGCTTGCAGGTGAGAAACAGCAAAGCCAGTGCCTACTGTCTGGACCAGGGAGCGGAGGACGGCGACCGGGCGATCCTCTACCCCTGCCACGGGATGTCCTCCCAGGTAGGAGTAGCAGCGGCCACCCATGCAGCTCCCAAGGGGACGACCCCAGGCCACCCGGACCCTACACCCTGGGGCAGAGGCACGGGTCCAGCCTGCTGGGGTGTTCTGAGGCCACCA
The DNA here is from genome assembly GCF_000001405.40 of Homo sapiens. Taxonomy (NCBI): domain Eukaryota; kingdom Metazoa; phylum Chordata; class Mammalia; order Primates; family Hominidae; genus Homo; species Homo sapiens. The sequence continues at coordinate 106,085 of NW_021160007.1, read as the reverse complement.
GGGCTGCATTCCAGGGCTTGGAGCAGCCTGAGGGCCCCTCTAGAAGAGGCCTCCCAGCCCGCCCCACCTGGAAGGTAGCAGAACACGGGGAATTGAAAACAGCCTGGGCCGGGTGCAGTGGCTCACGCCTGTCATCTCAGCACGATGGGAGGCCAAGGCAGACAGATCACTTAAGCCCAGGAATTGAGACCAGTCTGGGCAGCGTGGCGAAACCCTGTCGCTACAAAAAATACAAAAATTAGCCGGGCATGGTGGGGCATGCCCGTATTCCCAGCTGCTCGGGAGGCTGAGGCAGGAGGATCACCTGAGCCTGGGATGCGGAGGTTGAGCTGAGATCACACCAGTGCACTCCATCCTGGGCAACAGAGCGAGACCGTATCTCAAAAAATTAAAAAGGAACCAGGCCTTTGGGGTCAGATGGGCTGGGGGTGCATCACTCCCCCCTCAGTCAAGAGAGACGGCAACAGCACTTACCGCTCAGGACTGTCGCGTGATTGAAGCGAAGTGTGGGAAGCATTGGCTCGGGGGGTGGATTAACACGGCAATAGTGCTGTTGACCTCCGAGCACTCCCCACCTGGGCAGGACTCACCTGCAGCACAGGCCCAGGCCCAGCCCCAGCCCCAGCCCCGCAGAATCACAGTGGTCAGGGGCTGGCCGTAGTGAAGGTCCAGGCCATTCTGACCATGACCCCCATAAGGAGCTGGACGTTTCTAACCCCACGGGAATGCGTGTTCCGCTCACACACGGCACTGCATGTTGCCCAAATTAAACCCAACTCCTGTCCTCCCCGAAACGAGTGGGGCCGCGCTCTGGGTCTGAGCCACATTCATGACGTCTGTCCAGGCGGAAGACCAGCCAGCTGTGCAAGCCGGGAGCCTGGCCCTGCGGAGCATTTGGGCGCCGTCCAGCCCGCATCCCCACGTGGGCCCTGCCCGGCGGTCCTCTCCCGCCCGCAACAGCGTCCCCGGGGTGGGAGGCTCCAAGGCAGCCGCGCAGGGCCCCGTTTGCAGCTCAAGGCAGCTCGCACGGCCTGTCAGTGCTCACTGGGGAGAGCCTGGGCGCTGCTCACACACAGTCCCGGTGGTCCTGTCCCCAGCTGGTGCGGTACAGCGCTGATGGACTGCTGCAGCTGGGGCCTCTGGGCTCCACAGCCTTCTTGCCTGACTCCAAGTGTCTGGTGGATGACGGCACGGGCCGCATGCCCACCCTGAAGAAGTGTGAGGATGTGGCGCGGCCAACACAGCGGCTGTGGGACTTCACCCAGGTCAGCCTCTGGGGAAGGGGGGCCGTGGGGTTGGGGCGGGGCAGGGCTGCTGGGACCCCTGGGTGCCTCTGCCACTAGAGCCAGCCCATTGGGTGGGAGCTGGAGTGCGGCAGGGGGTGGTCAGGGGACCGGGCCTTGGATCAGCTGTTCCCTTATGGGCCCCGACGCTCACAGAGAGGGCAGGTGACTGGTCAGGGTCACACAGCCAGAGAGGGGTCGGGCTGGACAGTCTGATCATAGCCCTGCATCTGCCTCTTCCAGCCTCAGGTGCCCAGGGTAGAGGGAGGATTTAGGAAGGGGATGAGGTATGATTCCAACCTGGGCCGCTAGCCCTGCAGGAAAGATGGGAAATCCTCGAAGCTCCACTGAAGTCAGCCCCTTCCCGGCCCCCCTGGGTGCTGCTGTGATGCTGGCTTTCCATTCAAGCTGCCCCAAGAATGAGCACGAGGGCTGAGAGCACGAAGCAGCCTCCCTGAGGTGGGGGGAGGGGGAACAAGGACGCCTGCACCTGGCTGACTTGATGTGCCTGTCCCCACAGAGTGGCCCCATTGTGAGCCGGGCCACGGGCCGCTGCCTGGAGGTGGAGATGTCCAAAGATGCCAACTTTGGGCTCCGGCTGGTGGTACAGAGGTGCTCGGGGCAGAAGTGGATGATCAGAAACTGGATCAAACACGCACGGCACTGACCCCACCTCCGCCCGGACCCCCACAGACCTCGGGAAGGCGCTGGGCCGAGCCAGTGTGGCTGAGTGACCGGGGTGTGCCCGGCAGACACAGCAGGACAGGGCTCTATGTGCGGCCAGGACAGCAGAGGCTGAGGGGCCGGGGTGTGGCTGAGTGACCAGGGTGTCACCCACTGCATCTGGAGTACAGCTTCTCCTAGGACAGGCGGCTCTACCCGAGGGAGGGCGTCTGGGGACAGTGATGCCAACTCAAACACGTGCCTTCTCCACGGTATCTCCTGGCCAGGCTGCTGGGACAGCCGCCGCCTCTGCATGTACCACAGCCCCCCACGCCCCATAGGGAGGCCAAGCCCCGGACCATGCACCAGGCTGCACCCTGGTGTCTTCCACCCGCAGGCCTCCCATGCTCCAAGCAGCCTCCCCCAGCACTTGCGGCCGCTCAGCCCTCCAACCAAGACCTAAGTCACACATCATAATGCAGCTCCTTGTGGTCTGGTAAGAGGGGTGCTGGAGGACATGGACAGCGACAAACCTGAGGCCGTGTCTAGGAGGCTGGCACGACTGCTTCAGCAGAGACCAAATAAAGAGAGGATTAGGCAGCAGCACTGTGTGTGTCTTCCTGGGAGCCGAGCTGGGGGTTGGGGCCCGGTCCCACCTCTTTCCCAGGCACCTGGGCCCTGCCGCAGCCCAGCCCCTTGCCTGTTTTAATAAATACAGTTTTATTGGCGCCCAGCCACACCCAGTTGCTTACTATTGTCTGTGGCCACCGCTGCGGGGCTCTCGGCACAGAGTCAGGCCATGGCCGCGTGGCTCACAAAGCTGCAGACGCAGACTCTGGCCGATGAGGAAATCACTGGATGACGCCTGTGCTGGGATGTGGCCTGGCAGGTGGCCTCACGTGTGCAGACAGACCATGAACTCGATGCAGCCGGGAAAATGGAGGAGAGCACGTCCCCTGCAGCCACACATGCAGCTGGAGGCCGTCAGCCTGAGAACTCAACCCGAACAGAAAACCAAAACCACGTGTTCTCACTTATCCATGGGAGCTGAATGCTGCATGCACATGACGCAGAGAGGGAATAGCAGACGCCAGGGACTCCAGAGGGGCAGGTGGGAGGGGGAGGAGGACGAGGACGAGGGCTGGAAAACCACCTGTTGGGAGCTGCGTTCACTCCCTGGGTGATGGGATCGTTAGAAGCCAAAACCTCAGCATCAAGCTATATACCCACATAACAAACCCACACATGTACCCATGAATCTAAAATTTTTTTTTTAAAAGGCCAGGCACGGTGGTTCACGCCTATAATCCCAGCACTTTGGGAGGCTGAGGTGGGTGGATCATCTGAGGTCAGGAGATTGAGACCATCCTGGCTAAGGTGAAATCCCATCTCTACTAAAAATACAAAAATTAGCTGGGCATGGTGGCAGGCACCTGTAATCCCAGCTACTCAGCAGGCTGAGGCAGAATATAGCTTGAACCTGGGAGGTGGAGGTTGCAGTGAGCCGAGATCGAGCCACAGCACTCCAGCCTGGGCAACAGAGTGATACTCCATCTCAAAGAAAAAAAAAAAAAATGGGCAGGTGCCAAATTTGGCAAGTCCAGGCTCCGAGTCTCCAGGGAGTGAGGACGCTGACCCGTTGTCACCAGTCGGAGTTCAGCCTGCGGGGACACGTCACTGTCCGCTAGCCCTGGGCAGAGGCAATGGGGCTGGGAACACTTCACTTTCCGCTAGCCCTGGGCAGAGGCAATGGGGCTGGGAACACTTCACTTTCCGCTAGCCCTGGGCAGAGGCAATGGGGCTGTACTTCACTGCTCTTTCCAAAGCCCGCAGGGGCTCATGTTCCTCCCCCAGCACCCTGCCTGCTGGGGTGCCCACCCACCACACGGCCCCTCTGCTCAACGCCTTCCTCTGGGACTCCCCAGTCGTTGCTTCCTGTTCCTGTAAGAAGCCCTGAGGGGTCCCAGTTTCTCTGTTCTCAGCAGAGAATTCTCCCAACCCCAGCCCAAGCCTCAGCCCTCTGTCTAGTCCAGATCTTGCCAAAATTCTAAGATCATGGAGGCAAAACACGGGCAGTGAGTGAGGCCCCAAAAGTGAGTGGCTTGCCAGGGACCCCCCCCACCCCCAGCCAGACTCACAGGAGTCCAGAAGTTTCCCAGGTGAAGTTAGGAGTCCAGAAGTTTCCCAGGTGAAGGATGTGCAACGTCCCTTATCTTGCAACGTGCAGTGCCTGTAGTTTAGACCAAGAGGATGGCAGGTGCAAACTCGGCTCGCTCACACACCAATTCATTAGGCAAATTGACAGGCAAGTCAAAGCTGGCTGGTTCATAGCCCACACAGGATCCCACAGAAAACCTGACACCTGGAAAATTACTCTCGAATCCTCAGTAGAACTCCCACCCTTCAGGGAGGTGAGTGTTCCCTCCCACTGAGGGAAGCCTATGGCTGCTCCGCCTCACCTGGCCCAGCCCCTCCTCCCTGGCACCAGGAGGAGTCCCGAGGGGAGCACCTGGGATGGCAGATCCCTGCAGGGCAGCGGAGGTGAGGTGCTGTCCACGCTGTCCGGACAGGAGACTCTTCAACAGGCATGACTTTGACTTGCCAAACACTCTGCTTCACCAAATACACCTCCAAGTGTCCTTATTTCCCTGACTATTCCCCTCTGTCCTTACCTGCCTAAGTGGCCACACGCCTCTTGAGAACTGCCCCTGTTCTGGAGAAAGTACCCACGAATCCTAGAGATCATGTAATCCAAAGAGCTCCCCACCCTTGCATGGGTGGGGCAGAGCTGGAGATGTCCCAACGTCCGCTGCTGCCTTTGCATCTGCTGCCACACGGTGTCGCTGTTGAAGATGGTCCCTGCACGGCTGCATGGCCAACACTCGGCCGTGGCCACCAGGATGTCCTTGCTGGCCTAGACTCTCACGCCTGCCTCAGAGGGGTGCCCCACATGGGAACCAACCATACTGTTTAAGTCACAGTGACATGCTGATGTAGATTGGATGTTTGTCCCCTCCAAATTTCAGGTAGAAATTTAACCAACATGGAGGTGGTGCCTGCTGGGACGTGTTTGGGTCACGGGTGGATCCCTCATGAACAGTCCAGCACTGTCCTCATGGTAACTAACATCCACTCTAGTAGTTCCTGAGGGAGCTGGTTGTTAGAAGGGTCCTGGCACTGCCCTCCCTGCTCCCTCCCTCACCACGTCCCCTCTGCTCTGAGAAGAAGCTCCCTGAGGCCTTCCCGGAAGCAGATGTTGGTGCCAGGCTTCCTGTAGAGCCTGCAGGCCCGTGAGCCACTTACACCCCTTTTCTTCACGAATTACCCTGTCTCAGATGTTCCTTTATATGAATAGCAAAATGCCAAACGGATGGAGACATGCATTTGCCCTGACCCCAGCACAGTCCCTGGGCTCAGGAAAACGTGCAGTGCAGTCCGTGGGCTGTGCCATCTGTAGGCTGTGCCGTCCGTGGGCTGTGCTGAAGCCACCGTGATCCCCTAAACCCTTTGACACATGTGGATACGTCCCTTCCTGTAAGGCACAATCACTCCTCCTCATGGACTTCTGTGTCCTGTTTTGTAACCATAGGTCCTTGGTTGGGGCCACCCCAATTGTATCAGGTGGGATCCAACCAGTCAAACAAAAGGGATTTAATATGGAGGACCGATTGCCCAAGTGAGGGAAGAGCTGAGGCTTTGACCAGGCTCACAACTGCCGAAACCGCCTACCAACACCCACAGGCTGGAAGGGCTGGGAGCTGGGGTTCCGGCAGTCGGTGGGGGGCCTACAGCAGGCAACTCCAAGCTTGGAGACTGCGTGTTGGTCGCCTGGAACGGTCCGTGGTGGAGAGACAGACAGAGATACAGACACTATGATTGGCAATGCTACACGCCACGGCTGCGCTTCCAACAGCCTATTGTCAGACACTGGCCAGCACACCCCCAACTTGCTCTCCCAAAACCCCCAGACGCAGAGCACCTCCCCAGTCCGACGGACGCGACCGAGACACGCAGAGAACCTCCCCAGTCCGACGGACGCGACCGAGACACGCAGAGCACCTCCCCAGTCCGACGGACGCGACCGAGACACGCAGAGCACCTCCCCAGTCCGACGGACGCGACCGAGACACGCAGAGCACCTCCCCAGTCCGACGGACGCGACCGAGACGCAGAGCACGCCCCCAGTCCAACAGATGTGACTAAGACAGGACGCACAAGAGATTCCTTTCAGAGCAAAGGTCTACAGAAACGCCAGCTCCTGTCCCAGGTACTCGGGAAAACTGCTGCCAACCATTCTCTTCTCCTTAGAGGAGGAGGAGGAGGGAGGACAGAGGAGGATGAGGGAGGACACAGGAGGAGGATGAGGGAGGACACAGGAGGAGGACGAGGGAGGACACAGGAGGAGGACGAGGGAGGGAGGAAGATGTTTATATACGGCTGAAATTTTAATCCCATTTAATTCTTCAAATACCTTAAGTAGTACTGAGCACTCCTGTGCCCACTTAAGGAGAAACAGAGGCTCGGAGGAGTAAAATGACTCCATACAAGACACACGCATCACAGAGGCCGACCCAGGGGGTCCCACCCAGATCCATGTGACCCCAAACCTGCGACCTTCAACCCTGCCTGGCTGCCCAGTATTTTTTTCTTTTTAAACAGTCATGTTTTAAATGGCAAGGATACAAGCAAATAGAATTTAATAAAACTTAATAGCAGGCCTGCTTCTCCCATTGATTCAATTAAAATCTGGCTCTGCAGCAGATTCAGAAAAATCCACGTCATCTGTTTGACATGGTTCATTGGCACCTGACGACCGGGGCTCGGAGCGGCCGGTACAGGAGCAGGCACTCCCCCAGCCCGACGACAGGGGCTCGGAGCAGCCAGTACGGGTGCAGGCACTCCCCCAGCCCGATGACCGGGGCTCGGAGCGGCCGGTGCGGGAGCAGGCGCTCCTGGTGGAAGCAGTGAACAAATACACACGTCATTCTTCTCCTTTCTCTGCTCTTGATAGAGATCCTGGGCATCCGAATTTAATTTTGCCTCTAATAAAAATGCCCATTGCCTGATGAGTCTCATTTATGGCTCAGACCGACTTCAAGAGTGGGTCCTACAGGAAGCAGCATGCGGGGGGGGCCTGTCCCCAGGAGCGGGGCAGCCTCGAAGGGCCCCAGCAGGGGTGCAGGCCGGGCTGGTGTTGACCAGGGGCCCAACCACACAGAGCGTGGGGGTCTCCCAAACACTCCCTCGTCATCACAGGCAAGTTTAGCTCTGGTCGAAGCAAGGGGAAGGTGAAGGGCAGACTCCAGGGCGGGGGCCCCCTCTGAGAGGGCTGCAGGGACAGCTCTGGGGTCTGCAGAGAGGGGCAGCAGCAGACACACCTGGGCGCCCTCTCCTCACTGGGCAGCTTTGGGGAAATTACTTTCTCCTTCTGAACTGCATTTAATTCAAACAAGAAATAATACAGGCTCCAAAGCTTTGCTTTGAAGATTAGGAAAAAAGCACATCATAACTGTTATATTCCTGGGTGGTTTTGATTTTTTTATTTGCTTCTTGTATTTCCTAAATTTTCTGCAAAGAAACTTGTCTGCAACGAAGGATAATTGGCTCTTTTGTTTATTAATATTCATTTGACACCCACTGCACAGCGGGCGCTCTCCCTCACAGCAGCGGCCCATTCCCGAGCGCGTGCAGTGCCTAGCTTCCGGCCCGAGACACAAGGAGGGCTTCTAGAGGGATCACCGTCCACGCTGACACTGCTGTCCGGTGACCAGTCCCCGTGCTGGAGCTCACTGGCTGGTGACCAGTCCCCGTGCTGGAGCTCACTGGCCGGCCCGCAGGCCGCCTCTCACACCATGTCCTCCCCACCTGCCAGGCACCGGCTCACCAGCCTGCCGGGCCTGTGAATGCCCCAGTCCCAATCACGAGGCCCTCCCATGTTTGTGCCCAGCGCTGCTGTAACACAGGACCACAGCAGGTGGCTTCAGATGGCAGAATTGATTCCCTCACAGTCCCAGAGTCCAAGGCCCAGGTGCCAGCCCGGCTTCCTCCGAGGGCTCCGGGGCTCCTCCCACCTCCTCCCTCGCTGGGCCTGACCCGTCTCTGCTGCCGGTGGCCTGTTCCTCACCCCACCCCCATGTGTCTCCTCCACGCCTGCACCCTCTCGTCACCTTGCAGGGACAGCAGCCTCGGATTCAGGGCCCACCCTGCTCCAGGGTGGCCTCATCTTAATGTTCCATCAGCTAAGGCCTTCTCTTTAAATAGGTCTCATTCGGGGGTTCTGGGTGGACGTGAATTTTGGAAAGACAGCCCATGACCTTCTCCTATTGCCCAAATAGGCCCAGAAACTTCCCCGAGTCCTCCGAGGTGCAGAGCTGTGCTGAGGTCTGTGGGGAGAAGAGAAAGGCTGACCTGCCCCGCTGGACACGTGCTATCCCCGAGCCCCTCAGTCCATCGTCAGAACGGCCCCTCGACATGTGCGTGGCCAACGAGCACACGGAAAGGCACGACGCCAGCAGGCACCGGGGGCTGCAGAGGAAAGCCACGGCGGCCGGACTGGCTGAAGCACCCACGGGCAGCACGGGCGAGCCTCGGAGCGCCCCAAAGGCCCACCCGCTGCTGGCGGGGTCACGAAAGGCCACGGGCACTTGGAGCCACCATGGGTCACCACCTCCCTATAACCAAAGGTAACTCACAGCACCCCGGCCCGGCAATCTCACACCTGGATTCACCCAAGGGGCATGAAGACACGTCCCCAAAGACTTACAGTAAAATACTCACACCGGCCTTATTCACAATAGTCCAGAGCCGCAAGCAGCCCGGTGCGTGAGCCCTCAAGTCAGGGGCAGCCTCGGCGGGGCCTGTGCCTGAACCGGCCCTTGGCGGAGAGGAGGAGCGGCCGCGCGGCGGGAGAGGGGCCGGGCAAAGCGCACATCCGCCCCTGGAACCCGCACAGCCGGTCACCGCGCGCCCGGCGGGGTCGGAGCCGAGGCTGCCTGTGACCCCGGGAGCTGGGCGGAGGGCACAGGATCCGTCCGGATTTTCTGTGCAACGTCCTGGGAATCTAAAACTGCGTCAAAGTAAAAAGGTCTTTTGGTTTTGTTGTTGTTTATTCTACTTTAATTTCTGGGGCACATGCGCACAACGTGCAGGTTGGTTACAGACGCCCAGCGGCTTCGGAGGTGCCGTGCAGAAAGCGGCTGCCCGAGGCCGGGGGAGGCGCCGGGGAGGGCGGGGAGACGCCGCGGGAACATTCGTCACACCCCGCGGACCTGCCCCCGAGACGGGCGCCGCCTGGGACCCGCGCGCAGTGACTTAAAAGGGCGAAGGGCCGCCCCAGGCCCCGCCCTCGACTCCTCCGTCGCTGCGTCTCCTCCGTGCTCCGTCCCCGGAAAGACGGGCCCCGCCCCGACTCCCTCGGCGAAGAGGCCCCCGCGGCCGGCCGAGCTCCGTGGACTCCGCAGGAGCGGCCCCGCCCCTCACACTACGCCGGGCGGTTCCCTCCGAGCCCCGCCGGGACAGCGTCGACGCTGCACACACCCCAGAGAAGCCAGAGGACGGCGCCTGCACCGGACACAGCGCAACACCGGCACAGCACAGCGTCCACACCACAAGTGAGCCTAGGCAGCTGTGTCTACACTGCAGACGCCGGCCTGAGCGCACGCGTCTTCATGCAGGCTCAGCAGAGGGGGAAGAACACCTCCCCGAGGGTGGAAGAGCTGTGGCCAGCAGACAGATGGACGGACAGACGGACACAGGCGAACAGGCAGCGCAGGGGTGAGCCGAGCCGGTCAAATGGGCCAGGACCCGGCTCCGTGTGCCCTTCACAGTCAGGATGACAGAACCCCGTGGAATATGAAAAATGCCGGGAGACAGACCCCGGAGGCACAGCCCCTCACCGGGCAGGGAGGCCGCCAGAGGGAAGCGCAGCTCCAGGTGCGCGCCCCCCCACGCCCACCCCATCCCCCGCTGGGCAGGGAGGGACCCCACCTGCGCCCTCAGGCGGTGCTCAAGATGGGGATAGGGTGAGCTGCAGAACCGATTTCATCTCTGGAGTGAAATGGAATGATGGGTTTGTGTGAAATCAGGACAGAGCTGGGGAGGTGGCGGAGCCGGGACGGGAAGAGGGCAGAGCAGTGGGCTCATTCCCCGGAACCAGCATCTCCTGGCCCGGTTTAGCCACTGAGGGAAGCTTCTCTGTGTATTGAGCCTGGCTGCCCAGAGAGCAGCCCCACCCTCCCTCCTGCTCCTGCTCCTCTCCCTCCCCCAACTTCTCGTCCCCTCTTCCTCACCCCTGCCCCCACCTCCAGCCTGACTCTAACGCTGCACTGGCCTTTAGTGTCTCAGAACACAGAGCAGTTGCTGGGCAGAATCCCCCGTGCCACGATGCGTCCACGCACAACACGGGAACTAAACCACCCGAAACGCAGCAGGTTAAAGCAGCGCTGGGCTCCTGGTCCTCACAATTCTCTGGGTCCATGGGGGCTCCCTGGGCTGGCTCATGGGCCGCCATGGTCACCAGCAGGGCTGGCCAGGCCGGGCAGCAGACGGCTCCTGGCAGCTGGCGGGTGGGGCTGGCCGTCGCTGCGGCCTGGGCTGTCCTCCGCACGGCCTCCTGCCTCAGTTTTCTGTTTCTGATGAGCCCCGTATCTAGCGGTTCAGAGCAACGCCAGTTCATCCCCTGGCAGCTTCCATGGCCAGGACTCAGCCACGGTGTGGGTGGATTTGCCACTCAGGGCTCACAGCCTGGAGTCCAGGTGCCAGCAGGGCAGGTGCCGTTCTGCAGGCTCTGGGGAAGAACCCGCCTGCAGGCTCGCGGGGGGGCCTGGCAGCTCTGGGGGCCTGCAGCGGCAGGGCTGAGGTCCCGGCCTCCTTGCAGGTTGTCAGCCGGGTCCCCTCTCGGCTCCTGAAGGCTGCCGGCATCTTCCTCTCAAGGGCCCTTCCCATCTTCCAACCGGAAACAGCATGGCCAGTTCTCCTGGCTCTGAGGGGCTAGTGAGCAGGCGAGGCCACCCCGATGACCCCCCTTTTGAGTTTAACTGAGGACGGCGCACGTCCTCACGTTCCAGGGCTCCTGTGGAGAAATTCCGCACACCACCCTCACCTTCCTGTAGGTCAGGCCGGTTCCTTCTGCGGTGGGCGTGGGAGAGCCACAGCCCAGTGGAGAGGCGTTGCAAGGCCCCACACCCCTTCCACCATGTTCTACCAACCACGGCAAATCAAAGGCCACCGAGACCCAGGGCCTAGGGACACAGACCCATCCCGGGAGGGGAGGTGCCGCCCAGTCACAGTCCCACCAGTGCATGGACACAGGGAGAATTGCCCGGGCCCCGGGTTTGGTGAATCCGGCAGCCCGCCCTCTGCCCCAGCGAGTCCCTTCCCCTCTCATAAAACCGCATTCTCCCCTCCCTAGACCACCAGAGCCCCATCTGATTAAGGCATCGAGATCAAAGCTCAGCAGAGGGCGGCTCATGATGGGCAGCTCAAAAAAATAAACCCACCAATCAGAGTCCGTGTTCCTGTGACCGGTGGCGGGTTCGGATGCAGAGGAGGCTTCTCAGTGCGGTTCCTCCTCATCTCGGAACCTGCCACCCCACTCAAGCCCGACATAGGCCAGGACAGCCAGGACGGCCGCAGCGAGGGCAACACGAGGCCCGTCGACATCCTGAGGCCCCCGGGCCTGTCGCCGAGTCCCGGCTTGGGGAGTGTCCCCGGGCCACACTGGTCCTGCTCCCGGCTGTGTGGTCTCCCAGGCGCGTGGCTCCTCCCTCCGGGGCCCAGGCTCTGGTGTGAGCCACTTTTTCCATAGGAGACGCCCATACTTGCAGCTCACGCCTTTGTCTGGTGCCCTGGCCTCACACCTATAGGAATTGGGTACCTGGGGGCCTCTTCATCTTTACTTGTCTCAGCTTAGAGAAGCCCAGCTACACTTCCTCCATGCCTGGATTCATGCACGGCCCCACAGGGTGAGGCCTGGACACCCTCACGGGCACTGGGGCTCCACGGATGCAGAAGGCAGCCTGGCCCGGTAGCTCGGGGGTCTGAGATGGAGGTGGAGTAAGACAGAGTGACAAAGGCTGCGTCCTGGAGGCAGGCTCGGAGCCTCCCTGAGCTCAGAGAGCCCGCGTGCGCCAGGAAGCCACACCTGCAGGACCCGAGTCGGAACTCAGAGGCTGGTACAGCCGCGGTGCTTGTCCTGTAGATAAGAATGGCCTCCTCTGGCGGCCAAAGTTAATTAAACTGACAATCTTGATAAGTTGCACAGTTACCTGCTCGGGGACAAAGAAGATGGGAGCCTTGTTTGTGGTTTCTTCTTGTTCTTTCCTGTGCCCCACAGTCATTTTAAAATTAAATTAAATGGCTTATCTGCACTAACCCAAGTTGACCGGCTGGTATTTCCTGGGCGGCGAAGTGCTGGCTGCCCGGCCTGTGCCCTGCACACGCTCCCCATCAGAGCACAACGTCGCCGGGCCACGCTTACAGGGCTTTGAAGATGGATTTCAAAACTGGGATCATTTCCCCCTTAACGGGCATAGTTCAGTGAGATCTGATTTTTTCCCTTTCTAACCTCAGAACGTGGCCTTCCTGGGGGTGTCCGGTGGGTGGTCCCGATGTCCCCACAGAAATGAAAGCGGCCTCCTGGGCAGTGCTCACGCTTCTCTCTGTCTGGCTTTGGGGGCTGCAGGAAGCAAGAGGTCCTGTCTCAGCAGCAAAGTCGACGCCAGGGCTCAGCTGACCGCAGCCCTCCCTCCCTCCCTCCCACCGACTCCGACCGTGGCTCAGAGGGAGGTCAGGAGCCGCGAAGGGAACAGGGAAATTTTACTGGTTCTGACCCAGTGAAGACATGGGGACTTGCTACATATTCAAATGAAACAAAATAACACAGCAGCTCTTCAGATGTGTAAGAAAAGGAGGGAGGGAGGGAGGAAGGAAAGAAGAAAGAAAAAGAAAAGGAAGGAAGAAAGGGAGGGGCGGAGGGAGAGAGAAAAGAAAGGGAAAGAAAAGAGAGGAAGCAGAGGTTGCCACAAGACAGAGAGCCATTCCGGAAGAAAACAGCCCCAGGAATGGAAGAGCACTGCGCAGGCACCTCTCACTTCAGAAGATCGAAGCTGGCAAACTTGTAACAGAAGACCACGGGGTTTAGGTGACAAAACTGAAGAATGAGATGAAAACAACCGATCACAGCGTTGAATAAACGAAAGAACACCCAAAAAACACCAAGATGAAACGAGAAAACCCAGAGGAGCGGAAACCAGACTAAGCACAGCTGAAAACTGAGCTGCCGACGAGAAAAAATGCTTGTGGCGGGGGCGCCGATTCGAGATGGTTTTTAGTTTTTGACACCAGGTCTTGCTGTGTCACCCAGGCTGGAATGTAGGGCACGTTCTCAGCTCCCTGCACCCTTGACCTCCTGGGCTCAGGTGATCCTCCCGCCTCAGCCTCCCAGGTAGCTGGGACCACAGGTGCACGCCACCAAGCTGGGCTCATGTTTTTTTGGAGAGATTGGGTCTCACTGTGTTGCCTGGGCTGGTCTCAAACTCCTGGGCTTGACCAATCCACCTGCCTCAGCCTCCCAAAGTGCTAGGATTACAGGCATGAGCCACAACACCCGGCCAAAAATGTTTTAATACATAGGGTAAAGCAACAGAAAAAACGATAATGAATTATTTGGAATACACACAAAGATAAGTCCGCACAGGGAGAAGAGGTGCCTCTAAGAAGGAAAACCTCAAAAGTAAAACGGGAGAGCTGCTTAAAGCTATCACACAAGAAAATTCACCTGACATGAAAGAAGGATTAATCCGTACATTGAAATAGACTGTGTTTCAGGAAAAGATGACACAGAATTTTATATTGGCACATGATCCAGGTGGAATAAATACAGCCAGACCCTGACAAGAGGGAAGTCAGCCCCAGGCATCACGCCAATGCTTGATGTCAAAAGTCAATGGGTGCCAGGTATGGTGGCTCAAGCCTGTAATCCCAGCACTTTGGGAGGCTGAGGCAGGTGGATCACGAAGTCGGGAGATCAAGACCATCCTGGCTAACACGGTGAAACCCCGTCTCTACTAAAAATACAAAAAATTAGCCGGGCATGGTGGCCGATGCCTGTAGTCCCAGCTACTCGGGAGGCTGAGGCAGGAGAATGGCGTGAACCCGGGAGGCGGAGCTTGCAGTGAGCCGAGATCGCGCCACTGCGCTCCAGCCTGGGCAACAGAGCAAGACTCTGTTTAAAAAAAAAAAAAGTCAGTGGGATGGGTCTTCTGCTCCTGGGAAGATAGAGCAGAGGTATTTTTCTCTATTCATCTCACTAAGCATGGCATAAAACTCTATATGAGAAAACTTAGGACCCTGCAGGGTGGAGAGAAGCAGGCTGGCTAGGGACCTCAGGACCCAAAGGATGATGTGGTGGTGAAGGCCTTGGATTTTCTTCTTGCTTCATCGATCCCATGCTTGGACTTGAAGAAGCTGGTAATCCAGAAACAAGGATCAAAAAATAAAAATTAAAAAGCTCCAGCACTAGCCTAATCAATTCAATCATCAAAGCTCCCACCTCAAGAAACTATGAAAGAGGAGCAAAATCAACCCAATGCAAGCAGACAGAAGGAAAGAAAAAATGACAGAAGGAAAGAAAAAATGACAGAAATCATGGAAAGCAAAGCAGAGGAACAATACAGAAAGTCAAAGAGCTGGTTTCTTTAAACATATGTAAATGGGTGAACCTCTAGCAAAAATGACCAAAAAAAGACACAAATCACAAGTATCAGGAAGGAAGGAGACACACACCAACCCCATAGATATAAACATGAAAAGAACAAGGGCAGCTGGACACGGGGGCTCACGCCTGTGATCCCAGCACTCTGATATAAACGTGAAAAGAACAAGGGCAGCTGGGCACAGTGGCTCACGCCTATGATCCCAACACTCTGGGAGGATCACTTCAGTCCAGGAGTTTGAGACCAGCCTGGGCAACATAATGACACCCTTTTTGTACCAAAAAAAGTTTTAAAATTAGCCAGGTGGTACCTGCCTGTAGTCTCAGCTACTTTGGAGGCTGAGGTGGGAGGATCACGTAAGCCCAGGAGATTGAGGCTGCAGTGAGCTATGATTGCAGCACTGCACTCTAGCCTGGGTGACAGAGTGAGACCCTATTTAAAAAAAAAAAAAAAAAAGGAATAAGGAAATATTTGACAACCCAGTTGAAATAGACCAATTCCTAAGAAAACACAGCAGACCACAACCTACCCAGCATGAACCAGACAGTGTGACTACCCCGTAACTATGAAGGAAATGTAATATATAATTATAAAACTCCTAATAAAGGAATCTCCAAGCCCAGATTGTTTGGCAAATTTTACCACACATTTAAATAAACATTTACCCCAATTCTATGCAGCTCTTCCAGCAAATAGAAAAGTAGAGAACATTTTCTAGTTCATTTTATGGATTAACAGTACCCAGATACCAAAACTAGATAAAAATCGTACCAAAAAAGAAAATCAGACCAATATCTCTTATGAATATAGATGGAAAAATCCTTAACAAAATGTTAGCAAATTCTGCAATATATGAAAAGAATCATATGCCACGTACAAGAGAAGGTTAACCCGGGGACACAAGTCTGGTTCAATTATTTTTAAATCTGTCAATATAATCCACAATTCTAACAGGCTTAAGAAAAAAAATCACACAATCTCACAGAAAAAAAGCGTGATAAAATTCAACATGGATTCATGACCAAAACTCTCAGAAGGAACAGAGAGGAGCTCTGTTCCCCCAGCTCAGTAAGGAGCATTGACAAAAATACCCACAGCTGGTATCTTACTCAACAGTGAGAGAAGACCGCTTTCCCCAATAGAGGAGCACAGCCAGGGTGAGTGTGTCACCATGCTCTCTCAGCCCAGCACTGGAGCTCTCATCACCGGTGCCATCATGCCAGGAAAGAAAAGAAAAGGCGTCTGGCTGGAAAGGAGAAAGTGGCACCATCTGACACTCATGCTCAGCCCCCACACTGGCTCGGTGAGGAGCTCCAACCAAGAATATTCTGACCAGAATGACTCTTGGGACACTCGTGGGATGGGAAAGACTCCCAGAGGCTGGAAGTTGTGGTGACAAGAGCTTGAAGCCACCAGGGGCTACCGCACAGGCCCGAACATGGAGCCAAACCAGAGAAAGCAGAGGTGGCCATTTGAGCCCTGGATCAAGCCACACCTGAAGGCAGTTACCAATAGGAGTCAACACACTCCCGATTGCCTGAATCAGTTTTGGTTTGTTTTTCTGTCACTAGCAACCCAATGACTCCTAAGTAACATAAAGGGGGATGGTTTCGTGTTTGGAGGAAGAGCGAGGCCTGGGGGGACATTTTCTGTTGTTGTTAGGATGGGAGGTTTGGACTGTTTGCCAGCTGAAAGGGAGCAGTGCCTGGGAGAGGCAGATCCAAGAGGCTGGGCTCTCAGGGAACCCAGAGAGAGGAGAAACAGCCACAGAGAGTGAGAGAAGGAGAGGAACACCAGGGGGACACAGGGACGTCCGGCCCCACTCCTGTTCATCTGAGGACAGACACACAGTTCCACGCACCATTCACCCGAGGACAGCCACGCGGCCCCACGCACCGTTCACCCGAGGACAGATACGCGACTCCACACATTCATTCCCCAGGCACTTATCGAGGGCATACTGTGCACCCGCGCCGCCCTTAGCTCCTTCCCCAGAATTTCCCATCGTGAGCCCCTCTCCCACCAACACCCTGGGCCATTGCCATCTTCTCCAGGAATACTCAACTGTGGAGAGCAGAGAAACCGACTTCCCACCCGCATGGACCCTGCGGAACCTGTGCACCTGGGAGTGCTCAGAGTCAAGGCTTTCCCCCTCCTGCCGCCCAGGGGCAGATGGTCAGTGGCCACGGCTGCCTCCACCAGCACACGTTCAACCATGCCACACATGCCACACACGCCACACACGCAACACACACATACACAATACACCACCCATGAAACACATCACACACGCCACGCAGCCACACGAGGCTCACACACCACACACTCTCCAGCCCTCCTGCCCACCCAGGGGCGCCACAACTGCGGTGCTGTCCCGGCCACACCTGGGCGGGTGGGAAGGTCAAGGTCAGCCCCGGGGCCCCCAGGCCTGGAGGGTGCAGGGAGAGGAGGAGCGGAGGTGCAGGCACCGTGGCCGGGCAGTCGGAGGCGCCCCATCACTCGGGGGGGGGGGGGGGGGAGACAGACTTCACCAGCGGCAGGAAGACAGCGTGGCGGGCACACGAGGTGGAAACAGTGAAGGGACACACCTGTGCTGGTGGCCTCACCCCTCACCCCCTCCAGTCATCGCCAGCCAAGGCGGCCGCTATGCAGGGGCTTGGAAGGACGTGGACCCCAGCACCCAGCGCTCACCGCCCGCCTCCACCACACCCTCCAGCAGCTGAGGCTGACGGCTGATGCCAGCATGTGAGAGCATGTGCTGTCTGCTGGGTGTGTGCGCGCTGGGCTGTGCAGGGTGCGAGTGAACGTGTGCTGGGTGGGTACATGTGCTGGGTGTGTGTACTGAGTGTGAGTTGTGCTGGGTGTGTGTACTATGTGTGCGTGCTGGGTGTGTGTACCGAGTGTGTGTGTGTGTGCTGTGTGAGTTGTGTTGGGTGTGTGTACTGAGTGTGTGTGTGGTTTGAGTTGTGTTGGGTGTGTGTACTGTGCGTGTGTGTGCTGTGTGAGTTGTGTGGGGTGTGAACGTGCGCTGAGCATGTGTGTGTGCGGTGTGAGTTGTGCAGGATGTGTGTACTGAGGTGTGTGTGTGTGCTGTGTGTTGTGTGGGGTGTGAGCCTGTGCTGAGCCTGTGCTGGGTGTGAGCGTGCATTGTGTGTGTGCTGTGTGTGTTGTGTGGGGTGTGAGCATGTGCTGAGCCTGTGCTGGGTGTGAGCGTGCGCTGGGTGAGTGTGCCATATTAGTTGTGCAGGGTGAGTGTGCAAACATGTGTGCTATGTGTGCACTGGCGATGGGAGTGTGTGTTAGGTGTGTCAGGGGGTTGTTGCATGTTGCTGAGTGTGTAAAAGGCTCAAGGACAAAGATGGTGTAAAACATGAGAACTCGGCGTGGCCGTCGGGGATGGGGCAGGTCCCTACCCCAGCTCTCCCCTCGGGGCCGACACCTGCCCTCCCTGGAGCCCACACTCCCTGCAAACCTGGAAGTGCCCAACACGAGACCTTTCAGGGCCGTGGTGTCCACGTGCACCCCACACAGACACCCCCAAAGCCCCACAGAATGCAGGGGCACCCGTGGGCCGGAACGAGTGTACACCCCGAGACCCACAGGCCCTCCCAGCAGTGAGGAGGCTTCCCGCAGTGGCCGTGACGGAGACACGCGGAGCTGCAAGTCTGCTAAGTCCTTCTCTGTTTCAGCAGCTGCGCTGGCTTCGTTTCTATTTTCATTTTTTAATTGTGTAAAATTATATGTATTATAATACACGTAATATGCATTTTATGCAGATATTGAATACATACAATCATACATATATCATTTCATTTAATAACAGAAAACTCACCATCGTCACATTTTTCAGTGCACTTTAGCAGGATTAAGAGCAGTCAGGCCTCTGTGCAGCCGAAATCCCCACCCCCACCCCCAGAACCTGTCATCTTCCAAACTCAGGCTTTGTCCCCATGAGACACGAGCTCCCCAGCCCTAGGAGGGCCTGTTTCCTGGCTCGTAGACAGCCACCTTCTCACCGTGCCCTCACATGTCCAAGAGAGCAAGAGGGGTATGTGTGCATGGATATGTGTGTGTATGCATAGATGTCTGTGCGCATGTGTGTGCATGCATGGATGTGTTTGTGCATGGAAGTGCGTGTGCATGGATGTGTGTGTGTGTATGTGCATGCATGGATGTGTTTGTGCATGGAAGTGCTTGTGCATGGATGTGTGTGCATGTGTGTATAGATGTGAGTGTGCACGGATGTGTGCACGTGTGCATGGATTGTGTGCCTGCATGGATGTGTACATGAACGTGTGTGCATGGATGTGTGTATGTGTGCACGCACGTGTGCGTATGTTTGCAGCCCTAATCTCAAGGAAGGACTCGAGCTGGGGCAGCCTTGACGAGGAGCAGCTCCTCCTTCCATCGACCTCCAGGCAACCCCGCCAGGGGCTTGAACTCTCACCCATTCCCTACAGCAGGTGGTGGGTGACAGAGAAGGAAGGGCCTGCCCTGCCAGCCCCACTCCCAGGCCCTGCCTGTGCCAGGGGTTCCAGCCAGTCCTGAAGAGCCTGGCCAGGCCCCCAGCTCACATAGACATGGCTCTGCAGAAACACAACCTTTGCCCACCAAAGCCACGGAGGCCGCCCACCATGGACAGAGCTTCCTTCTCCCTACCCTTTCCTGAGCTGTCAGCATCCCCATCAGCCATTGCACAGACAACTCTAACAACCAGTTAAGCAAAGAGCAAGCTGCAGGCATGGGTGGATCCAGCTGCTTTGCCTTCTGTCCCCAGCTCCTCCCTGGGGGCCCTGTACCCAAGGGGACATCTCTGCAGGACCGTTCAGCAACTGTGGCTCCGCTGGGACCACTATTAGCAATAACGGCAGCTACTTGGATCGGGACCTTGCTTTGGGGCAGGCTGTGCCCCGCTTTGTGCATGCCTTCTCATTCATTCTCACACCAACCCTGTTAACAGATAAGGAAACTGAGGCCAGAGAGGTAAAGCACTGGCCCCAAGCCCACAGCAAGGGCGTGGAGCAGCCGAGATTCGCGGTGACACTGGCCCCAGCCACACGCACGGTGTCGGCCACAGCACCCTGAACTGGAAATGTGCTGTCCTTTGTGGAGGCAAGAGGGACTGGAGCTCATGCCCTGGGTCTGACACGTTACCTGAAGCCAAGAACTCGGCAGAGCTTCCTGCTTGGTGCTTCGGCTGCGCTGGCGACAGCAGGAAGAGTAGAAACCCGAGAACGCCCACAGCACGCCAGTAACTTGGAGGGGGCGGGGCTCGCCAGGGCACACGAATGGCACAAATGTTAAGCTGAAAACATGATACATCCCTAAACAAACAACAGCTCTGAGAACGGCATTTACGCACAACAGAACGGGCGCGACTCGGAGACACGGAGGACACTCGCTGAGAGAGAGAAGCCAGACATGGCACGCAGGGTGGCAACGACACAAGATGCCAGACACGGAATGCAGGAGAGGCAGGTGCGGCCCGGGGCGCAGGCCCACATGGTCCTGGGCGTGAACGCTGCTGTCTGGGTGGATGGAAACGTCCGGCTCCCCCGGTGGGGGCTGCCTGTGGCTGCGTTTGTCAGACTCGCCACCCTACACGTGTAAAGTGGGTGCGTCTCCAAGCAGGGAACAGCCTTGCTTCAGTGGCTCTGTCACCAAAGCTGGATTCCCTGAATTTAATCACAGGGAAATGTCAAAAATCCAGATTGAGAGGTGTTCAGCAGGACAGCTGGTCAGCACTCTTCAACTGGTCAGCAGGTACATTTGAGGCCCTGAATCCCAAGGGACAGCCCAACCTGCAGTCATACAATCCTGAGGTCACGAAAGGGAAAGGCTGGGGGCAGCCACAGCCCCATGTAAGGGGAGTGGGGGCGGGGGGAGAATCACAAGCCACAGATCAAGGAACAGGAAGTGTTCTCAGGGACAGCTGGAGACATCTGCATTATTTTTCGACTTGGGCCAGCCGGAAACGATTTCAAAAACGAAAAAAGTCAGAAACCAACACTTTTCAGGGGTCTCATTCTGTCGCCCAGGCTGGAGTGCAGGGGGTGGGGGGGGCGGGTTCTGAGCTCAGTACAGCCTCAAACTCCCGGGCTCCCCACCCTCCCGTCACACCCTCCCCGGTCACTGGGACTACAGGTGCACACCGCCATACCCAGCTAAGTTTTTAATTTTTTTTGTTGCCATGTTGCCCAGCCTGGTCTCGAGCTCCCAGCCTCAAACACTCCTCCCACTTTGGCCTCCCAAAGAGCTGGGATTACAGGCGCGAGCCACTGTGCCCGGCAGAAAAAATACTTTTTTAAATGCACATTTTATTGTACGTAAATCATACCTCAATAAAGGTAATTTTTGCCTTTAAAGTATATAAACGATAATTCTACCTAGTAAATAAAATATGTACTTGTATATGCATATAAAAAGGTTTGAAATAAACATACCTAAATACCACAGTGATTAAATAGCACTAGTGAGTTTACAAAGACTTTTTTCATGCCTTAATTTTGCTTTTCTGTTTTGTCTGTAATAAGAAAATATTCTACCATTTTTTCAGTTATAATTGTAAATAGTAATTATATATCATAACTATGTTATTCATTTTAATAAAGTTGTAATTAGTTGTAAATTCTATAGTTTTTCTAAAGTAAGAAAACATTCTTTAGAAAAAGTAAGAAAACATTCTTACTTTAGAAAAAATAAGAAAACATTCTTATTTTAGAAGAAATAAGAAAATATTCTCTTTTCTTATTTCTATATCCCTTCTTTACAGGGATGAGTGGAATGGGGCCAAGGGGTCTCTTCCTGGCTGAGGGACCCTTGCAGCAAGGTGGTCGGCTGTGGGTCACCCATGACACCAGCCAGGCAAGGGGTCTGGGTGCAGCCCCTCCTGGGCCCGTCAGGCCCCTGCCTGTGACTCAGGGCATGGCCGCCTCCTCCTAGAGCCTAGGGGCTCTGGAAATAGACCCGGCGTGCAGCCTCCCCACGGAGCCCAGCAACCCATCAGCCCACTCCTTTCCTCTCAGGGAAGTGGGCACAGACCCCACGACCCTGCAGTGCCACTCAAAGGTGAGTCCATCAGTCTTGCGCCCAGCCCGTGACAAGCTGAAAGCCGCCGGTCTCAGCTCCAGGCTGTCCCTGCTGCGTCTGCACAGTCCACGGCACTTCCAGTCACTCCCCACCGCCTCCTCCCCCTCGTGACTGCCCTCTAATTTAATTTCCTGTCAATCCCCAGAAAATGAGTTGTAACTGCTCTAGGAAACATCATCCATCCTTACAGTAAGAGCAAGTTTTATGTCTGCCCGCAGCCAGTCGCCGGGCAGAGCGACGCCTCTGAGCGAACATTCTCCACCAAGCCTCAGTCTCCGCAGGAGGGACCCTGTCCTCAGACCAGCGATGTGGGGGAGAGGGCCGCGATGGGGTGCTTTGGAGCCAGCACTCCCCAGAGCCTGCAAAAGCGCAGATTGCAGGCCCACCCCTGGAGCTTCTGAGCCAGAAGGACCCCAGAACTAGCATTCCTAACAGGCTCCCCGGGGCTGCTGTGCTCCAGGGACCCCACTTTGAGAATCAGGGGTCTAGAGCACCCCCGGCTTCTAGAAGCTAACACCCCGGGCCTCGAGCTCCCAGGAGGCGGCTCCTTTCGCCTGGACTTGGTTTCAGAGAGTCCTGCTTGTCAGCCACCCCATCTCCAGAGCATCATCAGGGTCCCCGCAGCTGCCTCTGACCTCACCCCTGCAGCCCCATTCCATGCGCCTCCCCTCTGCCGGGAGGGCGGCCTGGGTGACAGGGTGGGGCTGCATGTATTCACCCCCACGGGACAGGAAGTCAGTGTCAGAGGGGACAGGGCATGTGGTGACAGAAGCGGAGGCCAGGAGGGAGGGGAAGGGCCCAGCCCAGGAGTGCGGCCTCCGGACGCTGGGAAAGCAGGAGCAGCTCCTCCAGGAGGACCGTGGCTGCCTCCGCACTGCATTTTCTGGCCCACGGAGCCGAGAGGATCAATGGGTTGTTGAAGCCACCAAACAGCTTCCAGCTACTATTGTATTGCAGCAGGAACAGGGGACCAGCCGGGCCGGGAGCCTGGGTTGGGGCCGTTTGACGGCTCGGCGGCGGGGTAGGAGGTGTGGGAGCAAGGCCCCAGGAAGGGCAGCCAGCGCCCGTGGCGTCGGGGAAGAGCCTCCAGGCAGAGAGGGCCGCCCTGCGGAGGCAAATGCCGGGGTGTTCCCGGAGCAAACGGGGCCTCAGGGGTGCAGCCAGGGCCAAGGTGAGGGCTTTGGCTCTGGCTCTGAGGGGGTGGGAGCTGCTGGAAGGCTCTGGGCTGAGGCTCCCTCTGGCTGGGAGTGGGCAGAGCCAGCCAAGGGCGAGGTGAGCAGGCTCTGGGTGTGGGGAGACCTCGGGCGGCCAGGCCAGGCTCCCCAGAGCAGCGGCTCCGCCCAGGACCCACGTGGGGCAGGTGGACAGCAAGTCTCAGCCCTGACGGTGGTGCTGAGCTGGGGGCTGAGCAGGGAGCTGAGCTGCGGGGTCCGAAGCCTGGGTGGGATCCCCTCAGTGGGACCCGGCAGCCCTGGGGGGTGGGGGGGCAGGGGCGGGCCCAACACTGCCTCCTCCTCCCGTGTGGGGCTGGCACTGGGGGTGCCCTATCAGAGCCCCAGAAACCCAGGCCAGGGAGCACGGCCCTGCGCAGCCCTCAGCAGGCTCAGCTCTGGGGACTCTCAGAACTCAGCCCCTCCACAAGAGCCACGTCCAGATGCCACAGTCCCGCGGGTTAAAAAGAGGCCCCCATGACCCACGCACACCAGGATCACATCCGCTAGCTGAGGGGCTTGGGAAGAGACCACCCTGATTTAGGGTGGGGTCCTGGTAAGGAGAGGAGGGGAGACAGAGACACACAGGCCAGAGCAGGAGGGACGCAGCCACGGGACACGAGGTACCAAAACGGGGCACCCCAGAGAGGCCTGGGATGTACCCTGCCCTGGAGCCCCAGGGAGACCAGGACCTCCCACACCCCAGCTCCAGGCTTCAGGCCTCTGGTGTGGAGGGAACACATTCCTCTGCACGGCAGCCCCAGGGCACAACACCTCCCACAAGGCCTGTGGTGGGGGTGGGGGTCGCCCGGCAGTGGCTCAGCAGTTAGCCCTGAAAGCCGCTGGGAAGCTGACAGCCGCCCTGTCCGCTCCTCGCCGAGGTGGGCAGGGACCTGGGGGCCCCCCTCTCCTCCTGAGCTCGGCCAGCCCTGCAGCACCCCCCCGCTTTGCCTCAGTTCCACCACAGGGCCCTCACAGCCCAGCCCAGCCCTCCTCACCTCCCAGAGCAGCCCGGCTACCAGGGTTTATTTTGCCGTCCGAGGCGTTTCCTTGTGTTCTGAGATGAATCGGGAGCATGTTTTCCCACTTCCCGAGACCACATCGTTGAGGGTGGACCTGCCTCAACCAACAGCTCACGCTTTTCAATGCGCTCACCTCACTTGGCAGGTGATCTACCGTCTTATCTAAAGCAGCTCAACAGAAAACACGCCCACAGCTGAGCTGTATTCTAACTAAGCTAAGATCACGAAGCAAGTTCCACTGGCTCCAAGTTCCAGACACCCACTTCCTAGTGAGTCCTCTTACAAAACCCAAATTATCGTCCTGTTTGGCAGAGGGGATGG
Organism: Homo sapiens; assembly: GCF_000001405.40. Taxonomy (NCBI): domain Eukaryota; kingdom Metazoa; phylum Chordata; class Mammalia; order Primates; family Hominidae; genus Homo; species Homo sapiens. Next base: position 81,783 of record NW_021160007.1, on the reverse strand, counting down.
GCTAAGGGTCAGCTTCAGCTGTGAGAAACAGAAACCCCTACAAAACGGTGCCTTCCGTAAATCAGGTGCTTTAGTTCAACATCAAAACCAGGTGTCTTCACTTCCTTTCTCCCTTCCTGGAGGTCTCACGGCGGCTGCTGCAGCCCCAGCCCTTACTTTCACATTCTAGGCAACAAAAAGGAGGAGAAAGCCGCCATCTCTCCCAGGACAGCCTCTCCCCGCAGCCCCCGGAGCCCTGTTTCTCTCCCATGGCCCCTCTGGCGAGTGTCCTGGTTTGGCAGTGGAGAAAGGTCCCCAAAGGCCGAGTGCTGGGTGAGCAGCCTGCAGGGTGGTCCACATGCCAGAAGCTCGGAGAAGCCGGGACAGCAGGGCGCAAACCCTCACGCCCGCTCCACTGCTGCTCTGCCTGTCTTTCCAGAAGGTTCTGGAGGTTTCTGGATTGTTGAAGACAGTGGGCCTGGGGTGGACATGCGCATCCAGGAGTAGAGGGTGGGGTGGCCCAGTGGACACCCGGCACCAGCAGAGGCAAAGCCCAGGCGTCCCAGGCCGCAGGAGAGGCTCCAGCCGAGCCCCTTCTCCACGGAGTCCCGAGGCTCCCAGCCCCCAACGCCACGTGGCCACGTGCCCTCGGCCGGGGTGGCCGGGCTGTGCGGCAACCCACACTGGGGGCTCAGGACGTGAGAAGTGGGTCCCAGTCAGCAGAGGGGGCTCAGGATGTGAGAAGTGGGTCCCAGCCAGCAGTGGGGGCTCAGGGCATCAGAAGTGGGTCCCAGTCAGCAGAGGCCGCTGAAAACCCAAGTGTGTGTCTGCAGCCTCCCAGTGGCCTCCCATTGCCGGAGGGACACATGGAAAATGGGTCCCGGGGTTGAGTGCAGCATGAACCATCCAGCCCGCTACAGCCCCTAGGGGACCCCGAAAACTCCCCTCCTCTCTGCCGCTCCTGGCAGACACCAAAATCCCCAGCCTGACCCCTGGAGAGGGCCTGGCCTCCCCCAGCCCTTGTGGGTCTCTCCATGATGCCTCTTGTTTCTGGGTGTCCAGAAAGCCGGTGTCGGAGCCCCGCCTCGCCGCCCCGCACACCTGCCTGGGTCCGGCCTCGCCGCCCCGCACACCTGCCTGGTCCACACGGGCCCTGCAGACTTCACAGGTCCATGCTGCTCCCCACAGGAAGACCCTGTTCTTCCCACAGTGCCCCTCCCAGTGAATGCCACCCCGCCCATCCCTCAAGCCAAAGACCATGGAGCACCTTTGGTTCCTCAGTTCCCATCACCCCAAAATCCATCCCAGCAGCCCCCAAACGCCCGTGCTGCCTGCTCCTCCCCTCCCCTCCCCAACAGATCACCGGGTCACACGCGCCGTCTCCCTGTGCTGGGAAAGGCCAAGGGAACTAACTGCACCTGCTTCCTTGCAGAGCGGAGGCGTGCAAACCTTGCAGACCTGTGGGCGGTGTGGGAGGGCGCCTCTAACCACGGATCCTCGCGGGACTCCAGGCCTGCCCTCTCCCCGGGGCCTCGCCCTGTTTGTGGCTTTAGAAACCATCCGTTACCTGTCATCTCCAAGTGGTACCTGCTGCTGCCTGGACCTCTCCATGAACTGCAGCCTCCTAAATCCACCCGCCACGTGCCTTTCCGTCTGGACCTCTCAGAGACACCCAGGTCCAGCATCTGCAAAACCAAACCCCTCCTTTCCCCAGCCTCAGAGTCCACTCCAAGCCCCCCATCCCATTAGCGACCACTTTGTCCCCACAAGTGATCACACCAGGGCGTCGGGTTCAGCCTTGGCGGCTCTTTCCACCCATGGTGGCTGCTGCAGCAAATTCCGTCAGCTCTGCCTTTGATGCACAGCCTGACCTGACTTCTCAGACCCCCACTGCCCCCCAGGTCCAGGCCGCCCTGGGCTCGAGCTGGAGTCCCTGCAGCTGCTTCCTCATCGGTCCTGGCCGCCGCCCTCGCCCCTGCGGCCTCTTCCACTCAGCAGCCAGCGTGAACCCAGGAAAGCACACGGTGTCCCCCACCCCTGCCCAGGGCTGCTGGGGAAGTGGCTGAGTCTGGGCTGACCACCTCTCCGACCTGAGGACTTGCTCAGACAGTGACGGGGGCATTTCAAGGACACAGGGGACAGGCCTGGCACCATTCAAAAGGGCAGAGAAACAGTAAAAATATCTAATTACAACAGAATCCTTGAGTCTAAGAAAAGGGATGGGGAGGGGAGTTCTGCTTCCCGGAGGAACGGCGGGCTCCGGGCTCACGGGCAGCGGGAATGGCGGGCTCCGGGCTCACGGGCAGCGGGAATGGCGGGCTCCGGGCTCATGGGCAGCGGGAACGGTGGGCTCCGGGCTCACGGGCAGCATGGAAAATCCCCACTCAACAACAGACCCACGTCAGGCCCTCCTGGGTGCTCAGCCGCCGGGTGGGAGGTGGACTGGGATGGGATACTCGACTACCCAGAAGTGTCACCCACAGGTCACCTTCCAGTGCACAGGGAGGTGTCGCCAGGACGGAGAAACCCCCCGGGTCACCTTAACCGAGTGAGCAATAATCAGACAAGCAGCCTGTCTGCCCCAGGTCTGATGCACGAATCCCCCCGGCCAAGAGAGTGGCATGGAGGCCAGTCCCAGAGCGGGATCACTGGCTCCAGAGGGGAAGCTCCACTGGGGCCCACGGTGGAACGGCCTCAACCCTGCCCCGCCTGTGCTGCTGTGCCACGTTGGGCCAGCTGCTGTGCCTCTCTGGGCCTCAGTTTCCTCCTCTGTAAGATTCAGCATCTGCCTCATAAGCTTGTGGGGTAAGATGAAGCTGCACTCAGGCGTCTGGAGCAGCCTCCGGCCCTGAGCAAGCCTGAGATGGAGGGGCATGGTCGTGTAATTCCCTCTTTCCTCAGCAGCCGCACAGAGGGTCGGCCAGTGCCCTGCAGGGCCCCTGCCCTTGCTGAGCTCAGCACCCAGCAGGGAGACAGGAGGCCCACGGGCTCCAGGCCAGGCTGTGTGTGGAGAAGGAGGCGCAGAGACATGTACAGGTGGCTGACGGTAAGAGCAGGACTTCCGCATGGGGCAAGGGTAGGAAAATAACCTCCACTCCCACCCGTGATACCTTCGCTCTGAGCCCCACAGGGCCAAGAAAGCGCCTGAGCCTCCATCGGCCCTGGGAGGGCCCTGCTCTACTCGCCCCTTTGCAGATGAGCAAACACAGCTTCCGAGGAGTGGGGCTGCCTTCCCAGGGCTGCACCTGGGAGGGCCCGGGTGGCTCCGAGCTCCTGGCCTGGCCCCCTGGGGAGGTGACAGTGGGCAGGGCAGGGGCCTCTTGGCTACAGGCCCAGAACGGCTGAAAAATGTGGCCCTTCGGGGACTTTCGGATGCTTTGGAAGGGCTTCCAGTGTCCCTGGTGCCCCCTCACCCCCTGCCAGGTCTTCCCGGTCCCCACCCCCGACACCCCACACATCCCCACGTCTGTGGCCTCGAATGTGCAGGACACGCCTAGGCACGAACCCGACCTCGTCGGAAGCCGTCTCCACCAACACCATCATAGGTGGCCAGGCCTGGTCCCCCAGAGCTGCTCCCTGACCGGCAGCATCACAATTCAAGGCAGATGGAAACCGTCAACGTCTCCACATCGTAGCTACCATGCACGCGGCTGGGCAAGTTCCTCGGTGGGTCCCACGCAGCACTGCACAGCCTGATCTGGCAACAGCTCCACGGGCCCCAGGGACAGAAACTGAGGCCACACCGGTGTCTGCACGCGCGTTCTGCCTGGTGTTGGAGGGTGTGAGTGCACCTGTGCCTGCCTGTGTGTGCTGGTCTCATGGGTGTGCACATGTGTGATGTCCAGTACTCCTTAGGTGGCCAAAAGTCAATGCCCCTTGCTGACGCCCCAAGGTGCCGGGGTTCCCTCCCCAAAACGTGGTCGCGTTGGCTCTCTGGCTCAGCGTCATCGGAACCCGGGGTCCACCAGCCTCCCGCTGGACGGGGCATGGTCCTCGTCCTCATGGGGCTGCAGGGCAGCCAATGTCCTCTTGTTCCCCCCCTCTCCACACACACACCGGGGGACTTCATTTGTGGCCACAGGGTCCCCTGCCGTGCAAACTGTCTCCAGCTCACTCTTTGGCCAGTGACAAGCGTGTTCACCTCCAGCACGGGACAGAACCTGGGAGTGTCTGCCAGGATGGAGAGGGCCCAGCCAGGGCCTGCCCAAGGCACCCCTGTGTATTAAAGGGACCTGCCCCGGGGACATTGGGGGATGGGGACAGAAAGGGGCTGGGGCCATGGCTCGACCACAGTGTGCTTGGAAAAATGTGACTGGAGGATGACGAGGCCGCCCCCGCCCAGCACCAGGCAGTACAGACCCGTTTCCCAGGAGGAGCGGGCCAGGATGTGTGTGGCGGCCAAGGCTGGGGCTGGCGACTTTCTACTCATCTGCTCATTAGATCCGCAAAGTAAATTGCGTTTCTCATAATTCTGCTATCGACTGCCATGTACTTTGTGGTCTGGCACGGGGAGAAAAGAATTTACCCAGAGCAGAGAAATCTGTGTAAATAAATGCATCATTAAGAATTCCTGTAACCGTCAGAAAGGCTGATTAATGGCACTTTTGCTAGTGCAGGAAGAGGGCTGACATCACAACGTTCCTTACTGAGAATGAGGCCTGAGCCCAGCCTACAGAAGGAGGGTGTGAGCCCCGAATCGCTCTCCTGATTAGAACTTGTTCCAAGTATTGACTGGGTCGAAAGAAACAAAATTTAATTTGAAATCAATTCCAGAGCATAAAATTGACCTCAGTTGTGTGTGCTCAGAAGCCACCAGGCCAGTCTGCGAGTTCTTGGTCCAGGCTAGGGGCATCAGACCTCCAGCTGCCCTCCCCACCAGGGAACATGTCCACCCTGCAGAGACTCACAGGATCCCCTCTGCCTTTGCCCTTCTTTTGGGGCGTGGTGGGAGTGCAGAGAGAGCGCCCTCATGAGACCCAGGGTCCTTCCACCCATGCCCCTCAAGCCCACGCCCCACTCAGGTCAGCTCTCCTACCAGGACCCAGGTGCCATGGGAGGTGGGGGGCCAGCAGCCTCAGGGGCCCCCGTGTCAGATGGACAGAGGTTATGCCGCAGACGTCCTGGCCGACATCCGGGGTTTGGGGCCACCTGCCAGTCTCACCTGCCACTGCCCGTGCTGGACACGTGATTCTGGCGGTGGCCCAGGCTCAGGGAGGAACTCAGGCCAGCAGCCAGGAGGGGCAGGTGGGAGCTGCTCAGAGGAGCTGAGACCCCTCAGCGTCCCCGCCCTGGGGTGCCTGCCACGGGCAGGGGCTGTGTTCCCTAAAGAACACTGGCCGGCTCCGGCCCTGGCTCCCCGCTGTCTCCCCCTGCCACGCAGCCCACCCTCCCCGAGGTCTCCCCCTGCCACGCAGCCCACCCTCCCTGAGGTCTCCCCCCTGCCACGTGGCCCACCCTCCCCGCTGTCTCCCCCCTGCCACGTGGCCCGCCCTCCCTGCTTCTCCCCCTGCCACGTGGCCCACCCTCCCCGCTGTCTCCCCCCTGCCACGTGGCCCGCCCTCCCTGCTTCTCCCCCTGCCACGTGGCCCACCCTCCCCGCTGTCTCCCCCTGCCACACGGCCCACCTTCCCCAGAAAGCACCTTGGGGTGGGGCCAGGACCAGGGGCCCCTGGCACGTGGGAGTCACACCCAGGACTCAGTGGCCCCCAGCTCGGTGCACAGACGCCAGGGCCAGCCGGGAGGGGCAGGGTGCTGGCCACCACAGGGGCTCCTATCCCCCAGATCCCTCAGTGCACTCCGCCAGAGGGCCGGGACCCCACCAGAAAGGGAGCCGGTGCGGCACAGCAGGCAGGGTGCACCCGGGACTCTGCATTTCTAAGAAGGCTCAGCCGGTGCTGGTGCTCCTGGCCCTGTGACCACGTGGAGCCATCCCACCACCCGCCGTGGGAGCAGACGCCCTCCCTGCTGGCCCCATGAAAGGCCCACGGGGTCCCTGGCCCACAACCCAACTCCTTCCCAACCCCGCATCCTGCTCCCTGGCATCAAGAAAGGATGTACCCCCAGAGCCAGGGACAGCCTCAGCCCCGGCACCATCGGAGTTGGGGCCCCGGCTTCTAAGCCTGGCGCCAGCACAGCCCAGGCAGCTCCTCCGACGTGAGGCTCCTCGGAAGGGCAGGCTTTGCCGGGCTCCTGCCGTCTGGGTCTGTACTGCAGTCGGCAGTCCCCACCCACGCTCAGCAGCCCTGGCCCAGCAATGGACTATCCCGTTATCCCGGCCTAGACCCCGTCTCAGCATCGGCCCCCAGAGGACCCCAGTGGGCCCCCCTCCCCACAAGCTCACTGTGCTGGGACGTGTGGCCGGCCTCACTGTGACTTGCAGAAAGCCCATGGAGAAGGCTGTTCCCAACCCGTTTCACTCAGGGGAAACTGAGGCTCAGGACCTCAGTGGCGAGCAAGAGGGCTGGCTGCAGAGCCCCTCCTCCCAGCTTGTTCATCTCCTCCAGTCCAGCCCAACCAAAGGCCACAGCTGGGAAGCCCCGTGGGCCTGAGGCTCAGCAGCGTTCCTGGGGACCCTCGTCCAGCCCCGCTGACGCTGCCGCCAGACCAGCTCTGACCTGGGAAGAGCCCAGAAGGCTCAGCCCCCAGGCCAGAAAGTGACTGCCCCCACATCCTGCCCTCCACAGCCACTCCAGCGCCTCCCCGACCCCTACACTCAGCTGTGTCTCGGGATCCCCAGGTTTCAATCCCTGCCAGGTTTCCAGAAATGCTGATTCACCTCGGAAACCGCACGTGCTGTGGGCGTGCACATCTGGCGAGAACAAAGCCATCGTGGGCAACCCTTGGGGACGCTGTTTCGGCCTCGTGTGTTGTTATTAAACCTACCGATTTCCGCCTGGGTTCTGGCCCACGTGACCTCCTCTGCTGCTGTGTGAATGGCCCCCGTCCTGCACACTTACCGCCCCAGCAAATCCCAATGCCAGCTCTGCCTCCCTGCCACCGGCCACTCTCCTTCCAGCTTGCCCTTGAGAGGCTCAGGGCTCCGGGCAGGGAAGAGGCTGCAGAGAGGGAGGGTGGCCCCGAGCCGGGTGTTTTCCCAAAAGCTCCTCGCTTGGGTGCCCACCCTAGGTGGAGGAGTGACCCCTTCAGGCTCACAGCTGCGGCCGCCTACTGCCTTCTAACAAGAACCCCACAGCTGAGTGGCTTAAGCAATGCCAATCACTTTATCTCCTCCCTTGGATTCTGTGGTCGGAGTGTCTGGCTCAAGGAGAGGAAGAGTAGGGCCCAGAGGTCTCTCTGCGTTGCCATTTCAGCATGGCAGCTTCGGGTGCCTGTGCTGCTCGGTGGCCTGGGACTCTGGAGGAGGGAGTCCCCAGACACACCTGCAAACAATGCATGGCTGTGCCCAACAGCCTCAGCACGCACAGGCAGAAACGAGGTTCCGCCTCACCAGCCATCAGAGAGACCCACTCAAACCACAGGGAGACTGCACTTCACCACCAAGGGATGGCGCAGATGGATGATGAGTGGATGGATGGGTGAATGGGTGATGGATGGATGGATGGATGGATGGATGGATGAATGAATGTATGATGGATGGACGGCTGGGTGGATGAATGGATGGATAAGGGATGGGTGGGTGGATGGATGATGGATGGGGGGGTGGATGGATGGATAGGTAAATGGATGGATGGGTGGGTGATGGGTGGATGGAAGGATGAATGAATGTATGATGGATGGCTGGGTGAATGGATAATGGATGGATGGGTGAATGGATGGATGGGTGGGTGATGGATGATGGATGGGTAGGTGGATGATGGATGGATGGGTGGATGGGTGGGTGGATGGATGGATGGGTGGATGGATGGATGGGTGAATGGATGGATGGCTGGGTGGATGGACGGATGGATGATGGATGGGTGGGTGGATGGATGGATGGGTGAATGGATGGAAGGGATGGATGGATGGATGAATGAATGTATGATGGATGGATGGCTGGGTGGATGATGGATGGGTGGGTGGATGGATGGATGGGTGAATGGATGGATGGATGAATGTATGATGGATGGGTGGGTGGATGGATGGATGGGTGAATGGATGGATGATGGGTGGGTGGGTGGATGGATGGATGATGGGTGGGTGGGTGGGTGGATGTATGGATGGCTGGATGGATGGATGGATGAATGAATGTATGATGGATGGCTGGGTGGATGAGGGATGGGTGGGTGGATGGATGGCTGGGTGGATGGATGATGGATGGATGGATGATGGGTGGGTGGGTGGGTGGATGTATGGATGGCTGGCTGGCTGGATGGATGGATGGGTGGATGGATGAATAGATGGAAGAATGTATGATGGATGGCTGGGTGGATGAAGGATGGGTGGGTGGATGGATTGATGGGTGGATGGATGGATGAATGGGTGATGGATGGATGAATGAATGTATGACGGATGGCTGGGTGGATGGATGATGGATGGATGGGTGGGTGATGGGTGGATGGATGGATGAGTGGATGAATGGTGGCTGGATGGATAATGGATGGGTGGGTGGGTGGCTGGATGATGGATGCATGGATGGGTGAATGAATGGATGGATGGGTAGGTGATAGTGTGCAGGAAAAGTTAAATATTAAATTTGAACTAAATTCAACGTGGAAACTAACAATGGTCACCAAGTCCTGGAACAGGTCGTGTGAGTCCCTTGAGGCATTCATCCAGTGCTGTTTCAGAGAAATCTCTATTTCAATCTATTCCTATACATTAGTTATTGAAAAACAACAGACAATTGCAAGAACAAGTTGACCTTTTTGCGTTCCTTGAGCCTGGTCGCGAAGGGCCCTTGTGACTAGGCCTCATGAAAAAACAACTCGTTACAAAAAGAGCTCAGGTCCCAGACCGTGCCAAAGATTCATGAGACCTCTCCCCATCTGTGCACAGACAGGCAGCCGACTCTGGAGCCCAGGCTGTTGCTTCCCAGTCTGGTGGTGAATCCTCCATAGTCTGGTGAGTATACATATATATATATTTAAATATATATATAAATATGTATATTTAAATATATTTATATATATTTATATATTTATATATAAATATATATTTAAATATACATATATATAAATATATATATTTAAATATACATATTTAAATATATTTAAATATATTTAAATATATAAACATATATAATATATTTATTTATGTATATAAATATATATAATATATATTTAAATATATTTATTTATGTATATGAATATATATAATATATATTTAAATATATTTATTTATGTATATGAATATATATAATATATATTTAAATATATTTATTTATGTATATGAATATATAATATATATTTAAATATATTTATGTATTTAAATATATATAAATATATATTTAAATATATTTATATATAAACATATATTTAAATATATTTATATATAAATATATAATATATATTATATATTTATACATAAATATATATAATATACATTTATATATAAACATATATAATATACATTTATATATGAATGTATAATATACATTCATATATAAATATATATAAATGTATATAATATACATTTATATATATAAATATACATAATATACATTTATATATATAAATATACATAATATACATTTATATATAAATACATATATTTATATATTTATATATATAATGTATATTATATATAATATATATTTATATATTATATATAATATACATTATATATATAAATATATAAATATATTATATATGTAAATATGATATATATTTAAATATGTAAATATATGATATATATTTAAATATGTAAATATATGATATATATTTAAATATGTAAATATATGATATATATTTAAATATGTACTATATTTATATATTATATATTTATAACATACATTATATATATTTATATAATATATAATATATAATATAAATATATATATATTTTTTCCCTTTTCCCCTTCCCATTGCAATTTGCTTATTATATATCTCCACTGCCATTTACGTGGAATAAAGGTTGTTTACCGTTACAGGTATTGTGTGTCTTTTCTTCTCCCCTCACGCATCTCCTGCACAGAACAGATGGATGGGTAGATGGATGGATGTGTGGATGATGGGTGGATGAATGGATGATGGATGGATGGCTGGATGGATGATGGATGGGTGGATAGATGGATGGCTAGGTAGACGGATGATGGATGGATGGCTGGGTGGATGGGTGGGTGGGTGGACGGATGATGGATGGGTCAACGGATGGATGAGTGGTTGATGGACGGATGGGTGGATGGATGGGTAAGTGATAGATTAGCTAAGTGGCAGATACAGATAGATAAATGATACAGATATATATGATTGATCAATGAATATAGATGATAGACATAGGATAGAGATCATCAATATAGATAGATGTGGCAGACAGGTAAGTAATAGATTGAAATAGACAAATAGAGATAGGTAGAGAGATAGAATAGATAGCAGATATGATAGAGAGATCACAGAGATAGAGAGATAGGGGAGAGAGATGATTGAGAGAGACAGAGAGAGATGGAAGGGACCAGTGCTGGCGGGGATGTGGAGAACTTGGACCCTTGTGCCCTGCTGGTGGGATGTCAATGGTGCACCCACTGTGGAAAACTGTCTGGAGAGTCCTGAACACATTAGATGTGGAATTACCACAGGATGGCAGCCACGCGGCACGTCCCTGAGCAGCCGGGAGCCCAGCGACTCTTCTTTAACAGTACGAACACGGTGAGACTGCTGGGCCATTTATCCAGTTAGTGACAGGACAAAACCAAATTCCAGAGGCCGTGCCACCTGCACGCCCAGGCTCTGCGGTAATTCCTGGCTTTGTTAGCCATGGGGCTAACCAGGGCTGAGCCACCCATGAGGCACCTTCCTGGAGGCTGGGGTGTCACCCTCTGCGCCCCGATGCGGGCCCCATTATGTGGGTGACCTGCGCCCAGGGGACCCTGGGCAGCCTGCAAGTGAGCGTGGTTCAGGGCTGGGCCACACATCCTGGCTCTGCACAGCACCTACCTGGTTTTTGGTTACTCACCTGTCCTTTAAAATATGTGTAGAGCAGGGAGAGGAGCTCACATGGCAGGGGCAGCCCACGCAGGGTGGCAAGGGCACAGGTGCGAGCTCAGGTGATGCTGCTCCTCTGGGGCAGGCCAGGCACCCGTCCTGGGGGGCGTCCTGCAGCCCCTATACCCCCTGGCCTGAGCAGCCCCCATTCTGCCAGAGCAGCAGGGCCCCACCTTCCTGCGGGGCACCTGCCCTCCCCACGGGCAGCTCAGTGCATGACAGCTCTGACCCAGCATCAACTGAGAATGCTTCTGGGGGAAGGAAACTAAAAGGCATTGGAGTGGCTCGGACCTGCAGGATGGAGCTGCGCCCAGTACAGGGCGGAGTCGAAGTGGCTCGGACCTGCAGGATGGAGCTGTGCCCAGCACAGGGCGGAGTCGAGGTCCCACAGGTGGGGAGGACCCGGCAGCTAGGGATGGAGCCACCTGGGGCTAGAAACAGAACGACAGGGTCAGGGGAGGAACAGACATGCAGGAGGGACAGTGAGGGAGGTGACGCGGCCATGGGTGAGGTCAGGGCCCAGGGAAGCTCCCAATGGCTCCGGAGCCAGGGCTCACCAGCAGCCAAGCACCGGGATGGAGGGGATGCTCAGCAAGGGCTTCCCGCCTTCCAGAAAAGGCGACATCCACCCTCATGGCCCAAATGGGAGGGTTTGGGGAAGGAATTTCAGAAGGGCCCCTGCCCCCGCCCTGCCCATGACTTCGGTGGCTGATCCCACTCTCCATGAGGCGTCTGCTGTGGCTGCATTGCCCGGGAGCCAGCTGGGCTGGGAGGGCAGGGACAACTCGGACTCTGTGTGCCCCCACTGCCTGGGAAGGCGGCCAACACCGCTTTTGAATTTTAAATGAAACCAAAATTGACTGCGGTAGCGGGGAAATATTTCCTAACACAGTAATTTCCCTCAGAGTGCAGTTGCCACATCAATAAAAATAAACAGCTCTGTAGTGGCCACAGCTCAGGAAGCAGGCAGAGCACAGGCTGGCCCAGGAGGCTGCTTCCCTGGCTCCTACCTGCCTCCCACCTCCCCACGGGCCTCCCCGAGCCTCCTCACGGCAGGGCGGCTGGTGACCCGAGAGGGGTGGCTGGGGACAGCATGGAGGACAGGACAGCACCTCAGGACCGGATTCTGGATACACTGCACCCTCTCGTGCCAGGTGTTGGCAGTTCCGACCAAGCCCAGGCATGAGGGAGGGCCAGGCGGTGTGAGCCCGGGGGCATCCTGGGGGTCGTTCTGGAGGCCAGAAGCTGCAGGTGACAAAATAATGTGTGACGAGGGGGATTTGAGAGTAGCAGAGAGGAATGTGTCCTATGTCTGCCAAAAAGAAAGAAAAGATGAGGGGAGAGGGGAGAGGAGACAAGAGAGGGGAGGGGAGAGGGGAGAGAGGAGAGGGGAGAGAGGAGAGGATCTGTGCAGGGCACATGTTTCCCGTCCCAGGGCAGGGAAGGACAGCCCCCAGGGCAGAGCTGTGGAACGCTGTTTTCTTCCCTCCTTGATGCTGTGGGTTGGCGGTGGCTGGATGCAGCCCCACCAAATGGGGGCTTCAGGTGGCTGCTGGGGTCCCAAGACAGCCAGGCTGAGAAAACCGAGGCAGGTGTCATGAGCCATGGTGGGGCTTCGGCTTTCTCACGATGTGGCGTCTCCACGCAGTGGAGGGCAGGGCAGGGCAGGGCCTCTGATGACCCAGCCGCAGAGTCCAGTGCGAGGAACAGCTCAGTGAGGAGGGGCTGAGTGGAGAGGAGCTGAGGGAAGAGGGGCTGAGTGGGGAGGGGCTGAGTGGGGAGGAGTGATGACCCAGCCGCAGAGTCCAGTGCGAGGAACAGCTCAGTGAGGAGGGGCTGAGTGGGGAGGAGCTGAGTGAGGAGGAGCTGAGGGCGGAGGAGCTGAGGGAGTAGGAGCTGAGTGGGGAGGAGCTGAGTGGGGAGGAGCTGAGTGAGGAGGAGCTGAGGGAGGAGGAGCTGAGGGAGGAGGAGCTGAGGGAGGAGGAGCTGAGGGAGGAGGAGCTGAGGAAGGAGGAGGTGACGGAGGAGAAGCTGAGGAGGAGCTGAGAGAGGAGGAGCTGAGGGAGGAGGAGCTGAGGGAGGAGGAGCTGAGTGAGGAGGAGCTGAGTGGGGAGGAGCTGAGGGCGGAGGAGCTGAGTGAGGAGGAGCTGAGGGAGGAGGAGCTGAGGGAGGAGGAGCTGAGGAAGGAGGAGGTGACGGAGGAGGAGCTGAGGAGCTGAGGGAGGAGGAGCTGAGGGAGGAGGAGCTGAGGGAGGAGGAGGTGAGGGAGGAGGAGGTGAGGGACGAGGAGCTGAGGGAGGAGGAGCTGAGGGAGGAGGAGCTGAGGGAGGAGGAGCTGAGTGGGGAGGAGCTGAGGAAGGAGGAACTGAGTGGGGAGGAGCTGAGCGAGGAGGAGCTGAGGGAGGAGGAGCTAAGGGAGGAGGAGCTGAGTGGGGAGGAACTGAGTGGGGAGGAGCTGGGTCCAGGGCAGAGCCAGGATGCTGGAGGCCGCAGCATCTTTATCGGTGGGGTCAGGGGTCACCACACGGAATCTTTTTGCCGGGATCTGAGGCTGGAGACTGCGGGAAGCTCTCAGGGGAGGGCCTGCGGTGGAGCAGGCCTGGTGGGAGGCGGCCAGCAGGAGAAGAGATGAGGGCCCAGGGAACGGGAAGGGCGGGGGCTTCGGCCAGAGGGGGCCAGGAGCTGGGGGAATGTGGGAGGAGGACAGTCGGTCCCAAGATCACTCCCTGTCTCCGGGCCCCTCTGGCCACCAGGTCCTGCCACCAGGTCCTGCCACCATCCAGCCTGCCTTGCTTCCACCGCCCCGTCTGTGGGGCTGTCAGGCACTTCCCACATGGGCACGCAGGGCTCCTGAGCCTGGCTGTCCTCCGACACCAGCTGGGGGAACCTGCCAGCACCCGGCTCTTCCTTCTTGATCACACCTTGCACAGGTATTGCAAGGACAGGCGGAGGGCACTGGGCTGTGAACTCTCACGCCACCGTGCCGCACGCACTGGGACAGTGGACACTGCCTCTCCGGACTTCCTGAAGGGCTGACAGGGAAGGGGACGAGGCTGTCCCACCAGGGACAGTCCCCCCACCACCTCTGTGAAGAAGCTCCCAGCCTGTCCTGAGGGTGCTGCAACCCTGGGCTGGACCCTCTGTCCCCTGGTTTCCAGGAGACCCCGACAGAGCCCCCCGAGCCCACCCACTCCACCCCCTCGCTTTCTGCCGGTTCCATTGGGCTCAGGGCCTGCAGATCTGGAAGAGGATGCCTGGTCCCGTGGCCCCCGCACCGTTATCTCTTCATTACTTTTTCCTCTTATCTACCCAGTTTCCATTCTCTCATGCAGCCGGAACCACTGGACTAGAATGACAGCAGGATCAGCCCAGCACCGCGCCACCGCCTCCCCGTCTGCCTGCCAGCCAGTAGGGCTTCAGCCACTCACCAGCTGTCCCAAGCAGCAAAGCCCGTCGGGCCTCGGGGAGCACTGTCTGTGGCAGTTCACAGCTCCTTCCCCGACACTGTCACGTGCCTGAGTGGCCCAGACAGCAATCGGCCAGCATGCTGAGCAGAGCTGGGAGCAGGGTGGACCTGGCAGAGCACTCCCCAGCTGGGGTGAAGAGGGCTCGCCCAGCGTGGGCATGGGCGGCTGCCTAGACACCCACGTGAGCACTGCCCAAGCTCTGGGGAAACGAATGAAAGAAGGAAAAGGGGCCGAGAGAGGCGAGAAGAGAACAATGCTGTTTCAGTCCCAGGTCCAATCACACCTGCTGCCAGCCCCATCTGTTCACATCTCATTCCCCAGAGCCCGTGGCTGTGTCCCCCACGGGGCAGAAGAGACTCTGCAGGTGAGACCGGCTGAGGGTCTAGCAGGGGGTCCTCCTGGATGACCCCGGCCCAGTTCATCACATGGTCCTTACAGGATGGAGGCAGGAGAGGCAGAGGGAGCAGTGGCCGCAGCAGCAGAGGTCGGGGTGACAAGCAAGGGACCATGCCAGAGCCCAGGAGCACAGCAGACTCTGGAGCCCAAAGAAGTCAGCAACGAGTCTTCCCAGAACCCCCAGAGGTGCCCAACCCGCCCACACCTCCACACCCCGCCCTTCCACGCCCAGCCCCGCCCACATCTCCATGCCCTGCCCACACCTCCATGCCCCTCCACGCCCAGCCACACCCCGCCACGCCCATACCTCCATGCCAGCCCAGAGCAAAGCCTCTGACTATGCCTTCAGGGGACCTGCCACCTGCAGTATCAGAACTCGGACCACGAGCCCCCAGAGAACAGTGCTGCAGGGGACAGACCCCGGGGGGCCACAGCGAACGGGGAGCTTCCCGAGGTCTTCGAGGGGCGCCATCGAGACAGACGTGGTGCGGAGCACACAGGGGCAGTGGAGGCTCCGCGAGGCACCATCCTCAGCACAGGATGCCACCACAGAGACACTGGGACTGGAGGCATTGGGAGGGCAGCGGGGCCCCAGGGGTCTCCTGAAGGTCACCCGCCCAGCACCCCCCAAGACAGGCGCTACCGTGTGAGCTCCCCACAGCTGATGCAACAAGTCACCACAAGCCAGTGGCCTAGAACCATGCATCTTCATCACAGTCTGGCAGCCAGGAGACCGAGATGCTGTCCTGAGGCAGGTGTGGGCAGGTTGGGGCAAATATGGGCAGGTGTGGGCAGGCGGGGCCCTCAGAGACTCAGGGAGGACCCATTCCTGCCTTTTCCAGCTCCCAGAGGCCCCTGCTCCACCCTCGGAGCCGATGGATAGTTCCGGCCTCCGCCCTCCTCTTCACGCCTCTGACTAGGACACCGGCCACCGGACTGATGGCCCACCCTGAATGCAGGATGATCTCAGCTGGCTCCTTAATCTGCAAAGACCCTATTTCCAAATAAGGTCCACTCGCCGATGCTGGGGGCCAGGACGGGGACATCTCTTTCCGGGGGACACGTTAGCCCCCGTGAGATCCGAGGAGTGAACCCCACCCCCTGTGAAGGCTGCGGGATGAGGGGTCCCCGTAGGCACCCTGAAAACACCAGCAAAGCTGGTGCAGAACATCTAGGAAGACCAGGCAGGGTCAGAGGCATTTTGGGGGCCACCGCGTCACACGTGCAGGGAGGGCGCTGAGGAAGGTGGGTGGGGGCCCAGGGCCTGCGTGTGCGCGTGTGTGTGTGCGCATGTAGTGGTGTGTGTGTGTAATGGTGTGTGTGTGTAGTGGTGTGTGCATGTAGTGGTGTGTGTACGTAGTGGTGTATGTAGTGGTGTGCGTGTAGTGGTGTGTGTGTGTGTAGTGTGTGTGTAGTGGTGTGTGTAGTGTGTGTGTAATGGTGTGTGTGTAGTGGTGTGTATGTGTAGTGTGTGCATAGTGGTGTGTGTGTGTAGTGTGTGTAGTGGTGTGTGTGTGTAGTGTGTAGTGGTCTGTATGTATAGTGTGTGCATAGTGATGTGTGTAGTGTGTGTAGTAGTGTGTGTGTAGTGTGTGTAGTCGTGTGCGTAGTGTGTGTGTAATGGTGTGTGCGTGTAGTGGTATGTATGTGTAGTGTGCATAGTGTGTGTGTAGTGTGTGTGTAGTGTGTGTGTAATGGTGTGGGTGTAGTGATGTGTAGTGGTGTGTGTAGTGTAATGGTGTGTGTGTGTAGTGGTGTGTATGTGTAGTGTGCATAGTGGTGTGTGTGTAGTGTAGTGGTGTGTGTAGTGTGTGTAGTGGTGTGTGCATAGTGGTGTGTGTTGCGTGTGTGTAGTGGTGTGTGTAGTGGCGTGTATGTGTAGTGTGTGCATAGTGGTGTGTGTAGTGTGTAGTGGTGTGTGTGTAGTGTGTAGTGTGTGTAGTGTGTGTGTAATGGTGTGTGTGTAGTGGTATGTGTAGTGTGTGCATAGTGGTGTGTGTGTAGTGTGTAGTGGTGTGTAGTGTGTGTGTAGTGGTGTCTAATGGTGTGTGTAGTGGTGTGTATGTGTAGTGTGTACATAGTGGTGTGTGTGTAGTGTGTAGTGGTGTGTGTAGTGTAATGTGTGTGTAGTGGTGTGTGTAGTGTGTGTGTAATGGTGTGTGTGTAGTGGTGTGTATGTGTAGTGTGTGCATAGTGGTGTGTGTGTGTAGTGTGTGTGTAGTGGTGTGTGTAGTGTGTGTGTAATGGTGTGTGTGTAGTGTGTGCATAGTGGTGTGTAGTGGTGTGTGTAGTGTGTGTGTAATGGTGTGTGTGTAGTGGTGTGTAGTGGTGTGTGTAGTGTGTGTGTAATGGTGTGTGTGTAGTGGTGTGTAGTGGTGTGTGTAGTGTGTGTGTAATGGTGTGTGAGTGTAGTGGTGTGTGTATGTAGTGTGCATAGTGGTGTGTGTAGTGTAGTGGTGTGTGTGTAGTGTGTGTGTAGTGGTGTTTGTAGTGTGTGTGTAATGGTGTGTGTAGTGGTGTGTATGTGTAGTGTGTGCAGTGGTGTGTGTAGTGTGTGTGTAATGGTGTGTGCGTGTAGTGGTGTGTGTAGTGTGTGTAATGCTGTGTGTGTGTAGTGGTGTGTGTAGTGTGTGCGTGTAGTGGTGTGTGTAGTGTGTGTAATGGTGTGTGTGTAGTGGTGTATGTGTAGTGTGTGCATAGTGGAGTGTGTAGTGTGTGTAATGTGTGTAGTGTGTGTGTAGTGGTGTAGTGTGTGCCTGTAGTGTGTGTAGTGTGTGTGTAGCGTAATGTGTGTGTAGTGGTGTGTATGTGTGTGCATAGTGGTGTGTGTAGTGTGTAATGGTGTGTGTGTAGTGGTGTGTGTGTAGTGTGTAGTGGTGCGTGTGTGTAGTGGTGCGTGTGTAGTGGTGTGTGTAGTGGTTGTGTGTAGTGTGTGTAGTGGTGTGTGTAGTGTGTGCGTGTAGTGGTGTGTGTAGTGTGTGTGTAGTGGTTGTGTGTTGTGTGTAGTGGTGTGTGTAGTGTGTAGTGGCGTGTAGTGGTGTGTGTAGTGGTGTATGCAGTGGTGTGTATGCAGTGGTGTGTAGTGGTGTGTGTGTAGTGTGTGTAGTGTGTGTGTGTAGTGGTGTGTGTAGTGTGTGTGTAGTGGTGTGTGTAGTGTGTGTAGTGGTTTGTATGTTGTGTGTGTAGTGTGTGTACTGTGCGTGTAGTGTGTGTAGTGGTGTGTGTAGTGGTGTGTGTAGTGGTGTATGTAGTGGTGTGTGTGTAGTGGTGTGTGTAGTGGTTGTGTGTAGTGTGTAGTGGTACGTGTAGTGGTTGTGTGTGTAGTGTGTGCGTGTAGTGTGTGTGTAGTGGTTGTGTGTGTAGTGTGTGTAGTGTGTGTAGTGTGTGTAGTGGTGTATGTAGTGTGTATGCAGTGGTGTGTGTGTAGTGGTGTGTGTAGTGTAGTGTGTGTAATGGTGTGTGTGGTGTGTGTGTGGTGTGTGTAGTGTGCGTGTAGTGGTTTGTATGTAGTGTGTGTGTAGTGGTGTGTGTACTGTGTGCGTGTAGTGTGTAGCGGTGTGTGTGTAGTGGTGTATGCAGTGTGTGTGTGTAGTGGTGTGTGTAGTGTGTGCGTGTAGTGTGTGTAGTGGTGTGTGTAGTGGTATGTAGTGTGTAGTGGTGTGTGTAGTGGTTTGTATGTAGTGTGTGTGTAGTGGTGTGTGTAGTGGTATATGTAGTGGTGTGTGTAGTGTGCGTGTAGTGGTGTGTGTGTGTAGTGTGTGTAGTGGTTTGTATGTAGTGTGTAGTGGTGTGTGTACTGTGTGTGTAGTATGTGTAGTGGTGTGTGTAGTGGTGTATGTAGTGTGTGTGTAGTGGTGTGTGTAGTGTGTGCGTGTAGTGGTGTGTGTGTGTAGTGTGTGTAGTGGTTTGTATGTAGTGTGTAGTGGTGTGTGTACTGTGCGTGTAGTGTGAGTAGTGGTGTGTGTAGTGGTGTATCTAGTGTGTGTAGTGGTGTGTGTGTGTAGTGGTGTGTGTAGTGTGTGTAGTGGTGTGTGTACTGTGTGCGTGTAGTGTGTGTAGTGGTGTGTGTACTGTGTGCGTGTAGTGTGTGTAGTGGTGTGTGTAGTGGTGTAGTGTGTGTAGTGTGTGTGTGTAGTGGTGTGTGTAGTGTGTGTAGTGGTGTGTGTAGTGGTGTATCTAGTGTGTGTAGTGGTGTGTATGTAGCGGTGTGTGTCATGTTGCATGGTGAGCTCTAACGACCCCAGCCCCCAACACCCAACTCTACCTCCTGCCACCCGGAGTGCAGGCGAGCCGTCCCCACCAAGTCCACACTGCAGGTTCACGAGCGAAATCAGTGCTGCTGCAGTTCCACACCGCTACGTTCTGAAGTCACTTTCTGAGCATAGACCCTGGCAGCACACTCTGCAGATGGGACAACTGAGGCCTGGGGCCGTGCCACCCTCCCAGCCGGGAGTGGAGCCCGCGCCGTTGGAGACCGGCATGGCCTTCACCGTGGGCTGCTGGCCCCAGTGGGGGAAGACCCAGACACCGCAGGGAACGGACACGCTCCTCGCTGTCCAGCGGGAATCGCTTACCGCCGGGGCCTTCGCCACAGCTCCCAGCACGACCGACGCTCGGGAAACGACTGCTGATTCTCCGCAGCTGATTTCCTCAACGCCAATTAAACGCTCCAGCGTCCCTTATCGCCGGAACGCGCGCTCCACAGCTCTTCAGCTATCCCTCATTACGGATGTAGCTGTGACTTCACTGTCCGGCAGCCGCGTTCATTTCCTGAAGGGAGACCCGGAATCGGGGGACGGGAGGAGAGGGAGAGACAAGACAGAGAGGGAGCGGGGGAAGCACAGGGGGAGAGAGGCCCCACTGGTGCGGCGCTGTTCTCCGTGTGCAGTGAGGACACCGCCGGGTACACGCAGGTGCCGGCTGGGTATTGGCCTCATAGGTGATTGAAGGGGCCCCTGGAATTTCTCTAAGATTCTGGAACTGACGGTGTCTCAGTCCGTCTGCACCACTGTTACAGGTTACCTGAGAGCAGGTAACTTCTAAAAAGTGACACTGTCTTCTCTCCAGTTCCGCAGGCCGGGAAGTCCAGGATGAAGGCACCAGCCTCTAGCGAGGGCCTCCTGGCTGCGCCCAACCTGACAGGAGGCCAAAGGCCAGAGAGCAGCCGGCTCAGCACCACGTGAAGAATCCACTTTTACAAAGGCCTGAATCCCATTAACAAGGATGGCGCCCTTGCGGACGAGGCACTCCTAACACCGCCTGGTGGGCAGCACCTGGATCTGGGAGGGCAGGCGCTCCTCCACAGCACAGGGGACGTCCCCGTGCTCTCGGGGATGGCGGCAACACCTGTATTTCAGAGGGCATGCGCTCCTCGGGGGCAGCACCTGGATCTCGGAGAGCACACGCTCCTCCACAGCACAGGGGACGTCCCCGTGCTCTCAGAGATGGGGGTCACCAGCCAGGGAGAGGGGACCTCAGGCGGTGAAGGAGGTCCCTGTTCATGCCCGGCTCATGCGGGGAACACAGGGAGCAGAGGACCGAACACGGTTACGTGGAGGTTGCTAGACACAGAGCCCCTCTGACGACAGAATCCAAGCCTGGCTGACTCGGAGGCGCTTTCACTCTCCTCCTGGCCTCGCCCATCATCCGAGATCCGCCTAACAGCCCAGCACAAACCCTCCGTGATGTCAGGAGGGAGGCCCTGGCTGAATCCGAGCAGGAAATACTGCAGACCCCGGCGAGGTGAAACCTAGCAGGGCAGCTCGGGCGCTGCAGGCCTGGGCAAGGCTGCAGCGGCCTCTGGTGGCCGCATGAGCTCAGGATGCCAGCACCTAGGCCCAGCCCTGCCCCAGGAGCCCAAGGAGGGCGGGGAGGGGGGCCAGGGCTCTGGAGCGTACCCGGTGTGACAGGCTGCCTGGGACACAGCAAGAGGACGGGCCCTGTCTGCCCTGCTGCAGCGGGAGTGCTGAGAGGGCTCGGGCGGGACAGCATGAAGAGTGGGGAAGGAGGGGCGCCTGTGCAGGACTACCACGCACGGGGTACCAGGGAAGGCCTCCCGGGGGGACGGGGACGGGACGTTCAAACCAGGGCAACACAGGGAAAAGCGGCAGAGGCCACAGCTGTGGCTGGTGCAAAGGCCCTGGGGCAGGAGCCAGTTCACTTGAGGAGCCCGCTGGGGCAGAGGGAAGCAGCCAGGGGGATGCTGGGAGCAGAGGCAACATCTCCACCATCACTCTGCCCCCCAAAACCCCGCTGGGCACACGGAGGGTCCCGGCCAATGCTGGGCCGGCAGGGTGACACCCCCAAGCCACGGCCAAGGCACTCCCCGCCCTCCCCAGCCACACCCACGCGCACCAAGCTCTGTTCCAGTGCCCCATCCCACCCTGTCCTCGAATAAGCAGACTGTCAAAAGGAAACTGGGGGTCACTGTGTAGACAGAAAACCTAGTTTGTTTGGTATAAATTTGGTTCCCTAAAAATAAACACCCCGATAACAAGGCTGTGCTGCAGCCGGACCAGCGCCTCCCACAGCGGGGGAAACTCCACTGCAGCTGGACCAGGGCCTCCCACGGGGGTGGGGGCAGGGAACTCCAGAGGGGCCCAGGCACTGCCTGTAACTCTACGCAGCATCTACCCGGAACTCTACGCAGTATCCACCCGGGGCCTCTACACAGCACCCACCCGGAATTCTACGCACCATCCACCCAGAACTCCACGCGGCATCCACCCGGGGCCTCGCGGGGCTCCCAGAACGAAGGCCAGATCGGCAGGACACAGCCAGCGTGGGATGCTGACACTCACAGGAACCCCCGACTCACACCAACCCCCCACTGACACCAACACCCCCCACTCAAACCAACCTCCCATTCACACTAATCCTAACCCACCCCCCACACACACCACCCCCCCATTCACACCAACTCTCCCCTCACACCAACACCCCCACTCACAACCAAACTCCCCCCAGTCACACTGACCCCCCACTCACACCACCTCCCCTCACTCCCACACACACCATACCCGTCTACACCACCATACACCTCCCACCACAACTGACCCAGGCAGAGAGAACCCCCCCAACCCTGCTCCCTCCCAGGTGTCTGGAGTGTAACCTCAGCAGAGGCCCCGAGCTCTGCCAACAGGGAGGTCACTGGGGCCAGGGGATGAGGGAGGCTGGGTGACCGGTGACACTGGTGGGCCGGAGGCCCTGGGAAAGACCACGCCTCAGGTTCCCCACCATCCCCTCCCAGGCTGTGGAGTCGGCAGGGGCCTCGCTTTGCCATGTGCCTGGTGGGCTCAGGCAGATGTGAGGCCCTCGGCCTGGCAGAGGCATCCAGCCGCCCCAGTCCACACTCCCTGAGCCTTTCTCCTGCAAAAACATTTATTCACAGGTGGGCTGGGGTCAGCTGAGATTTATTCACAGGTGGGCCAGGGTCAGCTGAGCGTGAAGTGCTGGGCACAGAGTTCACCCGGCCGTCCCAGCAGGCCCTGGGCTGGGATAAACTCCAGTGGCACCGGCTCGGGCCCCTTCTTCTTCAGGTCCCGCTCAAAGATCTGCAAAGCACAAAGCACGGCGGCTCTCAGGCTTGGCTCAGCGCCCCGTGGCCCAGACCCTCGCACCCTGGCCCAGTTCCGCACCTCGTAGGCCGTGAGCTCCAGCAGTGGCGCGATGCTGACCTCAGGCATGGACAGGGCCTGGTTGATGACGCTGGCGGCTTTGGACACCTCAGGGTGGTAGTGGCGCTGGAGGGCCTGGGGCAGTAGGGCCGTTAAGAGGCAGCTGCCCCAGGCCCCCGCCCTGTGCCCCCAGCCATGGCCTCCCTGTGCTCCCAACCAGAGTGGGCGGGGTCGGGACGGAGCCACGTGAGAAGGCCAAGCACCCAGCACCCACAAACCCAGGTGGCCAGCTGGGGACGCAACATGAGGCTATGCGGGAGGTGGCACGGGGAGCTGGGCTTTCTGAGGGGCCGAAGGATGGCTCGGGAGGCCCCAGGGTGTGGCAGCAGCGCCCTCACCTGAAGCTCCCACAGGGAGCTCTCCAAGGCCCGGCTCTGGGCTGGGTCCTCCTCTCCAGGGTCGTAGGGGTCGGCGTCCAACTCTAGGAATGAGACGTGGGCCCTTGTCTGCCGTCCACAGCACCAGGCACCCCCGCCCCAGCTCCAGCCCAGCCTCCGAGGGCCCCGCAACTCACCAGGGCCGTGTGGACGGTGCACGAGGACCCGGCAGGCAGGGTGCCGGCGCAGCAGGTTACAGATGAAAGGCAGGACCATGAGCAGGGCCTCAGGGGGAGCCGTCAGGGCCAGGCGGGCCAGCCGCTTGGCGAAGGCGGCCACCAGGTAGGCGGGGAGGTGGCTGGGCAGGGCAGTGGTTGTGAGACAGGGCCCGGACTGCTAGCCCCCACCACCCTCCCCTGGCCCCAGGCTGCAGCCGCACAGAGCAGGGCAGAGCCAGGTGCCCTGGTACTCACGAGGAGGACAGGAAGAGGTCAGCCAGGTGGAAGAAGCGGGCGCGGTACTTGACGTGAAAGACAGAGGGGTCCAAGAGGCCGTAGAGCTTCCGGTAGAAGTCAGGGTACTCCCTGCGGGCCGGGGGGAAGGAGCAGCGGATGGAGCAGGGCCCGGGAACTGAGGCCTCCAAGGCCAGGGTCTCACTCGGCGCCCCTTCCTCCCGCCCAGGGACTCCAACACCATGGCCTGTGAGGAAAGCGGGGACCCCGTGGGGCAGGGTGGGAAGGGGACAGAGGAGCAGGGCTGGGCAGACTGGGAAGAAGACCTGCACCCCTGGTGACACTCACAGGTTGTGTTTGTGAATCAAGATGAACAGCCCGTTCAAGGCCAAGAGGCTGAGGGCCCCCCCTGCAGACAGACAGACACAGGCTGGAGCTGCAGTGACCTCGCTCCCACCCTACCCCCTGCCCACACTGAGTGTAAGTCTGTGGAGTGTGGCCTCTGCCCCTGCTGTCCCCTCCCACAGCCCCCACGGACACAAAGCTGGAGACCACATGCAGGGCAGGGGAGTGGGGGGTGGAGGCAGTGGGATCGGGGAAGAGGTGCTGCGGGGTGGGGGTTGGGGGTGTGAGCGAGGCGGCGGCACTCACCGAGGGGATTAGGGGTGTGGTGTGAGCGAGGCGGCGGCACTCACCGAGGGGATTAGGGGTGTGGTATGAGCGAGGCGGCGGCACTCACCGAGGGGATTAGGGGTGTGGTATGAGCGAGGCGGCGGCACTCACCGAGGGGATTAGGGGTGTGGTATGAGCGAGGCGGCGGCACTCACCGAGGGGATTAGGGGTGTGGTGTGAGCGAGGCGGCGGCACTCACCGAGGGGATTAGGGGTGTGGTGTGAGCGAGGCGGCGGCACTCACCGAGGGGATTAGGGGTGTGGTGTGAGCGAGGCGGCGGCACTCACCGAGGGGATTAGGGGTGTGGTGTGAGCGAGGCGGCGGCACTCACCGAGGGGATTAGGGGTGTGGTGTGAGCGAGGCGGCGGCACTCACCGAGGGGATTAGGGGTGTGGTGTGAGCGAGGCGGCGGCACTCACCGAGGGGATTAGGGGTGTGGTGTGAGCGAGGCGGCGGCACTCACCGAGGGGATTAGGGGTGTGGTGTGAGCGAGGCGGCGGCACTCACCGAGGGGATTAGGGGTGTGGTGTGAGCGAGGCGGCGGCACTCACCGAGGGGATTAGGGGTGTGGTGTGAGCGAGGCGGCGGCACTCACCGAGGGGATTAGGGGTGTGGTGTGAGCGAGGCGGCGGCACTCACCGAGGGGATTAGGGGTGTGGTGTGAGCGAGGCGGCGGCACTCACCGAGGGGATTAGGGGTGTGAGCGAGGCGGCGGCACTCACCGAGGGGATTAGGGGTGTGGTGTGAGTGAGGCGGCGGCACTCACCGAGGGGATTAGGGGTGTGGTATGAGCGAGGCGGCGGCACTCACCGAGGGGATTAGGGGTGTGGTAGGAGTGAGGCGGCGGCACTCACCGAGGGGATTAGGGGTGTGGTGTGAGCGAGGCGGCGGCACTCACCGAGGGGATTAGGGGTGTGGTGTGAGCGAGGCGGCGGCACTCACCGAGGGGATTAGGGGTGTGGTGTGAGCGAGGCGGCCGCACTCACCGAGGGGATTAGGGGTGTGGTGTGAGTGAGGCGGCCGCACTCACCGAGGGGATTAGGGGTGTGGTAGGAGTGAGGCGGCGGCACTCACCGAGGGGATTAGGGGTGTGGTGTGAGCGAGGCGGCGGCACTCACCGAGGGGATTAGGGGTGTGGTGTGAGTGAGGCGGCGGCACTCACCGAGGGGATTAGGGGTGTGGTGTGAGTGAGGCGGCGGCACTCACCGAGGGGATTAGGGGTGTGGTGTGAGCGAGGCGGCGGCACTCACCGAGGGGATTAGGGGTGTGGTGTGAGCGAGGCGGCGGCACTCACCGAGGGGATTAGGGGTGTGGTGTGAGCGAGGCGGCGGCACTCACCGAGGGGATTAGGGGTGTGGTGTGAGCGAGGCGGCGGCACTCACCGAGGGGATTAGGGGTGTGGTGTGAGCGAGGCGGCGGCACTCACCGAGGGGATTAGGGGTGTGGTGTGAGCGAGGCGGCGGCACTCACCGAGGGGATTAGGGGTGTGGTGTGAGCGAGGCGGCGGCACTCACCGAGGGGATTAGGGGTGTGGTGTGAGCGAGGCGGCGGCACTCACCGAGGGGATTAGGGGTGTGGTAGGAGTGAGGCGGCGGCACTCACCGAGGGGATTAGGGGTGTGGTAGGAGTGAGGCGGCGGCACTCACCGAGGGGATTAGGGGTGTGGTGTGAGTGAGGCGGCGGCACTCACCGAGGGGATTAGGGGTGTGGTAGGAGTGAGGCGGCGGCACTCACCGAGGGGATTAGGGGTGTGGTAGGAGTGAGGCGGCGGCACTCACCGAGGGGATTAGGGGTGTGGTGTGAGCGAGGCGGCGGCACTCACCGAGGTCGCAGGCGCGGGTGAGGAAGTCGATCATGAGCGTGGGCTGCGCCAGCTGCGGCAGGATGGCGTCATGCACAATCAGCAGCACCTTCTTGTAGAGGCTGAGGGGCAGCTGGGCGGGGGCCGGCAGGTGGGGGTGAGGGGCGGGTGGGCGGGGGCCGGCGGGTCGGGGTGAGGCCTCCGCCCTGGGGGAGACCCGGATGCCGCCCCCGCCCCCTCCCCGGCCTGGCCCCTACCTTGTGCTTGAGGAAGCTGAGCCACATGGCCTGGAAAACCCTCCTGTGCTCCTGCAACGGGGTCCAGACTGCACTCGCCGCCCTCCCCACCCCAGACCAGAGCCCGAGCAGCTGCCAGGGCACCCCGAAGCCCAGCCTGAGCCAACACAAGCCTGCTCTCCACTTTTCTGACCCTGCCTTCCTTCTTCCTGTCCCCATTCAAGTCAGGTACGCCTTGCCCTCGAGGCTGGAGTCTCAGAACAGCCAAGAAAGCAGCTTTGGCAAGACCATGGCCAAGAGGGGGGCTGCGCCCAAAACAGCCCACGGGGCCCACAGGTGGCACCAGAGGCTTGACTCCAAGAGGCGGCGGTGGCCTCTGACCCAAGGGAGGGTCCCGAGTTCACAGGTCTCGTCACCTCCCACACTTCGAGTGACCTGGTGGCCGTGCAAGCTGCCACCTGTACCCTGGGAGTTTCCTCTGGTGAGGAAGGCGGCAGCCTCCATGGGGTCTCACATGCACCCCACACACACCCCCAAACCCGGGAGGGTGCCCGGCTCTCCAGAAGCAACTCACCTTCAGGTGAGCAACCTTCCAGGTGTCCCACAGCTCTGCAGGGAAAGCGAGGGCAAAGGTCACCTGACCCGCAGGGGAGGCAGACCAAGGCTCAGCCCTGTCCGCCCCTGACTCTCAGCACACTCACCCGCCCGCTTCACATAGAAGCTGGAGACGGTGGGCTCCCGGCGGGGCAGGCTCACGGCAGACAGCAGCGTGAAGGCATTGTTCCAAAAGGCGGGGGGCACCTGCGGAGCCTGGCCTGAGTGCCTGGACGCCGCCCCCCAGTCCCTGCCTCCCTGGGAGGCAACAGCATGATGCTGGCGACAGGACCCCATCACCCACCTCGGGGTGCTGGCCAGTGACCCGGGCCACGGCATCCACGGCTGCCTGCATGGTGTGGTAGCGGGTGTCGTCGTAGTCCAGGTACTCCCGGAACTGGGACAGGAGCAGGCTCTGGTCCTCCTCAGGAGACAGCAGGCCTCCCACCACCAACTAGGGGCAAGGACCAGTGAGCAGCCCTGCCCGGCCCAGCATACGCCAGCAAGGTCCAGGCAGGCAGCCCTGCCCCATCGAGCCCCCCAGGCAGACTCCTCCTGGTTGGGTGGGCCACAGGAGCCACAGGAGTGTCCCAGCCAACAGCCAGGCTCAGCTCAGCAGGCCCCGCCCCCACTACGGGGCCATCCTGGGATCTGGCCAGCCAGCCAGGCCCTCTGGGAGTCCCCAGCAAGGCCCTCACCTTGAAGAGCTCTCGGGGGAACAGGTAGTTGCCTTCCCACTTGGACTTCTCCAGGGGGTGCGCTCCTTCCAGCTGCACGAACTTCAGGAGTGCGCTGAGGGCCAGCTCCTGGGAAGGGGGCAGTGCAGGGTGGCTGTGATGCCCTCACCCCACGGATGGGCCCAGAGCTCAGCCCAGTCAGGGAGCCCCTCCCATCTAGGCCCAGAGCTGAGAAAAGGGCGGCCGGGCCTTCTCTTGCTCCACACGCCACCAGATGCCACTCTGGGCTTCCGTGTCCCACCCATGACGTAGAGATGACAAGATCTCTAGTTAAAGAGATCCAGTGCTCACGACAGAGTCTGGCGGGGGAAGGGTACACAGCCCAGGTCTGCTTTATGGGCCACCTGACTGCTCTCTCGTCACCTGTGTCACGGGAATGCCACCATAACCCTTGGGAACAGCTGTGAAAACACAGGCGTGTGATGCCAGCATGGTGCCCAACTCAGACCCAGGCTTGGAAGCTCTCATCTCGGGGTGGCAAACTCAGTGCTTTCAGGGCCCAGGCAAATGACACCACAAAGCAAAAGAGCCTCGTGCGGGATGACAGGAGCACACGGCTGTCTCAGAGCTGTCTCTGACTCTCCCTCCAGCCAATCGCAGCCATGAACAAACTTAGACCCCGTGTTGACAGAACTGATTATTTCTTTCTGAGAAGGTGGAAACTGGTTATTTTCACGTGGTATCTCCCCAACATTTAAAAGTCTGCAGCTCGGCTATAATTATAGACAGACGTGTTGGCGAGGATGTGGAGTATGGAACTCTCAAATGCTGCCAGGGGGAGGGTAAGATAGCGCAGCTACTATGGAAAACAGTCTTGTAGTTCCTCAGAACATTAAAAACACAGCTGCTGTGTGGCCTTGTAATTCCACTGATAAGGCATATTCAAGCAAAAGAAACATCACACAAGAGTTTGTACGCGAACGTTCACAGTCCGCTGTTCGTAACAGCCAAAGGTGGAAACGACGCAAATGCCCAGCAACCTACGAGCGGCTGAACGATACGTGCTGTGCTATACGACGCGCTGCTACTCAGCCACAAAGAGAACGAACTTCGAACACGCCGATGAGTGGAAGAAGCCACATACCGTATGATCCCCCTTATGAGGAGCGTCTAAAAAAAGCAAACCCATTGATCCAGGAAGTAACCACTGATCCAGGAGTGGCTGCCTGGGGCTGGGGGTGGAAAGGGGCGGGATATGGAAGCGATGGTAACTGGTACAGGATTTCTTTTCGGGGCGATAAAGATGTTCTGGGATAGCGGCAACCACTGCACAACACAGTAACAGATGCTAACTTCTCAGCTTTAAACGGTAAACTGTGCCTCAGTTATTCCTCACTACAGATTTTAAGAAAGCTCATAATGCATTCCCATGGCTGCAGACCACAGTGTGATCTGAGCAAACACATCTGTGGACTGGCACGAGGCTTGGTGTGCGTGCTCTATGCAAACACAGAGATCCCCGTGGATGCCACTGGAAATGAACACGGATTCTGCGTCTTCAATATTCACTACAGGACTCGATAGCCATGTTTCTGAATGGGACTGAACACCCACAGGGTGATGCTCCCATGAAGGAAGCAGCTTTGCCTGGACAATTGTGGGAGCCCCAGACCTCTGCTTTGTGGATAACCTGGGAGTTGGGGTGCAGGGGATGGACAAGGATGAGGCCAGCCCAATGACCCACCTTGACCTGAAAGGAGGGGTGGCCCAGGAGCTCTCCCAAGCGATTGCAGCAGCTGTGATAGCGGTGTCTCATCCACACCTTGTACTTCCGTGTGGCTCCCTGGGACCCTGCAGACAGGTTAGGGTGGTCAGCCCACGTGAGGCCCACATACGCCACCCTGGGCCCAGCCCAAAATCTCAGGCCTGGCTCCACCCTCCCATTGTCTTCTACTCAGCCTCCGCAGGTGGAAACAGGTCGCTAAGGCCCCCAGACCTGTGCTGAGACCAGCACATTCCCTGAGCCCTGCAAACAGGAAGAGCACCTCCTACCCCAGGACTGCCCCAGCCAAGCTGCCAGGAGCAGGATCCACATCCCCTCTCTTTACTCCAAGACCTGACGTCCCCAGGATGGGGACATAAAGGAAGCTCCGAGTTTAAGCGACCGTGTCAGGATCAGTCAACATCAAATTACAAAAGGGGTGCAAAGCACACAAAAAGTCGTACCTTGTCCAGTGTTCATCTACACTCAGCTGCAGGGCACCCATGTCACCCCTGCCCCAACGCCACCATCCATCTTCCACGGTGGGCTTGGTGCGTCCTCCCACCAGCCTGCACGGCCTGTGCCAGGGTTGGGGGCGCTCATCCCATGGTGACAAAGCCTCCCTCCGACCCACGGAAAGAGAAGAGCAGCCCCGGGGCCCTCCAGGGCTCACCTGTCATGACCATCTCCTCAGAGGGCAGCTGGCCCACAAACAGCTCTCCCCGCTCCAGCAAGGCCCCGAAAAGACGGCTGCACGTGCGGACTGCTTCCTGGATCTCCTCCTGGTCCTCAGACTGCAGGAGAGGCGGCGGCAGGGTGCCCGGCCGCCAACTGTCACCTTCGCCCCTGCCTAGGCTGCCCCCAACCCGTTCCCTTCCCCCTCGGGACGCCAGCCCCGTCACCCCCGACCCGTGACCCACACGCCTCCCACCCTGACCCCCCAACGCCGTCTCGGAACCTCCTGGGGACCTGCCGCCGCAGCCCCCCATTCAAGTCCCGCTCCCGTGCCGCGACTCCGGCCCTGCGACGCCGCCAGGCCCACCTGCAGCACGGCCAGGATGTCGAACACGGCGTTGGCCTCACTGCGGCTCGCCAGCACCGCCTCCAGCCGGCGGCCCAGAGCCCGGCGAACTCCCGCGGCGCCCGGCTCCCGCTCCATGCCGCCCCCAACACGGAACAACGCGGATTCTCAGCCGCCGGCGCTCCCGTGACGTCACCACTGCGCGTAGAACCCGACGTCATCTCTACGCGCCGTACCCCAACCCCATCTTTTGCGCGGAGCCCGAGTCGCAGGCGTGCCGCCGACGTCATCGCAGCGCGCCACGCCCGAGTCCCAGGCGTGCGGCTGGCCATGGCGCTGTTCTACGTCGCGCGGTACCCGGGCCCCGATGCGGCAGCTGCGGCGGGGCCGGAGGGCGCGGAGGCCGGGGCGCACGGCAGGGCCCGCGCGCTGCTCGAGCGGCTGCAGAGCCGGGCCCGCGAACGGCAGCAGCAGCGGGAGCCCGCGCAGACCGAGGCGGCTGCATCGACCGAGCCGGCGACCAGGAGGCGACGGCGGCCCCGGCGGCGGCGGCGGGTGAACGACGCGGAGCCGGGGAGCCCGGAGGCGCCGCAGGGAAAGCGACGGAAGGCGGACGGCGAGGACGCGGGCGCAGGTGGGCCGCGGGGCGAGCGGGCTCCCTCTGGGGCGCCGGCGACTCGGTGCTGACGCGCTGCCGGGTGGGTGTCTGCCTCGCAGAAAGCAACGAGGAGGCGCCAGGGGAGCCCAGCGCAGGGAGCAGCGAGGAGGCGCCAGGGGAGCCCAGCGCAGGGAGCAGCGAGGAGGCGCCGGGGGAGCGCAGCACCAGCGCCAGCGCCGAGGCGGCCCCAGATGGACCGGCCCTGGAGGAGGCGGCCGGACCCCTGGTCCCCGGCCTGGTGCTGGGGGGGTTCGGGAAGAGGAAGGCGCCGAAGGTGAGCCTCGGCGGGCGGGAGGGTGGTCGGCGTGAGAGGGTAGGCTGCGCGGATTCTTAAGTGCGGCGGTCGCCCCGGAAGATTTCGTTCAGCGAATGTTCCCGGGTCACAGCCGCGCCTCGCTGCCAGGTCTGCAGTTTCATCGCCTAGGGGTCTGGATCCTGCACGTGCAGAGCTCCCGTTTCCTCTGCTAGGCTTGCCCCTGTCCTCCCGCCGCGCCGCGCCAGTTCTGCAAGATGTGTTTGCGTGAACGTGCGGGGTTTCCTGCTGTGCGCTCACCGCCTCAGGAGTAAGTCAGAGGCCGTTCTGCAAGCTCCTGACCGTTGGTGTTTTTGCTTAGCACGTGTGGTTTTCGGTAAAGAGATTTCCGGCGAGACAGGTGAAGAAAGCGAGAAGTTTGACAGAGTGCTCGGGCACCTTAGGTAGGGCAGGTGGAGGAGGTTCTCTTTGAGTTGGGATGCAAAGACTTGAAGCCAGGTCAAGGTTGGGGGTTGGGGGTGCCAGGCAGAGGCCTCGAGGCAGGGACGCCGGCGTGGCTGGGGCAGGCGAGCGCCAGGTCACAGGACCTCCTGGCTGCGGGAGGGTGGGTGCCACTGTGGGTTGATGGGAGGCTACAGAGTGAGTTTGCTCAGGGAGTGGCATCTGCTTTTACTGTTTAACTTCTGAAGGCTGTATGGAAAGCGCATCCTGGGGCTGAGAAGGAGCTGAAGACGACAGAGGTTTCCCCAGCCTCCCTCCCCTAGCTTTTTCCACCGTGGGCTTCTGCGCGAGAGCCTGGAAAGCGCTCACCTGGCCTCTCTTTCTTTTTGATGGCAGGTCCAGCCTTTCCTGCCAAGGTGGCTGGCTGAGCCTAACTGTGTCAGAAGGAATGTCACCGAAGACCTGGTTCCTATCGAGGACATCCCTGACGTCCATCCTGACCTGCAGAAGCAGCTGCGGGCACACGGCATCTCGTCCTACTTTCCAGGTGCCCCAGCCCCGGGCAGGCAGCTGAGGGAACACCTCCCTGGGCACCCACACACAAGGCTGTGAGTGGCCGTGGGTCAGGCGTCCCTGCCACATCGGTGCCAAGTGTGGTCTCAGCACTCTCAAGCTCATGGTTCCCACTTGGGTCTCCTGAGGCTGGCGTTCCTCTGGGCCTTGGTGCCATCCCTCTGGGGAGCGGTTCCCAGGCCTCCAGCAGAGCAGCCCAGCCCAGAGGTCACAGGCAGGGAAGCGGCAGGCCTAGGCCTAGGCGTAAACACGACTTCTCTCTCGCCTTTCCTCATCCAGTCCAGGCAGCTGTGATTCCTGCCCTCCTGGAGAGCGCAGCCTGTGGGTTTCTGGTGGGCAGAGGTGGCTACCGGCCTAGCGACCTCTGTGTTTCTGCCCCAACAGGCAGTGGGAAGACACTGGCCTTCGTCATCCCTGTGGTGCAGGTCTGTGTGAGGGTCCCCTTTCTCTACAGCGGGTGTGCAGAGGACAGGTAACAGCCTTGCTGACGCAGGCGCTCCTTCCCCCTCAGGCCCTGCTTTCGAGAGTGGTCTGCCACATCCGTGCCCTGGTTGTGCTGCCCACCAAGGAGCTGGCCCAGCAGGTATGTGGACCCTAGACCTGGAGCGTGGCACCGCCCGCCTCAGCTTCCCTGCTGAGTGCACAGCGATCAGCCCCTGGGGGACCCAGATTAGATCTGGGGTCCTTTTTGCTGCAGTAGGTGGACACCAGCTACCTCCAGGCCAGTGACAGACTTCTCCTGCAGGTGAGCAAAGTTTTCAACATCTACACAGATGCCACACCTCTGAGAGTCTCCCTGGTTACGGGACAGAAGTCTCTGGCCAAGGAGCAGGAGAGCCTCGTCCAGAAAACGTAGGTTGTGTCAGGGTGCGGGTTTTTCAGGGGGTCCCTGCTCAGCCCTGCAGGTGGCCTGAGGCACCGTGGGAGCAGAGGAGGGGCCACCATCTTTAACCACCTGTTCCCGTGAAGAGGAGGAGCTCCCACCGGCCCCCTTCCCATGTGGGGTGGAGTCGGGGCTGTGGGGTGAGGCAGCGTCTTGCTATCCGGAAGCCCTTGAGAAAGCTTCCTTCTCTCGAGCTGCTCTCTGGTCTGTAGAGCTGATGGGTACCGCTGCTTGGCTGACATCGTGGTAGCCACCCCCGGCCGCCTGGTGGACCACATCGACCAGACCCCAGGATTCAGCCTCCAGCAGCTCCGCTTCCTGGTAGGTCCCCGCCCCAGGGGCCTGGGCTTTGAGCTCAGGGCCGCGCCACCCAGTCCCGGGCTCCCTGTCTCCTGCAGATTATCGACGAGGCTGACCGGATGATTGACAGCATGCATCAGTCCTGGCTGCCGCGGGTGGTGGCGGCCGCCTTCCAGAGCGAGGACCCCGCGGACCCCTGTGCCCTGCTCCAGCGAAGGCAGGCCCAGGCTGTGACAGCCGCCAGGTATCCAGCAGCACGCCCAGGTGCTGGCCTCCCCTGAGCAGAGTCCTCTGCACACAGCTCTCCTTCCTTAATGCCCAGAGATAAGGGTGGCTTGAGCTCTGGTGCACAGAACCGCATCGTACTGTCACGTGAGCTGGACCCACCTTGCTCCTGGTCTGCGGCAGTCTCTACAGTGCGTAGCATGAGGAATCCTGTTCCCTGGAGGTTCGGGGCAGCCACTGGTAGGGTGCCAGCAACACCCCCTTCTCTTCCAGCACCTGCTGTCCCCAGATGCCCCTGCAGAAGCTGCTCTTCTCAGCTACTCTGACCCAGAACCCTGAAAAGCTGCAGCAGCTGGGCCTCCACCAGCCCCGGCTTTTCTCCACAGGGCTAGCACACAGGGGCCTGGAAGATACAGATGGGGACGGGGATTCGGGGAAGTATGCCTTTCCTGTTGGGCTCACGGTGAGTGGGATACCGTGTGGGCAGAGGGTTGCACTGGGAACCTGGGGCCCCTAACCAACCCTCACCTCCACCCCGACCCCCTGCCGTCCCTGTAGCACCACTACGTGCCCTGCAGCCTCAGCTCTAAGCCGCTGGTCGTCCTGCACCTGGTCCTGGAGATGGGCTTCTCGAGGGTTCTCTGCTTCACTAACTCCCGAGAGAACTCCCACAGGTGAGGCCCCGGCTGGGCGGGGGTGGCAGAGGTGGCCTCTGGTCCCAGCATCACTTGGCCGCAGCCTTCTCTCTGCCTAGGCTCTTCCTGCTGGTGCAAGCTTTTGGGGGTGTGGACGTGGCTGAGTTCTCCTCGCGCTACGGGCCTGGCCAGAGGAGGATGATCCTGAAGCAGTTTGAACAGGGGAAGATCCAGCTGTGAGTTCCTGGGCAGGGGCAAGGCCTCTGTGGGGTGGGGGTGCCCACTCCAGGGTCAGCCTGGGGCTCTCTAAAAGGTGCTTCCTTCTGCAAATTGGCTTCCTGTGCCCCAGCCCCATGGCAGCCAGTTCCCAGAAAGGCCTGAGCTGCCCCCCGCAGGGCCGGTGCTGCCACGGCCCCTGCTCCTGGCACGTCGGGCCCACAATGCTGCGTGTCCCGGCAGGCTCATCAGCACGGACGCCACCGCGCGAGGCATCGACGTGCAGGGTGTGGAGCTGGTGGTGAACTACGACGCCCCCCAGTACCTGAGAACCTACGTGCACCGGTGAGCGCTGGCGCAGCGGCCACTGGGGGGTCTGGGGCTTTGTGAGCTCCTGGGCGTTGATGTGGGACCGTCTTGACTGGCGTGGGGTGGGGTTGGTGTGGAGAGAAGCTGTCGTTCCGTCAGACTCTTGAAGGCTCAGGGGCCAGTCTGGAGATAGCTGCGTTTGATTCCAGGGTTGGGAGGACAGCTCGCGCTGGGAAAACTGGACAGGCCTTCACACTGCTCCTGAAAGTGCAGGTGAGGCTGCGAGGGTCTTGGGAGTTTCTGCTGTTGGTGGGTGTTAAGGGGCTGGCCCAAGAACCCCCTTCCACCATGAGCTTCTCTCCAGGAGAGGAGATTCCTCCGAATGCTAACTGAAGCTGGGGCACCTGAGTTGCAGCGGCACGAGCTCTCCAGCAAGCTGCTGCAGCCGCTGGTTCCTCGGTACGAGGAGGCCCTGTCCCAGCTGGAGGAGTCTGTCAAGGTAAGGGCACCAGAGTCCGGCATGAAACCCTCTGGGGAGGGCGTTTGCAGAGAGGGCGTCGTCACCACACGTGGAGAAAAGAGGGAAAAAGAGGAAAGCGAGAAGGCAACAGAGGGTCACACAGGTTGTCCTCGAGCTTCTGGCCCAAGGGCGGGGAGCCCCTGGGCACCAGTGGTGGAAACACGTGGCACCAGGGAGGGCTGTCAGCGGGGCCAGGGCCTGGTTTCTGCATGCACAGGGCTTCCTGTCCTCAGGGTTCCAGGGGCAGAGCCCGGGGCCCCACAGACGATGAGGGGACAGAGTGTGTGGTGCTGAGCCCTCCCCTTTCCTCCACAGGAAGAGCGCAAGCAGAGGGCGGCCTAGGCTGGGGCTCAGAGGGCCGGAGGGACTGAACGCTCACCACCCTGACCCTCCTTCCAGAGCAGTGCTGATCACTGGATCCTGTATGTGAGGAAAGGAATCCCCCAGTGGACACAGCCTTCCTCCCCAAGCACGTGGTCTCTGCGCCAGGCAGCCCGGGCGTCAGAGCTCAAGCACCTGCCCCGACTGGAGACTTCAGGGCTTGTCACTTTCAGAGTGTGGAGGTCAGGATGGCTGCGGGCAATGAAGCCTTAGTAAAACGGTGAAAAGTACTCCCAGACGGACGCGGGCACCCGTCATGCTTTTGCTGAGAGTTGGGGGCATTAACCTTGAGCTAATGTTAAAAATCAAGCTCTTGGCCAGGCATGGTGGCTCATGCCTGTAATTCCAGCACTTTGGGAGGCCAAGGCGGGTGGATCACCTGAGGTCACGAGTTCGAGACCAGCCTGACCAACATGGAGAAACCCTGTCTCTACTAAAAATACAAAATTAGCCAGGCGTGGTGGTGCATGCCTGTAATCCAGCTACTTGGGAGGCTGAGGCAGGAAAATGGCTTGAACCCGGGAGGTGGAGGTTGCAGTGAGCTGAGATTGCGCCACTGCACTCCAGCCTGGGCAACAAGAGCAAAACTCCGTCTCAAAAAAAAAAATTGCCGGGCGCGGTGGCAAATGCCTGTAATCCCAGCACTTTGGGAGGCCGAGGCAGGTGGATCACAAGGTCAGGAGATAGAGACCATCATTGCTAACATGGTGAAACCCCGTCTCTACTAAAAATACAAAAAAAAAAAAAAAACAACTAGCCGGGCGTGGTGGCGGGCACCTATAGTCCCAGCTACTCGGGAGGCTGAGGCAGGAGAATGGCGTGAACCCGGGAGGCGGAGCTTGCAGTGAGCGGAGACTGCGCCACTGCACTCCAGCCTGGGCAACAGAGTGAGACTCCGTCAAAAAAAAAGCTCTCCTCCCCAGATTTGTGAACCTTGTGACTGTTCAGTGGACACCTCACATATTGCTGGTGGGAAGGTCACGTGGAGACAGCTGGGCAAAGCCTTGGGGCGTTAAACACAGAGTCACTCATGACCCAGCACTTCCTCTCCTATGCACCTTGTACACCCCAGATCAATGAAACCTACATCCACACAGAAACGTACACAAATCTCTCAGCAGCACTGTTCACAGTAGCCAAAAACTAGAAACCACATGTCCGTCAGCTGATGAATGGAGAATAAAACGTGGGAAATCCACACCAGGAGAGAAAAAGGAGTGAGGCACCAGCATAGGCACCCCGTGGATGAACCCGGAACCTGACGCTAACTGAAGGAAGGCTCCGGCTATAGGGAGTGTCCCAGGCACAGCCAGAGATTGAAGGGTGCCGGGGCCGGGAGTTGGTGGGGGTTGGGGCTGGGGACACAGTGGCCAGTGTGTGGGTTTGTTTTGGGGATGATGAAAATGTTCTTAGGTTGTGTGTGGTGATGGCTGCTCACCTCTATAAACCTTTTACTAAAAACCATGGACTGGGTGGATACAGTGTGTGAATTCTCTCAGTCCAGTGCTTTGTTTGAAAAAGGTGGATGATGCCAACATCACTAACCGCCAGGGAGACGCAGGCCACGGCCACACCCGGCTCACTGGAGTTGTGAGGATGGAAACACCAGCCCACCCCACTCAGTTCAGACCTCAGCTTAGATGCAAAGAATGTCTGGGATGGGGACTGGCAGCTGATTAGAGATGCAACCACTGAACCTGTGGACTGTGTTCAAACAAATGCCAGCAGAACACAAAAGGCGACTGTTACAGGAGGCAGAAAGAAATGATTTAGGTAGACGGGGTAAAGCCAGTCCCCAGCAGAAAATTTGCCTTTTAACAAAAAGCAGCTCAAAAATAGCTCCCTTTCTAACCTCGGGGTTCAAAATCACTTCTCACGACAAGCAGCCAGAAAGAGCAGACTGTGAATCACAGATGAGACAGCTCGGGCACAGGAGTGCGGGGGGTGTCTCCTGGGTGATCACCAAACTTCACACTTCCACAATGGGCCCCAGTAAAACAGTGGACCCTAATAAGCACATTCCCGTCCCCTTAGGTGCACTAAGGGAAGCTAAAAGCAGACTGAGGGGTGCCTGTAACCCCAAGAAGATGTCTGGGAGCAGACCCAGAGACCCTCGCAGAAAAGTGTCACAGAGCAGCACAGACTGAGTCTGACAGAAACTCTCTATACAAATAGCACACCTTGTCCCAGCTAAAACCCTGGGCCCTGGGAGGACAAGACATCCCTCCTCTAACCCCTCGTCACTAGCCCATTTGTAAAAACCTTGACAGGCCGGGCACGGTGGCTCACACCTGTAATCCCAGCACTTTGGGAGGCTGAGGCAGGCGCATCACCTGAGGTCAGGAGATCGAGACCATCCTGGCCAACATGGTGAAACCCCATCTCTACTAAAAATACAAAACTTAGCTGAGCGTGGTGGCGTGTGCCTGGAGTCCCAACTACTCAAGAGGCTGAGGCAGGAGAATCACTTGCCCGGGAGGTGGAGGTTGCAGTGGGCCAAGATCAGCCCACTGCACTGCAGCCTGGCGACAGAAAAAAAAGAAACCTTGACATCTTTACTACAACTTAGCAACCCGCTCAGGCCCCCTCTGCAACGGAGAGCTCTTCTTCCTTTTTGCTTATTAAACTTCTGCTCCAAACTCACTGTGTGTGTGTGTGTCTGTCTGCGACCTCGATCTCCTTGGCCATGAGACCAAGAACCTTGGTATTTACCCCAGACCACAAGGCTGCTTCACGATGATTGCCATTTATCGGGGATTGATAGTGGCTCAGTGCTGCTGGGTTCGCAGACATAAGATGTGGGCCTGGCCACACACTCGGGAGGTGGGAGGAGCGGGCACCGTGGGCACACTCGGGGAGGTGGGAGGAGCGGGCACCGTGGGCACACTCGGGAGGTGGGAGGAGCGGGCACCGTGGGCACACTCGGGAGGTGGGAGGTAGCGGGCACCGTGGGCACACTCGGGGAGGTGGGAGGAGCGGGCACCGTGGGCACACTCGGGAGGTGGGAGGAGCGGGCACCGGGGCACACTCGGGAGGTGGGAGGAGCGGGCACCGTGGGCACACTCGGGGAGGTGGGAGGAGCGGGCACCGTGGGCACACTCGGGGAGGTGGGAGGAGCGGGCACCGTGGGCACACTCGGGGAGGTGGGAGGAGCGGGCACCGTGGGCACACTCGGGGAGGTGGGAGGAGCGGGCACCGGGGCACACTCGGGAGGTGGGAGGAGCGGGCACCGTGGGCACACTCGGGGAGGTGGGAGGAGCGGGCACCGTGGGCACACTCGGGAGGTGGGAGGAGCGGGCACCGGGGCACACTCGGGAGGTGGGAGGAGCGGGCACCGGGGCACACTCGGGAGGTGGGAGGAGCGGGCACCGTGGGCACACTCGGGAGGTGG
The DNA here is from genome assembly GCF_000001405.40 of Homo sapiens. Lineage (NCBI taxonomy): Eukaryota > Metazoa > Chordata > Mammalia > Primates > Hominidae > Homo > Homo sapiens. The sequence goes on along the minus strand of NW_021160007.1, from coordinate 42,870 downwards.
GAGGAGCGGGCACCGGGGCACACTCGGGAGGTGGGAGGAGCGGGCACCGGGGCACACTCGGGAGGTGGGAGGAGCGGGCACCGGGGCACACTCGGGAGGTGGGAGGAGCGGGCACCGTGGGCACACTCGGGGAGGTGGGAGGAGCGGGCACCGTGGGCACACTCGGGGAGGTGGGAGGAGCGGGCACCGTGGGCACACTCGGGGAGGTGGGAGGAGCGGGCACCGTGGGCACACTCGGGAGGTGGGAGGAGTGGGCACCGTGGGCACACTCGGGAGGTGGGAGGAGCGGGCACCGGGGCACACTCGGGAGGTGGGAGGAGCGGGCACCGTGGGCACACTCGGGGAGGTGGGAGGAGTGGGCACCGTGGGCACACTCGGGAGGTGGGAGGTAGCGGGCACCGTGGGCACACTCGGGAGGTGGGAGGTAGCGGGCACCGTGGGCACACTCGGGGAGGTGGGAGGTAGCGGGCACCGTGGGCACACTCGGGAGGTGGGAGGAGCGGGCACCGGGGCACACTCGGGAGGTGGGAGGAGCGGGCACCGTGGGCACACTCGGGAGGTGGGAGGAGTGGGCACCGTGGGCACACTCGGGGAGGTGGGAGGAGTGGGCACCGTGGGCACACTCGGGAGGTGGGAGGAGCGGGCACCGGGGCATACTCGGGAGGTGGGAGGAGCGGGCACCGTGGGCACACTCGGGAGGTGGGAGGAGCGGGCACCGTGGGCACACTCGGGAGGTGGGAGGAGCGGGCACCGTGGGCACACTCGGGAGGTGGGAGGAGTGGGCACCGTGGGCACACTCGGGGAGGTGGGAGGAGTGGGCACCGTGGGCACACTCGGAGAGGTGGGAGGAGTGGGCACCGTGGGCACACTCGGGAGGTGGGAGGTAGCGGGCACCGTGGGCACACTCGGGGAGGTGGGAGGAGCGGGCACCGGGGCACACTCGGGAGGTGGGAGGAGCGGGCACCGTGGGCACACTCGGGAGGTGGGAGGAGTGGGCACCGTGGGCACACTCGGGGAGGTGGGAGGAGTGGGCACCGTGGGCACACTCGGGAGGTGGGAGGAGGGGCACCGTGGGCACACTCGGGGAGGTGGGAGGAGTGGGCACCGTGGGCACACTCGGGAGGTGGGAGGAGCGGGCACCGTGGGCACACTCGGGAGGTGGGAGGAGCGGGCACCGTGGGCACACTCGGGGAGGTAGGAGGAGTGGGCACCGGGGCATCTGCAGTGCATTGGGCAGGCCCGTCCCGGCCCTTCCACAGTGGCACGGGGGCCTGGATCCTTCCCCAGAGTTTCGAGATGTGAGAGGGGAGAGGAGCGGGAGGGACAGCAGCTGAGCACACAAAGGAAGAGGTGGGAGGGGCAAGAGGAGGACAGAGCTGTTGGTGACGGTGGGGACCAGGCGAGAGGGGGTGGGGTGGGGGCTGAGGGGTGTGCCGGGGCCATGCCGGCGGCAGGATGGTGGGCACTCACCTGCTGGGCCACCAGCTGCTGAGGGCTCAGGCAGGCGTCCGTGGCTGGGCCTCGAGGGCTCTTTGCGACCTTCACGGAGCACAGAATAGGGAGGAGGGACCTTCAATGTGCAGTGTGGGCCTGAGCTGTCCACACATTCCCGTCTCCTTACCTCTACGGAGGAAGGGGGTAGGTCTTGAAAGTAGGATAATGACAGCAAGGAGCACAGCAGCCACTGGCCTGACCCCGTGTGGCCATGTGGGAGGGGCACAGTGTGAGCTGCCCCTACCTGCATGTAGGCCTGCACTGGCGCGGTCCCCGTGGCCTTGGGAACCTGAGACATGGGGGATGGCAGAAACAGTGCTTTCCTGGTGGGCCGCGGACGGTGGGCCACGGAGGCTAGGCCACTCTCCTGGCGGGCTGCAGTGGTAGGCTGCTCTTGGCTGTTGGCCGGTTGGCTGCTAGGCCTGAACTGTGACTTGCTGGGTATTCATCTATGAACTCAAAGGACAGGCCTTAGAGAAAGAGCTGGAAGACGGCAGAGCCATGGAGGGGCGGCCAACCCCTCCTTCACCTTTCCAGACATGAGTGTTGCGCATGGCCCTGTGCATTCTAGTTGCTGAGAGACTCTAGGGCGAGTCGGACGGGTCTGGCCCTCCAGGAGCGAGGTCTGCACTGTCAGGAAGGCAGAGCAAGGCTGGCCGCAAGTGGCTCATGCCTGTAATCCCAGCACTTTGGGAGACCGAGGCAGGTGGATCACTTGAGGTCAGGAGTTCGAGACCAGCTTGGCCAACATGCTGAAACCCCATGTCTACTAAAAATACAAAAATTAGCTAGGTGTGGTGGCAGATGCCTGTAATCCCAGCTACTCCGGAGCCTGAGGTGGGAGAATTGCTTGAACCTGGGAGGTGGAGATTGCAGTGAGCCAAGATTGCACCACTGTACTCCCGCCTGGGTGACAGAACGAGACTCTGTCTCAAAAAAAAAAAACAAAAAAGGAAGGCAGAGTGAGTCCACCTGCCAGGTAACAGGCAGGGTCCCGGGTCTGGAAGGCCCACAGCCACCCCCACTCAAACTGTCATAGCCCCCCCCATCAGCCCCGGCTCCAAGGAGATGGTCCTTGTCACTGGGTAGATGCAAACTTGGGCAATCAAGAGGTGGACCCACAGGCTCAGCTGGGCCCGGTCTCCGCAGGAGGAGCCCCCGTCAGGCGGGGGGGAGGGGGGCAGAACCACCCCCACACTCCGCCCAGGTCAGGGTGGCAGCCACGTCTCTGGAGGGTGGCACAAGGCCCTCCCTTGCCAATGACACTGATGGCGTCCACATCATTGTGGGGAGGCGTGGGAAATAAAAAGAAACCACTGTACGGGTGGCAGCGACGAGCCGCACCCGAAGGCGCTCCCCCGTGGGCCCCGCTGCGCTCCTGGACCTCATCCTCCCGTGGCTGAGGAAGGAGGCGCATCCAGGCTCCCCCACCTGCGTCCCAGCCTCAGCTCTGCTACGGAGAGGCCGCCAGGCCGGGGCAGGCAGCACAGTGGCCCACACCCCTAGCTCCTCCAGCGTCCCCGCCCCTGGCAGCCCCATTGCCGGCCAGGGTCTGGCGTCTCTGAGCCAGGTGGCCCGGCTTCCTGGAAGGGCCACGCCAGTTGCACCAAGATCCAGAGAAGTCAGCCCAGGCTCCACGCAGCGGTTTGGCACATCCCACGAGGCGTCCTTACTGCAGTCCAGCCCTCCCCACGGCTCCTGCTCCCAGGGGCTGCGCCGGGCAGGGGTGGGAGGCAACACCAGGCGCCCACTCCAGGAAGGCCTGGGGGTTGCGGGGCTCATGGAAGGCATCCGGGGGTGGCGGCTGCTCTGGGCTGCGGCCCTGGGGGAGCAGCTCCCCTGGACCACACCTGGAGACTCTACCATCAGCAAAAATGACAGGGAAAAGGCCTCTGTACCACTGTCCTGTGACTGGGCAGAAAAGGAGGTCTTGCTCCCGCTCAAGGAACCTTCTAAAATGCACCTGCTGCTGCTCGCAGTTCTCTTCTTGGTGGGGCCTACAGCTCCTGGTCCAGGTCACAGCGCTTCCCATCAGGTGGGAGAGAATCACCGCCCACCAAGCCCATAGCTCTGGGGCCAGCAGGCAAAAGGGGAAAGCCCTGCTCATATTCCGAACCAGTGGCTTTTGAACACCATGTGCCTCCTGTTCAAAACTGTGCCTTGGGCTATGAGAACAGAGCCCGCAGGGACTACCATGCAAGTCAGGAAACTGCTTCCGAGGAGCCCGACCCTCCGTGGGCGGCCACTCCCCGCCTCCTCGCCTCAATGCCACACAACCAAGCTGCTCTTTAACAACCCACGTTCCACAACGCTCCTTATTCTGGTTTTGTATTTCCATTCCGTTCTCCCGCAGACTTAGTCCTAATGTATTTTATGCTTGGAATCCTTTGACAGCTCCCACAGACTTCTGTGCAACAGAAATGTGTACGAAAATTGATCACAAGGCTCTAGGCGTTCAAAAACAATGATCCCGACTGAGAGATCATTACAATTAGTATTGGTATGCAAATAGTCAACATAACATAAGCATATTACAAACTATGGTAATAACTAAATACAAAAAGTGAAATTTAACCCCAGTGAGATGGATCAGGCTGTAAACTGCCCGATTCTGTCGCTGTTCAGGGCGCCACGTGTAACCACCCTCAATCCCTGGTGGACTGAACAAAGGGGGCGAACGTGGGAATAAAAGACAAGAGACAAGAGAGTATATTTGAAAGAAGGGGTCAGGGGGCACCTTGCCTCTAGTGGACAAGGGCCCTGAGCTTTACACAGCCCTCCATATTTATTGGTAAAAGAGATAGAGCTTTACACAGCCCTCCGTATTTATTGGTAAAAGAGATCGCGACAAAGTGCAGTGATTGTCGGGTAATCGGCAGTCCGCCGTTTGGTTCACAGCAGGCTTGCGAGACTGCATCCTTCGAACAACAGGCGCTAGATTTCCCAGTAGATAACTTCAAGGACCCCAGTGCCAGGGAGTGACCGCCCTCAGCAAACCTTCTGGCAGCAGGCGCAGCTGTGAGTTTTACTCACATCCTACATTCAGGATAAACAGTTTGCTGATTGATCATATAGCCTCCAGTGGAATGCTGAGTTGGTCACGATCCCTTCGGCCTTTTTGGCTCCCAGTATCAGGCTATTTTTTTTTCAACCAGTTCATCCATTCATGGGATGACATAGATTCAGCACCGGTGCTGTTCTTATTTTTCGTATTTATAGATCAAAACACCGAGGAAAACCCGCGCCTGTAATTAAGCAGATGGCACCAGGAGTTCTGCCGCTTGACTCTGAGCCCTTCTGAAGACTTCATCAGCCGGAGCTTGACAGGTTCTCCTTCACATGTGGCTGAAGCCAAAAGAGAAGCCTCCCGGCCTGCAGGCAGCTTCGTGGGTGGCACGTGGGGGCGGCCTCCTCAGCCTTGATGGCGGGCTGTCCTCTGGCAGAGCCCTCACCAGGCAGCAGCTGACGAGGAGACCCGGATGATGACGGAAGCTCTGGAGACGTTCCTAAGGCCTCGTGACTGTGTTTGGAAGGTGTTTGCATCTGTGCAGCTCAGCGTGAGGGGCAGATAGGCTGAGCCACACCCTGGCAGCCTGGGGTGGTCGTCTGATTCTTGCTGTCCTCAAGCTCACACTCCAGTCTCACCATGCATGGCTCCCAGCCCCCTTCTTGGCCCTGGGGGGACCCTCCAGGGATCATCACCGCCAACTCTTCAGTACACCCTCTGTCCCCTGAGCTTTGCTTTCCACATCGAGGGCCATTTGCCTGCTTAAGGTGAGTTTGTTTGTGGTAAATGTTTTCAGTTTTTGTCTGAGTATGTCTTTGTTTTCACTCTTATCCTTGAAAGACAGTTTTATCCCAGCACTTTAAAGCTACTTCTGGTTTCCACAGTTCCTACTAAGAAGGGAGCTGTCCATGGAATCGCCTTTCCTTCGTGAGAAATCTGTTTTCCTCCTGGATTCTTTCATGGTTTTCTCATCTGCTTTGAGTGCCACAGTTTGCCCAGATGTGTCAGGCACAGGTATCTTTGTCTGTATCCTGCTAGGGACTTGTTGTATTTCTTCAGTCTTTAGACTGGTAAATTAAACCCATTCTGGAAAATTCTCAGCCATCCACTCTTTGAATATTTTCTTTTTTCATTCTCTTCTGGAACTCAGTTGAATGTGAGATCTTCTCACCCCTCCCTCTTCTTTTCTTATTTTTTTTGCAGAGACGGGGCCTCACTCTGTTGCTCAGACTGGTCTTGAACTGCTTGGCTCAAACAATCCACCCACACTGGCCTCCCAAAGTGCTGGGGTTACAGGCCTGAGCACTGCAGCCAGCCTGTCTTCTTTGTCTTGTTTGCTAGTCTCATGCTATCATGATTATTTCTCCAGATCTCTCTGTAGCTCGCAAATTCTCTAATGTATTGTTTAACCCTTCCATTAACTTTTTTAAAACTGCAGTATAGGCTGGGCACGGTGGCTCACGCCTGTAATCCCAGCACTTTGGGAGGCCGAGGCGGGCAGATCACAAGGTCAGGAGATCGAGACCACCCTGGCTAACATGGTGAAACCTTGTCTCTATTAAAAATACAAAAAAATTAGCCAGGCATGGTGGTGGACACCTGTGGTCCCAGCTACTTGGGAGGCTGAGGCAAGAAAATGATGTGAACCTGGGAGGCGGAGCTTGCAGTGAGCCAATATCACTTCACTCCAGCCTGGGCAACACAGCCAGACTCCGTCTCAAAAACAAACAAACAAACAAACAAACAAACAAAAAAACTGCAGTATAATTTACATACAGTCCAAGTCGCTGTTTCTGATGCATACTTCAGTTTTGATCAATGCACACAGCCATGTAACAACCATCAGCATCAAGATACAGAATCTTTCCACAGCCCCCCAGAATTCCCTCTTGTCCCTCTGAAAGTCAGTCCTTCCACTGCCCCAGCCCCTCGTGACTGCAGAGCTCTTCTCTGTTGCTATAGTGTTGTCTTTTCCAGAATGTCATATAAAAACAAAAACTGCAGCCTTCTAAGTGTGGCCTCTTTCACTCTGCATAAGACATTTCAGGCTTATCCCCGCTGCCCCCAGCATCAGTGGCCCAGTCCTGTCTCCTGCTGAGTGCTGTTTTATGGAACCGGTGGGCTGCCGTTTGTTTACCCATTGGCCAGTTGAAGAGTGTCTGGGTTGCTTTCAGTTTTAGGTAAATGAATAAAGCTTCTGTGAACACTTGCATCATTTTTCATTGTGGTTACAGTATTTGGTTATTGTGTGGACATATGTCTTCATTTCTCTGGTATAAAGAATGAGGGGCAGGATTGCTGGGTCATACAGTAAATGATTGTTTTATTTTATAAGAAACTGCCAAACTGATTCCAGAGGGCTCCACTATCTTGTAGTCCCACCAACAAGGTATGAGAATTTCTGTTGTTCCACACCCTCACTAACACTTGGTTTTGGTCTTGTCTTTTTTTTTTTTAAGGCATTCTCACGGGTGTGCAGTAGTTTCTCATTGTGATTTTTATTTGCATTTCCCAGAGGACAGTGCTTATTTGCCACCTAGAGAGCTTCTTTGGTGGAGTGTCTGCTCAAATCTGTTGCCCACTGTACAAAATAAGTTGTTTTTGTATTAGTGAGCTTTGACAGTTTTTTGTATGTTCTGGTTACACGTCCTTAATCAGCTACATGACTGGCAAAGGTTTTCTCCTGGTAACTTGTCTTTTCATTCTCTAAACAATGGTTTTCACATAGCAAGAAGGTTTAATTTTATTAAAGTATGACTTGCCAATTTTTTTCCTTTTATAGGCTCTATTTTTGGTGTCATATCTAAGAAATGTTTACTTAACCTATAGTCACAAAACTTTTTTCCTATGTTTCATAGTTTTGAATTTCATGTTTGGGTCTATGATTCATTGAGTTAATTTTCTATGGGGTGTGAGGTAGGGATCAAGATTACTTCCATTAAGTTTTGAATTTCAATTATTACATTTTTCATTTTTAGAGGTTCTATTTGGTTCATTTATTATCTGCTTAGCCTCTGATACTCTCTTGCTTATTTATGCTTTTTAGCTTCTCCTTTGTTTCTTCAAACACATTAAACATATTTGCATTTCCTATTCTAACATCTGAGTCTTTGCAGGTGTGCTTCTTTTGGCCATAACTTCTGAGGCCCCTTCTCTTGTGTGTGCTGTGATTTTCCACTATGAGCTTATAGTCTAGGGATCCTGCTGGCTGGAATTCCTTGAGGCCTGGGTTGGGGGTTCCTCCTGCAAGGACATACATTTCTTTCTACCAGAGGCCTGGGGGCACTATAGCTCCAGATATGCTTGCAATTAAAAGTCACAGTTTGCAGTTCTTTTGAACATGTAAATAATATGAACTTTGGCCCTATACCTGTGATGGAGAGTGCTAGCCAGGGGCCATAAATTTATAGGAGAGACTTTTTAAAGATGTTCCATCCACAGCCATGGCCAAGTGAGATACTGTTTCTGCAGTGAAGCTTAGAGTAGTAGTTTGCCCACTTCATCATTTCCTGGTAGTGTTTGCTGTATCCCTCTGTGAGCCCAGCCTTATATGGGGGTCTCCAATTTGGTTCTGCCCCTCCCTGGGCCCAAGGCTTCTCCAGACTGCTCCCCAAACTTACCTCAAAGTTCTAGGTCATCTGGGTCCATGGGGACCCAGGCCATAGAGTGTCTTTAGCACAGAACTACCTCCTTAGACTTCAGCCCTCGCCTGGTTTCTAGACTCACTATCCTGCAGACTCATTCACGGTTTTATATATTTTATCTGGCACTTTTTGAAAATCTGGCATTTTTAGATGTTTTGTTGAGATAGATTTTCAGGTTCTCTCATCTACCATATTACCAGAAATAGAAGTCCTTGTCAGAGTGATTTTTCACAGAAATCATTGTAAATATTTTTGAAAAATTATACTATACAGCAAAGCAAGCTCTCCCCTAGAGAGCAAATATATGTAAAAATTACAGGGTCAGAGTTCCTTGACACTCGGCCCCTCCCCACCTCCAGAAGCCCATGCAGGGAGCCTCCTCAGCTCTGTTTAACGGCTGCCTCCAAAAGGAAGGGGCTCAGTCCAGCCCCACTCTGGCCTAAGGGCCCTGAATGATGAGTGTGAGATGCAGCTCCCACAAAGCCCAGCGGCCACTTACCTTCCGCTGTGCAGCAGCAGGCCTGGAGCGGCTGAGGGCTGCACAGCTTTTTACTGCTGGTGGTGTTTCAGCTTTCGGAGCTGCTGCATGTGCAGAGGCTGCACAGCCAATCTGGCCCCCTGTGGTGACAGCAGAGAGACAGCACGCAGGACACACGAAGTGCGCATGGACAAGGATCTGCATCTCACACTCATCATTGCCGCTGATTTGCTCAGAGGAGTAACCTGCCTGGCAATGATGGTAAAGGAAATGCCTGCTGCCTTAAAAAGGAGAAATAACGCCCATGCCGCATCTCCCCTTAATAGAGGCAAGCAGCTCTTGCTGGGGGGTACAGCGGCCTCTGCTCCATTTGCTTAAAAGGGGGAGGTGCAAGGAATGAGGCTCTAATTAGGTGTCTTAAAAAATTAACACATGAGGCGCCGATGGTCGTTGTGGGAGTCGGTCTCGGTCCGGCACCCCAGAACTCCAACTGGCAGACAGGCATGTGTGACTGCTTCAGCGACTGTGGAGTCTGCCTCTGTGGCACGTTTTGTTTCCCGTGCCTTGGGTGTCAAGTTGCAGCTGATATGAATGAATGCTGTGTGGAGCAAGCGTCGCAATGAGGACTCTCTACAGGACGTGATATGGCATCCCTGGATCTATTTGTGATGATTATATGGCAACCCTTTGCGGTCCTCCTTGTACTCTTTGCCAAATCAAGAGAGATATCAACAGAAGGAGAGTCATGCGTACTTTCTAAAAACTGATGGTGAAAAGCTCCTACCGAAGCAACAAAATTCAGCAGACACCTCTTCAGCTTGAGTTCTTCACCATCTTTTGCAACTGAAATATGATGGATATGTTTAAGTACAACTGATGGCATGAAAAAAATCAAATGTTTGATTTATTATAAATGAACGTTGTCCCTGAGCTTAGCTAAATGGTGCGACTTAGTTTCTCCCTGCTTTCATATTATCGAATTTCCTGTCTTATAGACTTTTTAAATTACATTTGAAATATAAACCAAATAAAAGATTTTACTGATAAGAAAAAAAAGTTAACACATGGCAGAACAACTCAGCAACTTCTAGAATGAGAAATTTAGAAAGGTTTGATGCAACTCACTCAAGTGAGTTGTTTCGAGTTTGGTGAGGCGAAGGTGGCTGCCTACCTGCCGCTTTTTGCAGCTGCCTTATCACAACACTGATCCCGTTGCGTTGATGGAAGCACTGTGACCCTGGCTGACAGCACCACAACTGCCAGGACAGACACCACAGGGGGCGTGGCCACAGCAACCTGGGCCATCTGGTACGTCAGCGCTGACGTCAGTCTTGGGCCTTGCAGGTGGGAGGTGGAAACTCGAGTCTAAATAACAAGAAACAAGGATCACATATGCCCTGCCCTGTCACACTGCGTTATCCTTCCTCAGGGGTTGAAATCATCAGCCCCCATCAGGTATTAAAAACAATGATGAGGCCAGGCGTGGTGGTTCACACCTGTAATCCCAGCACTTTGGGAGGCTGAAGTGGGTGGATCACCTGAGGTCAGGAGTTCGAGACCAGCCTGGCCAACATGGTGAAACCCGGTCTCTACTAAAAATACAAAATTAGCCGGGCGTGGTGGTGCATGCCTGTAATCCCAGCTAATGGGGAGGCTGATGCAGGAGAATCACTTGAACCCAGGAGGGGAAGGTTGCAATGAGCCAAGATTGGGCCATTGCACTCCAGCCCAGGTAACAAGAGTGAAACTCCTTCTCAAAAAAAAAAAAAAAAAAAAAGCAAAAAAAAAGCAATGATGACCGAACGCTTACAAGCCGGGCTACCTGGAGGTTGGCCATGGTGGTGCCCATCAACAGGGCTCTGGGTCTCGGGGCCGTGACTGTGGTGAGCTGGGGGCTCTGCTGTGGTAGGCGGGTGACGGCTGCACTTGCACTTGTGTGGTTGGCTGTGCCCCGGGCAGGGCCTGTGGTGGTGGGGGTGGTGGGAGCAGCTGCAGTTTCTGTTTCTGGAGTCTAATCAAGTGCTCCTGAAGATACAGATAATACTCATGTGTTTCCTTAGTTGGCAAGCTCACTTACGCAAATCCGGAAGTTTATGTCTTTCTTCACTCATGCTTTTAAAAAGACTGTCAAGAGATGTACAGCTAATCAGATATAGATGCTACTACCAGGTATCTCTGGTATCACGGGCTTGCTTTCAGGAGCCACGTGGTTCTAATGGCACATCCTGACTGGCCCTCGGCCCCCACAAATGCACCGCCGGCAGCTCCCTCCCACACATAGGACACAACACACACTCTTGCACATGACACACAAGGCTCATGCAGAGACGCGCCATCCTCAGAAACACCCGCACACAAGGCTGGCCCTGGGCTGGCCTCAGGGAACTTGGGATTTGGGGAGGTTCCCACCATTCTCTGACCCACAGCCCCTCATCCTCTGGGCCTGTGCCGCCTTCTCCCTGCGTTCTGAGTCCTCACCACACAGCCCCGAGCTTCCTGAATGCACTGCACTGCTCCCTGTCACATGCATGTGATGTGTGCGCTACTCCTGCTGCCGTGACTTTCCCTCCCCCGTAACCATCCAGGAACTTCCTATTTGCTCTGAAGACTCAGCATGACCTCCGTTCTCCCAGGTCAGGCACTCCTTTCCCTGTGCTTTCCGATACTCACCACCAGGACTGTGAGTTCCTAGGGGCATGTGTTGGTTTTCCACTTTGAGTAGGTGATTAAAAATGGACGGATGGATGGATGGGTAGATAAGAAGATGGGTGGATGGATGGGTAGATGGATGGACAGATGAGTAGATGGATAGATGGATGGCCGGATGGGGTGGATGGATGGATGAATGAATGGACGGGATGGCTGGCTGAGTGGATGGGTGTGTGGGTGGATGGATGGATATATGGATGGGTGGGTCGGTGGGTGAATGGATGAGTAGACAGAAGGATAGGTGGATGGATGGATGAATGAATAGATGGATGGAAAAGTAGATGGGTAAATGAATGGATAGATGGATGAGTGGATGGATAGGTGGGTGGGTGGATAGACAAGTTGGTAGGTGGATCAGTGGATGGGTGGGTGAGTGGATGAATGGAGGGACAGATGAGTAGGTAGACAGGTAGGTGGGTGAATGGATGGATGGATGGACAGACAGGTGGGTAGATGGATGGATGAATGGGTGGGTGGGTGAGTGAATGGGTAGAAAAGCACTGGGACTATAGGTATGAGCCACTGCACCCGGTATATGTATTTTAAATTTAGCCATTAAATTTGAAAGATAAAGCATATAAAGTGGATGTTTAAAATCTTTTTCTTTTCTTTCTTTTTTTTTTTGAGACAGAGTCTCACTCTGTCACCCAGGCTGGAGTGCACTGGTGCGATCTCAGCTCACTGCAACCTCCACCTCCCGGGTTCAAGCGATTCTCCTGCCTCAGCCTCCCGAGTAGCTGGGACTACAGGTGCATGCCACCATGCCCGACTAAGTTTATTTTTAGTAGAGATGGGGTAAAATCTTTTTCTTAAATACAGCACAAACTCACATCATAGGGGTGCACCAAGTCACATTTCAGCTGGATGCCTGCATGTCGAAATCTCTGATTAGCCAAAGCCAATATTACCATCAACAGAATAAACTCTGTGACAGATGAATAAATCTGACATTTTATTTTTTAAATAATATTTTAAATTTAGGGGTCAAGCTTATTTGTATCTGTGAAAAATTCCCAAACTAGTACTTTTTCTTAAAAGACTTGTCAACAACAGAATTAAACGCTGTCCTTGAAGATGATTTTGCTCAATGCTGTGAATGCCACAGTTCATCCCAACACACAGATCAGAATCAGCCTCCAATCCAATCTTCCCACCACGCTTGATATTATTACTTACATGTTTGGAAATACATGTTGGTTCAAAAAAGATAAAATGTGCTTCCTAAAGTGTTCTACCATGGAGTCTCTCTTTATGTTTGTAGCAACTATTAATCTATTTCTGTATTTTATTATTAGAAAGTTCTTGACAATTATTTGTGGGCACAAAATTACCAGCTTTCACAATAATCATTCATTGTGCTGCAGCCTTCTGCCACTGCAACAACAGATACAGGTTCATATTTCAACAACAGAACTTCTAAATATAAAATCCCATAAGGGTTTTTTCTTTTTTTTTTAATCCCAAGTCACCTGAATACACACCCACATTTAGAAGTGAATATTCTGGCTGGGCACAGTGGCTCACACCTGTAATCCCAGCCCTTTGGGAGGGTGAGACGGGCAGATCACCTGAGATCAGGAGCTCAAGACCAGCCTGGCCAACATGGTGAAACCCCGTCTCTACTAAAAATACAAAAAATTAGTTGGATCTGGTGGCTCATGCCCGTAGTCCCAGCTACCGAGGAGGCTAAGGCAGGAGAATCGCTTGAACCCAGGAGGCGGAGGCTGCGGTGAGCCGAGATCACACTGTGGTACTCTAAAGCCTGGGTGACAGAACAAGACTCTGTCTCCAAAAATAAAAAAAGTGAACATTCAGAAACTCATGATTGTAAATAATATGGCTTATTTATATTATAGGTACATAGTCCCTTATCCAAAATCCTTAGGGCCACACAGGGTTTGGAATTCAGACTGTTTCAGAGAAGTAAGGTAATGACATAAGTCAAATAAGCATGGGAAAGTGTTAGGGACGGCATCTGGCAGCCATGACCAAACACGCCGACGTTTCCACAGCAATAGCACCCAGACACACTCACCCACCAGGACCGCGGGGCTGGCCTGGCCTCGGTGTGGGTCAGGTTTGCTGCAAAATGAGTGAGCAACACTGAGTGGGCAAAACCTTTCTGCTGTCTGAGCTTTCAGAGTTTTAGAACTGCAGATAAAGGGTATGAACCCAAGGGACGCTGTCCTACTGATCAGACATGGCGTAACCTGCCCCATCACAGGACACAGAGGACAGTCGAGGTGCCCGGTCCCCACACGGCAAAGCCAAAAGGCAGTTTGGGCGGAAAAACCAAAGGCAAGACCACACGTTTCTGTTTTGATTTGAAGTCATCCTGAGAAAATTCGATTTTGAAATTGACCCTTTCTGGGTGGTCCCAAAGATCGTGAGTAGATCTGTCCTCTCTGGAGGGAGACCAGAGGGAAATGCTGAGGAGACTGGAGACCGGAGCCCCCCGGCAAGGACACGGGCACCCTGAAGCCCCTCACCCGGAACATGAAGTTCTGATATCACAAAGAAAACACTCACCACGTGGCTTTTATTTTCCAGTGGAGCACTTGCTTCCAAGATGCTGGAATCTTTACCTACAAAGGCATAATTCATAATGTTTTCAGGGCTTCAGCCTCATTATGCCATGTCACAAAGCACAGGAGCATAACAATGAATTCTCACAGTTCACCTTGGCAGTGGGCTATAACATGACGACTCTTTGAATAAGTACACTATATTAACTTACTTGGTTACCTCTTTTTGAATATTTATTCAAATTTAATGTCTTTTTTTGTTTCTCTTGAAATTCAATTTGCAGCTTTATTTCTACTATCTAAAAGATAATCTACGATCTAAAAGAAAATCATGAATTAAAATATAAAATCATTAGCTCCCGAGTGAAAACTTGAGGGCAAATTGTAGAGGAAACGTGTGTTTACCTGCGCAGTACTAGACCAGGGACGCTCGATTTCTCTGGTAGTACAGGTGACGTCTGCCTCAGCCTGCTCGGCTCCTCCCTCCTGGCCCCGGCCTCCCTGCGCGTCCTGTCCTGCAGCTGCCGGGCCACAGCTCTGACCATCTGAAGACAATCGCCACATTGTCTGTGAGGGTCTCCACGCACACAGTAATATGGAAACATCTTGTTTTTTACTAGATATACATATTTAATTCTGGAGAATTCCAAAGAAAGTCTATTTTTCCATTTTTAGTATCCATTCATGATACTGCTTCAAGCAACAATTCTAATAATATTCAATAATAAAAAGTAAAATGAATATTCCCCTAGAAAATATCCCTTTACTGTCAGTCAAAGACACTTATGTTAATGGGCAATAAAGTCCAGATGAAACATGAACCACAATTATCACAGCGCTTTCTATGCAAACATAATTCGAGATAATCCTTCTCAATTTAGACGGTGCCATGGCCAGACATGAAATGCCAGTTGGTATGAAATTGTCCACATGGCCGGGGGTGGTGGGTCATGCCTGTAATCCCAGCACTTTGGGAGGCCGAGGCAGATGGATCACTTTGAGGTCAGAAGTTCGAGATCAGCCTGGCCAACATGGCAAAACCCCATCTCTACTAAAAATACAAAAAATTAGCTGGGCATGGTGGCAGGTGCCGGTAATCCTCACTACTCAGGAGGCTGAGGCAGGAGAGTCCATTTAACCTGGGAGGCGGAAGTTGTAGTGAGCCGAGATTGAGCCACTGAACTCCAGCTTGAGTGACAGAGTGAGACTCCGTCTCAAAAAAAAAAAAAAAGACTTACAGTCAGGTAAAGTCTTAGAGTTAGTGATGAAAACTCAAACATTAAATTGGCCATATTAAATTTAGAAATTTTCTTTTACATAATATAATTACTTCTTCAATTCTCTTTCACGATGTGATTTCCACAAAGTACTATTCCAACCCACCTTCTTCACAGAGGCCACCTTCCACCTCTCCTGGGCAAAGTCTGTGGCCATCCACTGCATCTCCTCCAGCAGATAGTCCCAGTGGGACTTGGGTCGTGGGCCTCCTGCAGCTTCAGCAGACGCCTCTGGGACCACAGACCTGCTTTCCTCAGCTCCGCAATGCGCTGATGCACCTGGTTCTCCTGAAAGACAGGAGCAGCCCATCAACTGTGAAGACAGAGACTCCAGCCCCTTTGTCACAGGCTCAGATGAAGGACCTGAATGAGGGAAGGCGGTTTCCCGGCGGTCCCCAGTACAGCCCACACTGGGTGCTGGTGGGGGAACCTGCAGTTCCCAGATGCTGTGCACACACCCCAGATGCCCCCTGCTCTAGAATCTGAGTAGGCTGGTGCCAAAGAATCACTAGAGAAGCAGCCATGGCCAGTTTTTCAGATGCCTTTACCGTCTGCCATATTATATTGAGAAACATTTCAACTTCTAATTTAAACAGCTTGTAGCAAAAGCAACTTCTTTCACAGATAACTGAGCTCTCTCACCAGCTTCATCTGCTCTGCAATCTTGTCCTAAGGGCTCTCTATGGCCATAGGGCCTGGTGGGGGATGGGGCGGGGCAGGTGGTGCTGTACTCTGGGCTCTGGACGCCATGGCCACAGCCACACCTGCAAGTCTGAATGCACCTGGAGAGGCAGCTTTGTGACTTGCTGGGGGGGTGCTGCTTGTCTGCATGGAGCCGATGGAAAGGGGTGCTGCTGGCCGGGCGCGGTGGCTCACACCTGTAATCCCAGCACTTTGGGAGGCTGAGGTGGGCGGATCACGAGGTCAGAAGATAGAGACCATTCTGGCTAACACGGTGAAACCCCGTCTCTATACAAAAAAAATTAGCCAGGCGTGGTGGCGGGTGCCTGTAGTCCCAGCTACTCGGGAGGCTGAGGCAGGAGAATGGTGTGAACCCGGGAGGCCGAGCTTGCAGTGAGCCGAGATCGCGCCACTGCACTCCAGCCTGGGCGACAGAGCGAGACTCCGTCTAACAAAAAAAAAAAAAAAAAAAGAAAAGAAAAAAAAGAAAGAGGTGCTCCCCGCAGGAGCCGAGGGCAGACGAGGTGACAGAGGCAGAGTGTTTGCAATAACTGGTTACCCTCAAGGGCAGCAAGCAACCCGTCATTAACGCATTCGGTTCTCAATTCCACTAAAACCTTTACCCGGAACGCTGACTTACGGCCCTCACCATTTCATCAGAAGTGCTTAGTAGGGGAAAAACATTGAACAAGTTAGACCTAGTCCTTTACACTCACTGGAAACACAGATTCCTGGGGAAGCACAGACCACCGAGAATATTCTGGTACTGCAGCCCATGTGGGTCAGGACTCATCCCGTGCCCGGGTTTGGAGGGCAGCCCCTTTGGGTACCTGGGATGGTGCCGCAGGCAGAGGCTGGCGGGCCTGGGGAGCTGCCTGCTCCTGGGTGGGGAGGTGGAGCGCAAGCTAAACAGCCTGCCTGGTGGCGAGCGCCGGCCTGGCAGGAAAGGTGGCGGCGCTGCGATTGGCTGCTGGGTCCTTCCCTGGACTGAGAGCTGTGCTTGTGGCTCTGTCGCCTGCTGCTGGGAGACCTGCAAAGACGCTGCAGCGCGGACCCCGGCTGGGGCAGCCTCCCGGCGTGTGCAAGCTGGAGGCGTTCTGCACGGGAGGCCCCGTGGAGGGGTCGTACTGCTGCTGCCTCTGCCTCTGCCTCTGCCCAGCGAGCTGCGCGGCGTGCGGCGTGGGGGGCATTCCTCCCGCAAACGCAAAGAAAGTCAAGCCCAGCTCTCCCAGTATCTGACAGCAAAACAGAGACGCGACCTTAAGAAATTAGGGAGCCCACTGCTCCCCAAACCGAATAATGTCCCAGGTGTCCATTGACAGATGATGCGTAAAGAGAATAAGGCCTTAGCGAGGAAGGAAATCCTGCCACGTGCCACCGCGTGTATGAGCCCCGAGGACCTTCCGCTGAGTGACACGAGCCAGGCACAGAGGGGCAGGCAGATCCTGTCTGTCCCACTGACATGGGGTCCCTAGAGCACTCAAAGCCATGGGGACAGCAAGCGGAGCGGGGCTGCCCAGGGGAGGGGCGGGGCATCCGTGTTTCACGGGGGCAGCGTTTCTGTTTGGGAGGGTGGAAATCTTCTGTAGGTGGACGCAGGTGACAGCTGCACAGCAACGTGAACGTGCTTCATGCCACTGAGCTGTGGCTTCAAATGGTAAAACAAAAGCCAACCGGAAGAACTCCAAGGAGTAACGTTTGAATCGTTATTATTATTTTCGAAATAAGGGCTCGCCCCGTCACCCAGGCTGGCATGCAGTGGAGCAATCACAGCCTTGTCTCTGCAGCCTTGACCCCTGCGCTCAAAGCGATCCTTGTGCCTCAGCCTCCCGAGTAGCTGGGATCACAGGCGTGCGCCATCACGCCCGGCTAATTTTTGTATGTTTTGTAGAGACGGGATTTCTGCATGTTGGCCAGGCTGGTCTCAAACTCCTGACCTCAGGTGATCCGCCCACCTCGGCCTCCCAAAGTGCTGGGATTCCAGGCTGAGCCGCCGCAACCTTCAAGCACAGGTTTTAAAAAAATCATTTTTACAGTAGTTGTTCCAGTCCTAAACATAGCCAATATAAAAGATTTGATTTTACATTTTACAACCAAAAAAGATGGAAATCTCTAGAATCTAGGCAGTGGCTAAACTATCAATTTGGCCCCATCATTCCTTTTCAGGCCCATGGTCCTGAAGGGACCTCCTTCCTCCTACTCGACAGAACTCTCAGCAGCAGATGAGGGCGGCCAATGCCACGGCCTGTGATTGGAGGGTGCCAGCCTCTGGCTGCCCTGTGATTGGAGGGCGCCAGCCCCTGGCTGCTCTGTGATTGGAGGGCGTTGGCCTGTGACTGGAGGGTGCCCGCCTCTGTGCTGGCCTTTGATTGGAGGGCGCCGGCCTGTGACTGGAGGGCGCCCTGCCCTGCGCTGGCCTGTGACTGGAGGGTGCCCTCCCCTGTGCTGGACTGTGATTGGAGGGTGACTGCCTCTAGCTGCCCTGTGATTGGAGGGCGTCAGCCTGTGACTGGAGGGCGCCCTCCCCTGCGCTGGCCTGTGACTGGAGGGTGCCAGCCTCTGCACTGCCCTGTGATTGGAGGGCTCCCGCCTCTGGGCGCGCTTTTCCTCCTCTGGTGATCTGCAACCGCACAACTCGCCTCACAGCCCCCACGCTGGGAGAAGGCGATGGCCGTGCCCTCTGCTCCGGGGGCTCCGTGCTCCTGGATGGTGACTCCCCAGGCCCGGCCCACCTGCCCGCCCCGCAGCTGCAACGCTCCTGGCTCACACCCTGCCCAGCAGCTGCAGCCTGAAGGCCTCGACGACCACCTGCCTCGGGGCGTGCACGTGGCGCAGCCTCTGCCACCAACCCTCCTCAGGCGGGCGCGGTCAGCAGCGCCCACTCTGTTCTAGCAGCAGCGCAGCTTCTCCACCTCAGCACCATCTGCGAGGGACTCCGCCTTGAGGACACGGGACCACCTTCCCTGACCACCTCCTGTCCCGAGGGCAGAGAGGAGCGCAGGGCACGCCAGGCCCTGCCTTCCCCAGCGAGGCACAGACACAGGCGACCTGACGGGAGTGGGCGCTCTGAGGACCAGGGAGAGCAAACATGACGGCGCAGGGCGGGCGCCGGGGCGGCAAAGGCCTCTCCAAGGTGGGCCGTGGAGCCAAGACCTGAATAAAGAGAAGGGAGCAGTCGGGAGCCGGTCCGGGCAAAGGCAGGGGGTGGCGGTCACGCATCTCTGCGTACTCGGGCCTCGCCACTCGCCAGTCTCTGTAAATATCTGCTGAAGGAGCGCATCGATGTGACTTATCATCATGGACCGGTTTCCCGGGTCTCTAGGCACACACTGATGCGCACGTACGTATGCATATCCTAGTACCGGTATTTGCTGGTGTGTTTTCCTTGAAAACTACGGTGTACTCTATAAGCAATGCAAACTTGCAAAAATTAAAGAAAGACAAAAAACAGTAGATGCTGGCGAGGACGTGGAGAACAGGGAACACTGCACACTGTTGGGGGGAGTGTAAATTAGCATAGCCTCTATGGAAAATAGAATGGAGGTTCCTCCGAAAACTAAAAATACAACTACCGTCCAATCCAGTAGTCCCACTCCTGGGTGTGTATCCAGAGGGAAATAAATCATTCTCTTGAAGTCATACCTGCGCTCGCATGTTTACTGCAACACAGTTCACAACAGCAAAGACACGGAATCAACCTAAGTGCCCATCAACAGACAGTTGGATAAGAAGATGTGGTGCATATATACACAATGGAATACTGTCCAGCCATAAAAAAGAATGAAACTGTCCTTTGCAGCAACATGGATGCAAACAGAGGCCATCATCCTAAGCGAAACAACTCGGACACAGAAAGACAAACACCGCACATTCTCACCCGTAAGCGGGAGCTAACTCACACGTCCACACAGATGTGTGGAATGAGAGACACTGGAAACTTGGAAGGGTACAGGGTGAGGGGAGGGTAGATGCTCAGTGGGTGTGATTACATTATTCCCATAACGGCTGCACTGAAAGCCCAGACTTTGCCACCACGAAGTATGTCCATGCAACAAAACTGCTCCTGTACCCCATAAGTTTATAGCGAAAAAGTTGGATATGTTAAAAAAAATTAAAGCTTGCCATTAAATCTATAGAATATTAATTTTTTAGTGTGGTATTAACTGACACGTGCTTACAACATGGTGCTGTGCTCAGCGCCTTACAGACGTAACAGTGTTAGTCCCCAGAACACACTTGAGAAGTGTAATTATCGCTGTTGCTCCCATTTTACAGATGAGACAACTGAGAGGGGTGAGGTGACACCACATTGGCCACATCCCCAGAGCCAGCGAGGGCACGGCTGACCACACTGCAGCCCGCACTCCAAGCGTCACAGCACGGGCCCCACAGAGCAAACAACAGTGCATGTGAAGACAGCCTGAGATCATCATAGAGAAAAAGAGAATGCTTCTACTTGGAAAAAGTTAGGAAAATACATGAAAACTCTTGATAGTTTGGTTTTTAATCACCTGTAGGGGAAACTGTGAGTCTGCACAGACACCACCAGCCTGTGCCCAGGTCTGGGTCAATAAACAGATGCAAGGGCCCACTCTGCCCAGGAACAATCAACAGATGACAGAGTGTGCGGTAGCTTCAAAGCCTCAGAGCTCAGAGCTTCAGAGCTGTTGGCTCCCGGCTCCCACAGCCTACTCCTGGACTAGTACCTGCCAGGTTCTTCGGCACACAGATGCTTTGTGCTGTTGGCATTAACTGCTGGAGAGGAACACCTGATGTCACCTCCAGGTGCTGTAAACCCATCCCAGGATGGCCCACTTGTAGGTGAGGCCTCTGACATCAAAGGAGAATCTGTGACATCAAATCCAATCACAGCACAGTGAGCCAGGTTCCACCTTCAAAGTTCATGCTACACTGTCCCTGGTGCAGAACACGGAAATAGCACAGAACGCACTGCGGGCAGGACATCCTCTCTCTGATCCTCACCAGGAAGGGAGGCAGTCTCAGGCCTGGGTGGGACCAAGCTCTTGAGGCACCCATCTTGCTTTGCTCTGAGTCCATGCCCACTGCCAAGTGGCCTGTTCCCAGGGATCCTGCTGTCAAGGGGGGTGGCTGGACAGTGAGTTCGGGGACACTCACATGCCAGATTCTGATGTGCCTGGCCGGCATGGGGAAGCTCCTGGGCACAGAGCTGAGGCCCAGGCCCTGCCACTACATGAGTGCCCGTGGCCTCCCCAGGCCCGCTCCCATGCCTCCAGCTCAAGGCACTAAGTGGCCAAAATGATGGCTGAGTGTAAAGTCACTTCGCTCCAAGCAAGAACTGAGAGGAGGCACAGGGGTGACCCCGTGAGCCCACAGAAGCCATTTGGTAGCTATTTGTTGACTTACTTAAAATGAAAAAAGTTGGAAAATACACTGCTAGAAGGCCTGCATGGTTTCCTTTTTGTTTGCAGGCTGGCTTCATGCTGGGTGACTGCTACATACCTGTGGGCGCCAGTGTTCACTGCCTCTTAGATGCTTCCATTTTTATGGAATTCACATCTCCAGGTACTGGAGTCCCCATATGTATTTGCTATTAGGAGACAAAAATTATGGGAAGTAGAAATGTGTGTTAATTTATATCACACTGATTTTAAAATAAGTATTTCTCCACTGTCTCTTCAATTTCTATGACAAAGAACATGATATCACAGCTTAGAGCTATTGGCCAGTGATCATAAATAAACTCAAAAAACCCTCCATATTAGCCTTTGAATTTGACAGAAAGGAACAAAAATAATCTTTTCATCGTTTAGTACTTTTCTGTGTACCACTTGCTAAAGGCAGCACAACAGAACCAGGCTTCAGAAGTAGTTTGTAGATAAGAAATCTAAGTCACAACTGCTAACCAAAAGCGGAAGCCAGAATTAAAACACCAGAGGTATCCATGTGAAAACTAAATCTAGAGCTTAGAAAAATAGTTGTATAAACTAAGGCAAAAATGACAATGTCAAAGTATTTGTGGAAAGAAATAAAACTCTAAGTCTATAATATGTCTTCACCAAAAAACAGAAGGCTTATGTGGATTTGACAACAGACAAAATCTTAGTAACTGGAGAATAATGTGAAAAGAAAAATGTCTAAACGTTTACTGAGTAGAAAGCAGACTTAGGTTTTATAAAGTCCACCATACATGAAAATGGGTTGTACTCTCAACTCTAACTGAAATGAGGACAAAGCCACACAAGGCCCCTGCAGAGGTGTCCCACACACAAGCACTGGAGCTGCTCTAGGTATTGCTTTCCATCTGTTTGCTTGGGAGAAGTTGTAATAAACCTTTCCCCCAACAAGCGCAGACCCTCAGGCCTTGCCTCATCATCTGGGGGACTGCATCTGTGACAGTCACTTCCGGGACACATCTCCTGGCATGGGTCCTCAGGGACAGCCTCAGAATCAACTCCTCAGAGGGATCTGCAGCATCTGTAAATACACTGATTGCTATTTTTGGGATATTGGGATAGGAAATGTATATGTGTTGATCCTCAGGCATTATTATCATATAAAACAACATTTGTTTCAATATCCTTGTATATGAGCCCTTCCTCAAGCAAAATGTTAAGTTTCAGAGACCAAAATAGAATGGCGATTTGGCTGGGCGTGGTGGCTCATGTCTGTAATCCCAGCACTTCGAGAGGCCGAGGTGGGCAGATCACTTGAGCTCAGGAATTCGAGACCAGCATGGGCAACATGGTGAAATCCCATCTCTACAAAAAAAATACAAAAATTAGCTGGGTGTGGTGGTGCATGCTGATAGTACCAGCTACTCAGGAGGCTGAGGCAGAAGAATCATTTTGAGCCCGGAAGAGCAAAGTTGCAGTGAGCTGAGATCGTGCCACTGCACTCCAGCCTGGGAGACAGAGCAAGACCCTCTCTCAAAAAAAAAAAAAAAAAAAAAAAAGGAACAGAGATTCAGACAGGTTCACAATTAAAACCAGTGTGCACTATTACTTCAAAGACTGTCAGAATGCTGCAGCAGGCTGAGTTTCAGAAATACCAAAAAAGGCTGGAAAAGATGCTTAAACAAACAAAAAACCAGGCTGGACAACATTAATTTTTTTAAATAAAAAGCTGAAAATTTAGCTGGGCATGGTAGCTCACGCCTGTAACTCCAGCTAGTTGGGAGGATGAAGTGGGAGAATCGCTTAAGGCCAGGAGTTCTAGACCAGCCTGGGCAACATAATGAGATGCCATCTCAACTAAAAATTTTAAAAATTAGCTGAGCATGGTGGTGTGGTGCTTATAGTTACAGCTACTAGAGAGGCTGAGGTGGGAGGACTGCTTGAGCCCAGGAGATGGAGGTTGCAGTGAGCCAAGATCGCACTACTGCACTCCAACCTGGGTGACAGAGCAAGACCCTGTTTAAAACAACAACAACAACAACAACAAAACCAGTTTCGTTTCTTTTTTCTTTTCTTTTTTTTTTTTGAGACAAGAGTCTCGCTCTGTCGCCCAGGCTGGAGTGCAGTGGCATGATCTCGGCTCACTGCAACCTCCGCCTCCCAGGTTCAAGCCATTCTTCTGCTTCAGCCTCCCAAGTAGCTTGGATTACAGGTATCCACCATTTTTGTATTTTTAGTAGAGACGGGGGTTTCACCATGTTGGTCAGGCTGGTCTTGAACTCCTGACTTCAAGCAATCCACCTGCCCTGGCCTCCCAAAGTGCTGGGATTACAGGTGTGAGCCACCGCACCCAGCCCACTTTTCTTTCTTTACCTCATTTAAGATGTTAAAGGAAATTTGTTTTTTTGAGCCAATATGTTAACTCATCATGGAGATACGAGGCTGAGTCAGGCAGACGGCCAGGTTCATCCTCTTACTGAACAAGGGCAGGCCCTGCCCCACGACTGCTCTCCAGGGGCATCGGCACAGGGGTTTCAGCCCGGCATGGGGCGCTGCACACAGGGGTTTCAGCCTGGCGCAGGGCGCTGCACATGTGGCCTCGTGTAAAAGCTCAGTTTTTGGTTTCCACTCCCTACTGCTGGCCTCTCCTCAGCAGTCGTCCAGTTGTTTATCCTCTCCTGCTCTTCATACGGTGAACAACTGGAGGACTGCTAAGCCTCAGTCTGGGGCCAAGCTGAGCACATGACAGAGAGTGCCTCTGTCCAGAGTGTCCCCGGAGGGCACCCTCCCATGAGACGCACGGCACCCAGCCCACCTGCATCTGCATCTCCCTAACTGGCCTGCACGGCTTGGTTGAGAAGTAAATGCATGCAGAGGTCCGCCTCCATTGTATTCTTGCCAGAAATGTTCAGCCTAAGTCAGCAGTGAGAAACGGAACACCCAGGCTGTGATGGCCTCTGCAGAGCAACTGGCCTTCAAAACATCAGCGTCGGGAGAGAAAGAAAAGCAGACCCAGGCAGGAACATGCCTCGAGAGGTGTGGATGCCCGCGAGCGTGACCGGAGGGCTGTGGTCATGTGGGACATGCTCTTGTTGGGAGATACACAACAAAGGATCCAGGGGTAAACAAAAACAATCACGACTGTGACAACTTTAAAATGTGTGGAGATAGACAGACAGGTAGAACACATACATGCGGCAAACTATTAACAACTGGTGAGTTTACCACTCACTGTACTGCTCTTTCAACATTTTCAATAATTCAAATTTTTCACAATAAGAAATTGGAAAAAAGAGCCAGGCGTGGTGGCTCACACCTGTAATCCCAGCACTTTGGGAGGCTGAGGCGGGTGGATCACTTGAGGTCAGGTGTTCGAGACTAGCCTGGCCAACATGGTAAAACCCCCTCTCTGCTAAAAATATAAAAATTAGCCAGGCACGGTGGCACATACCTATAATCTCAGCTACTCAGGAGGCTGAGACATGAGAATTGCTTGAACCCAGGAGGTGGAGATTGCAGTGAGCCGAGATCACACCACTACGCTACAGCATGGGTGAGAGAGGGAGACTCTGTCTCAAAAGAATATATAAATAAAGAAATTGGAGAAAAGAAAATTGACACTGCCCACAGCCAGTTTGTTTGGAGAATCACACTGAACTCAACCTGTGTTCTCAACATTAAGAACATGACATGAGAAGAGTAGGGTAGAGCAGCCCTGTGTTCTGTCTGGGTCCTTACGCTTGCTGGGGCCAGGCCAGAGGCGCCAGCCCTGCCGGCCACAGGTACAGCACACTGGGCCACCCCACAGCCTGCATCCTGCTCCCAGGAGCCCATGCATCCCTCCACACTCTTCCTGTGGGATTCTGCATATGTCACCAATGCCATTTGCTACTCTGAGTTAAAGTTGTTTTTTCAAATGCTGTCTCCCTCACTAGTCAATTTTGAACCATCAACAGTGCCAGCTGATTAACAGATTAAAACTCTAAATGTCCTTTTTTTTTTTTTTCTGAGATGGAGTCTCGCTCTTGTTGCCCAGGCTGGAGTGCAGTGGCGCAATCTCGGCTCACTGCAACCTCCGCCTCCTGGGTTCAAGTGAGTCTCCTGCCTCAGCCTCCCAAGTAGCTGGGATTACAGGTGCCCGCCACCAAGCCCGGCTAATCTTTGCATTTTTAGTAGAGATGGGGTTTCACCATGTTGGCCAGGCTGATCTCAAACTCCTGACATCAGGTGATCTGCCTGCCTCGGCCTCCCAAAGTGCTGAGATTACAGGTGTGAGCCACCGTGCCCGGCCAACTCTGAATGTCTTTAGCCATATGTACATGCATAGTCAGTAATATTTTTCTATTACATTATAAAGCATACAGCACACCTATTAGGGTGGCCACTATTAAAAAAATGTACAAGCGTTGACAAGGATGTGGAGAAAGAAAACCCTCGTTCTTGCTGGTGGGATGGAAAATGGTGCAGCTACTATGAAAATGGCATGGACTTTCCTAAACAGTTAAACACAGAGTTAGTGCGTGACCCAGCACTTCCACTCTGGGTATATGCCCAAGAGAACTGAAAGCAGGACCTTGAAGAGATATCTGTACGCCCGTCTTCAGGGCAGCACTGTTCACAGCAGCTGAAATGTGGAAGCAACCCAAGTGTCCACCAAGAGATGGATCAACACATGCAGTCCACCCATCCCGTGGCGTGTGACTCAGCCTTCAAAAGGAAGGAAATTCTGTTACAGGCTACAATGTGGATGCACTCCGAAGACATGATGCTGAGTACAACAACAGACAGAAAAGGACAAATACTGTATGATTCCACTTACTTAGGTCGCTGGAGAAGTGCATTCCAATCCGCAGAGACAGACAGTACAGTGGTGGGTGCCAGGGGCTGGGGGAGGGGGAATGGGGAGTTAGCATTTCATAGGGGCAGAGTTTCAGTCTGAGAAGATGAAAATGTTCTGGAGATGGATGCTGGTGATGGCCACACAGCAATGTGAATGTGCTTCATGCCACGGAACTGTACACTTAAAAATGGGTAAAATGGGAACTCTTATGTATATTTTAACCTAATTTTTAAAACATGTTTTTAAGTATATAGAAATGTTGACTGGGCGCAGTGGCTCACACCTATAATCCCAGCACTTTGGGAGGCTGAGGTGGGGGATCACCTGAGGTCAGGAGTTCGAGACCAGCCTGGGCAACATGGTGAAACCCCATCTCTACTAAATACAAAAAAATTAGCCGGGTATGGTGGCACGTGCCTGTAATCCCTGCTACTCGGGAGGCTGATGCAGGAGAACTGCTTGAACCCAGGAGGTGGAGGTTGCGGTGAGCTGAGATTGTGCCACTGCACTCCAGCCTGGGCAACAGAGCAGGATTCCATCAAAAGGAAAGAAAGATAGGAAGGAAGAAGGGAAGAGAGGAGAGGAGAGGGGAGGGGAGGGGCGGGGAGGGGAGAGGAGAGGAGAGGAGAGATAACTGAGTTGCAGTTTCCAGGAACTTCCTTGTATTCTGAAATCTGAAATCATTGTTTTTTGCTACTCATCCCCTAGAATATGTTTAAAGAACAAAATCAACTCCCTATAGCAAGAAAACAATTTAGAAAATCTGTTTGTTTAAAAGCAGACAAAGGGGGAAAAAAAAGAGAAACATCCAAAGAGGCCACAATCGTACAGAAGCAATGAAAACTGCAAATATATCAGAAAAGCAAATGCAAATGAAAAACATTCCAGCAGAAAAGTTAACAGAACTAATGATCAGAGACAAACACTTTTTAATTTCAGTAACAGTAGGGAAAAATAACAGCATCCATGCATTAAAACTAAGAGCCTTCACAAAGACGTTTCAAGATGTATTTTGAACAAAAGAGGACAGGCTCTTGGGACCCCTCTGGGTCCTGCCTCAGCACATCGAGTCCTCAAATCCGAGTGAGGAAAGTCTGGGGAGCTGCACTGTGGAGCCATCAGAAAGTACCTGGAGCGGCTGCTGCTGGGCTGGAAAAGCCGCAGAAGTCCTCGGCGGTAGCTGGGTTGCTATGGCAACAGGAGTCCCAGGCTGCCCGTGCTTTCTGGCCACAACCTTTACCTGAGAGGGAATATTCAAAGGGAAGGGAGGAAGAAGGGAAAATAATGTTTAAGCTTTGCAAAGTTGATCACCGCCTGCACATCCCATGCAGCTGGCGGCCTCAGCCACTAACAGAGGGGCACGGGGACACTTGGCTCGCTGATGCAATTTCAGGCCTCACAGGGCTGGAAAGAACAAATCTGGCCCTAGGCACTGAAGCTTTGTTTGAAGTCCAGTTGAAACCTCGATCTGTGGCCGGCAGGTAGCCATGGTCAGGCTACACAGGCCATGTCCACACAGCTTCGTGCAGGAGCCCAGGGGCAGTGTCAGAGGGTGGCCAACCCCTCACGGCAGGGGCTGCAGATGCCTGAGGAGGCCATGGTGGGGCATGGCATGGGGAAGAATGACAAAAAACACTCCCATTGAAAATGTGTCATTTCTTAAAAACACACTCTGATAAAACAGAAAGACAAATTAATCTGCATCTCCATAATGACAGCTTCTTAGAGTAAGCAAACCAAAGAAGCTTTCCAGATACATTAACTGCTTCAAGTCCAGGGTATTCAAATGGGAATACCCTGGAAATTAAATGAACTCAAAGTCAAATGGCACTTTACAGCTTGAAATCATAGAGAGAAATACAAGAAAATAGAAACCGGTTCTTACTTCTGGCTGACAGGTCTAAAAAAGAAAAAGGAAAAGAAAAAGAAACTGGTTCTTCTGGCTAAATATGTCCAGAAGGCTAAATATAAACAAGCACATATCATCATAAATAATCAAAACCAAACCTTAATATTTGTCAGTACCCTGGAATAAATTAACTTTAAAAATAATGAATCAGATAGACAGTAAATCTTATGTTTTGTATATGTTACCACAATTAAATGTTTTCTTTTTTTTTTTTTTTTTTTGAGACGGAGTCTCGCTCTGTCGCCCAGGCTGAAGTGCGGTGGCGCGACCTCGGCTCACTGCAAACTCCGCCTCCCGGGTTCCTGCCATTCTCCTGCCTCAGCCTCCCGAGTAGCCGGGACTACAGGTGCCCGCCACCACGCCCGGCTAATTTTTTGTATTTTCAGTAGAGACGGGGTTTCACCATGTTAGCCAAGACGGTCTCGATCTCCTGACCTCATGATCCACCTGCCTCGGCCTCCCAAAGTGCTGGGATTACAGGCGTGAGCCACCGCGCCCGGCCCACAATTAAATGTTTTAAAGAAATCACATAGCGGCTGGGCATGGTGGCTCACGCCTGTAATCTCAACGCTTTGGGAGGCCGAGGCAGGTGGATCACGAGGTCAGCACCAATTCCCCAAGTAAAAAAGCCATAGGCAAATGTAGCTAATTAGTTTAAATAATTTGGATGAATTCTATAGTTACTAGCCCCCAAATATTTTGTAGCTCTAATGAAGTTTGGTAACAGGGATCATGTTACAGAGTCAACACAACGAGCAGCTGGAAGATGAGCAATATTACACAGAGGAAAATATTCACGAAAAACCCAAATGTTAGTCAACTTCCGGTATTTTCCTATAAAATGATGATAAAACATAGATTCCGAAGACGCTAGTCAGGTTCTATAAAAACTTATTTCTATCATTTAGAAGTAAACTTTAATACAACGATGAACTTACTCTTCATGTGACTATGGAAGCTGTTACACTGCTTATCTGCAGTATTTCTTAACTGAATGCCATAATGACCTTTCTAAGGAGACCTTCAGCTGATCCCACAAGACCTGAAGGCTGCGGCACCTCCGCTGTGGCGTGCTTCAAGACGCTTCCATGAAGATAGTCTCCTCAACCTATGAATACCTTACGGGCAAGTTTCCTAGTTTCCACACATAGTAAATGTTTAAAATAATTGCTTTCTAATTTTATTTCATTATAGGGAGAGGACAGTTCATATGAAATTAATTTTATAAATTTTATTGAGGATCCCCTTGGGGGTCAATTTACAAATAGTCTCCATGTATACTCTAAAAAAATTATTCTTTGTTGAAAGTTTTTACACACACATACATATACATGTGTGTTATACACTTAAACAGGCTAATTTGTGTTAATTTGAATAGTTCATGTTCTACACTTATAATTATTTATTGTCTTCTAAGAAAAAAGCTAGTAACTCCTCATATAATTGTGGATTTAAAAACTGCTCCCTAGGAGGCCAAGGTGGATAGATCACAAGGTCAGGATTTCGAGACCAGCCTGGCCAACATAGTGAAACCCCGTCTCTACTAAAGATACAAAAAATTAGCTGGGCGTGGTGGCGGGTGCCTGTAATCCCAGCTACTTGGGAGGCTGAAGCAGAAGAATTGCTTGAACCAGGGAGGTGGAGGTTGCAGTGAGCCGAGATCATGCCACTGCACTCCAGCCTGGGCAACAGTGCGAGACTCCGTCTCAAAAGCAAAAAACAAAACAAAACAAAACAAAAAAAACCTGCTCCCTTGAAATTCTCTAAATAGGCTACACATAGTGGCTCATGCCTGTCATCCCAGCACTTTGGGAGGCTGAGGCGGGCTGATCACTTGAGGCCAGGAGTTCAAGACCAGCCTGGCCAACATGGTGAAACCCTGTCTCTACTAAAAATACAAAAACATTAGCCGGGCGTGGTGGCACATGCCTGTAATCCTAGCTACTCGGGAGGCTGAGGCACGAGAATTGCTTGAATCCGGGAGGCGTAGGTTGCAGTGAGTGAGCTGAGATCGCACCACTGCACTCCAGCCTAGGCGACAGAGCAAGACTTTGTCACAAAAAAAAAAGAAAGAAAGAAAGAAAGAAAATGAAATTCTATAAATTTTTGCTCTGTATATTCTAAGTTAGAGCTGTAACTTGTTCAGAAACTCTTGACATTGAGATGTGTGTTCAGGAACTTGGAATCTTGGCTTTGAGACCAGCCAGCCCTGACTGCAGGCAGCTGGCAAGGGTGGACTCTGGGGTTCTCATCTTGCACGGCACAACCGTTTAGGAGCAGGCAAATGTGGTGGCATTCCAAGAAAGGTGCCAGGACGCTGCCGCCGTGAGCACCTGCCACAGAGGTGCCTGACTGAACACCACTGGAGTTTCCATGCTGCTGGGGGTTCAGCCATGTGCTGGGATCCCTGGAACCACCCTCTGTAAATGTGGGGAGACTCTGAGGGACTTTAAACCACTATTCACAGCCACAGTGTGTCTTTAAAGTGAAGTGCCTAGAACGCATGCTCTGAGATGGTAAGCTCTGCGTTGCACCTGCACGCAGCATAAGCCCTGAGCTCTGCCTCCCATGACAAGCACCAAAACAAAGAACTGTTACCTCATCATTAATGACTTCAAAGTGCTCCTCTTCCTCTTCTTCAATGTCCAAATCATTCTGCCTAAGATATGCTTGTAATGGTCCATACAGTCTCTCCTTGAAAGCTAAGAAATCCATCATGTTCCCTTGAAAGTGTTGCAAGAAAAACAGTTCAATCAAATACTCCTTGAAGACCTCCTTCAGAGCCTGCATCTCCTGGTGATGATAGTCCAGGCACTGCTTCCTCATCTGTGCCATCTCCGGAGAGGCTGGGGGAATCTCCTCTAACTTCTTGGGAACCTTCTTCATTCCCGTGTTCCCCACAGACGTGAGTGGGAGGCTGGAAAGGCCTGGGGGCACGGCAGTCCTGGAAGGGCTGGTGGGCGGGGGTGGGGACGTCATCCCAAACCCCGCTGCGCCCCCAGCCCCGGGGAGCAGCACGCCGGGCGTCCTCTCGAAGCCCAGGGGCCGGGGCAGCGGCGGCCCCTGCAGCACCTGCTGCTGCTGAACCAGCTGGCCCTGGATGATGCTGCTGATCTGCGGTGGCAAGTTAGCCGTGGTGATGTGGCTTGGGCTGGCCAGGGGCTGCAGGCCGGCCCCACCCGCGGCTGCAGGGCTCTGGGGTCCCAGGTGGTGGATGGTGCCCCCTGACTGTGTGTGGGGCTGGGAGGGTCTCCGCTCTCGGACTGTGATGGGCGTACCCGGGTGCTGGAGCTGAACCTGGGCTCCCTGGGCGATCTGGGTGAGCCCTGACCCATCCTGAAACACAAAGTGTCCACCACTGGAGGGGCTCAAGCTGATCTGCCTCACCAGCACGCTGGCATCCACGAAGTCCCCTGTAGGGCTGCTGCTGCAGAGGCCCAGCCCAGGGCCAGGGGCACCTGCACGCACATTCTGCAAGGCCTGCCCCGGCCCCGGACTGGGCTGCGTGGGACTCTGGGTCTGGACCTGCTGGGACAAGGGGGACGTGACCTGAATGTATGATGGAGACCCATGCTCAAACCGCCGAGGCTGAGCGCTGAACTGGAAGCCTGGAGAGGTGGGGCTGGGGAGCGGCAGTGGGGCCAGCGTGACCTGTGGGCTTCCCTGGAGCCCAGGGCCCACGCCCTGCAGGTCAACATTCATGTTCTGCCCACCCGCAGGGCCCCCTCTCACCATCAGCTGCTGTAGTTGGTGGCTGGGGGATGGCAGTGTGAGGGGCAGGGACGGCTGGGAGCACGCTGGCTGCTCCTCGCCCGCGCCGGGGCAGGCCCCAGGCCACTGGACATGGCGCTGGCTGCTCTGGGAGCTGCTGACGTGCTGCATGACTACGTCTTCAGGAAATGCTCCCTAAACAAATGCAGAAAAGTTAGAGTTGAGTGAGGTGAGCTCCATGCCCGGGCGCCTTTCGGAGCCTGCACAGGTGTCTGGAAAGGTGGCTCAGGAGGGGCCAATGCGGGCCCAGCAAACCCCAGGCACGAGACTGCTACCCAGGGCAAAAAAGGCTCAGATCAGAATATCTGCTCAGCAAGAGATGCTCGGAAGCTTCCCTGCCTCACACTTTTCTCGAACTGAAGTATTCATACCTGCCTAATCCAAGTCTACCGCAAGGGGCTGAAAGTGCTAGCGATGAAGAGCATGGGAGGGGGAGAAGGGAGAGAAGTACAGCACAGCAGGGCATCCCCAGCGGGTGGCAGACGGTGGCTCAGGGTCACAAAGGTTCTCTACGCCCCTTACGTGATCTCATTTAGTTTTCACAGTCATGCCATGGGGTCACTCCTATTGATAGCCCATTTACACAGAGAGACACTGAGGCAGCGAGAAATGAGCTCCCTGGGCTGTAAGGTCCAGCTCTACAGGGCTTAGCGGGTGTTCTCCCCGTGTGCGGAGACGAGAGATTGTAAGAAATAAAGACACAAGACAAAAAAATAAAGAGAAAGCAGCTGTGCCCGGGGGACCACTACCATCAACACGCGGAGACCGGTAGTGGCCCCGAACGGCTGGGTGCGCTGATATTTATTGCATACAGGACGAGGGGGCAGGGTAAGGAGGGTGAATCTTCTAAGTGATTGACAAGGTGAAGCAAGTCACGTGATCACACGACAGGGGGCCCTTCCCTTTTAGGTAGCTGAAGCAGAGAGGGAAGGCAGCAAATGTCAGCGTTTTCTTCTATGCACTTATAAGAAAGATCAAAGACTTTAAGACTTCCACTATTTCTTCTTCTGCTATCTACTAAGAACTCCAAAGAGGAACCAGGAGTGCAGGAGGAGCATGAAAGTGGACAAGGAGTGTGACCATTGAAGCACCACAGGGAGGGGTTTAGGCCTCCGGATGACTGCGGGCAGGCCTGGAGAATATCCAGCCTCCCACAGGAAGCTGGTGGAGCAGAGTGTTCCCTGACTCCTCCAAGGAAAGGAGACTCCCTTCCACAGTCTGCTAAGTAACAGGTGCCTTCCCAGACACTGGCGTTACCGCTTGACCAAGGAGCCCTCAAGCGGCCCTTATGCGGGCATGACAGAGGGCTCACCTCTTGCCTTCTAGGTCACTTCTCACAATGTCGCTTCAGCACCTGACCCTATACCCGCAGGTTATTCCTAGGTTATATTAGTAATGCAACAGAGTAATATTAAAAGTTAATGATTAATAATGTTTATACTAATGATTGATAATTGTCCATGATCAGCTCTGTATCTGATTCGTATTATGACTATTCTTATTCTAACTATTTTCTTTATTATACTGAAACAGTTTGTGCCTTCAGTCTGTTGCCTCGGCACCTAGGTAATCCTTTGCCCACATCGGGCCAAGCTACGAAGTGGTGGAGCCATGGTCCAGCTCCAGGCACACGGGCTCCGAGGCCCATGGGCCTCACTATAGGCCAACACCGTGGACAGGTCCTGAGCCTGCCCCTGAATCTGGGACTTGGACACTATCAACCCCAGTGCTAAAACATCAGTTCCACGGATGTGATCCTGCATGAAGACTGAACACTTGATGGACGGTTTTCATCATTTAATCTGTCCTGAAGGACTCAGTGCATACTGCCTGGTAGAAAAAGGCAAAGGGAATCTGTTCAGAAGTAGTCATTCCAGAGACAGGCTGGAAACACGGGCACAGAGTGCACCTGAGGCACTCCAGGTGTGGCCTGACCCCGGCTGGGAGGAGAGTCCAGCTCCCACCTTCCTACCATGACAGTAGACCCCAACTGCCACGTGTTTTTTAATGAAGGACATGTATTACAGACAAATGCATTTTATGGACAGCTTAGACCTGATGTCTTTTCCATCATCACCTTCATAGAAATTCAAGGGAAACATTCAAAAAGCTGCAAAGATACCACCCACTACAGAAGCCGCCTCTCCTAACGCCTGATGCTCAGGGACACAGTAGACAGTGCTTACGTGAAAACGGTGCAAGCTCACATCCAGCACGAGGTGTGGCGAGCCAGGCAGGCACGAAGCGACGCTTGCCAGCAAAACCACTATAAAGAGTGCTTGATAAACACACTCTTTATGTTTGATTTTAAATGGAAAAATTCAAGATCCAAAATTATGTAATTTTAAAGATGTAATAAAAAGACTCAAAATGTGTCCACAGGTGGTGGTCTCTGGGTTAGGTGGATTATAATGATTTTTTCCCTTTTTATACTTTTTTATGCTTTCTAGATGTTCTCTAATTACTATGTGGCATTTTTATATCCACACGGAAAAAAAGGCATCTTTTTAAAAAGTGGTTTTCCTGGCTGGGCGCAGTGGCTCACACCTGTAATCCCAGCACTTTGGGAGGCCGAGGCAGGCGGATCATGAGGTCAAGAGATCAAGACCATCTGGCCAACATGGTGATGTTGGCCCGTCTCTACTAAAAATACAAAAAGTAGCTGGCATGGTGGCAGGTACCTGGAGTCCCAGCTACTCGGGTGGCTGAGGCAGGAGAATCACTTGAACCTGGGAGGTGGAGCTTGCAGTGAGCCGAGATCGTGCCACTGCACTCCAGCCTGGCGACAGAGCGAGACTCTGTCTCAAAAAAAAAAAAAAAAAAAGTGCTTTTGCTTACTAGTAAACTCTTCTTCCAGGTGTGCAAAGTTTGCACATGAGGGACTGTAATCTAGTAAAATAATAATTAGAAGGTGCATAGAAGATACAAGGCAAAAAACTATTTGTACATTATTTCTAACTCAGAACACCTTTTCCTACGGAAATGCAATGACTACAGTCTCTTTCTAAGATCAGATAGATCAGTGGCTCTGTACTTCGGAAGACTGTGCCCGCAGGGGACATCAGGCAATGTCTGGAGGCATTTTTGGTTGTCACAACTGATAAGGGTGGGAGAACTGCTGGCATTTGGTGGGTAGAGGCCTGGAGGTCTCTAACCATCCTACAACACACAGCACGGCCCCACCAGGAGGAATCTTCTGGCCCCAAATGTGAACCAGCTGAGGCTGAGAACCCAAGACTGAGGAGGTGGCCCTGTGGGGCTGACCCGCCACACCATCTGCACCGTGTGTCCAGGGCTGAGTGAGAGCATCTCCTTGCAGTCAGGCCACCCAAGCACACAAGGAGGCAGCCTGGCCCTCAGTGGCAGCCAGACTGACCCCGGCTCTTCAACTTATTGACCGGGAAGGGGCCACTGACACTCCTGAGAATCTGGTGAAAGCTGTGGACTGTTCTTACCAAACACACCTCACAGCCACAAGCTTTACATGTTTACACATAAGGGACTCTAAGAACCAGACCCTCAGTTGCCAGTAAGGGAATGAGGCCAAGGGAGCTAGTGTCTCCTCATGGGGCAGAAGGGCAGCTGGAGTCCCCCTGAGAAAGCCCAGCCTGGGCGGGCCGGCCGGCAGGACCAATGGTGGGCAAGAGTCCTAAGTGGACCACAGAAGGTCTGGGGTTAGCAGGCAGTGCCTGGGCTCTGGGGAGGCCAGATGAGGGGAACAGCGAGTCGGAGTGCACAGGAGCCTGTGCTTGTACCTGGGAGGAGGGGCCGGTCCTCTTCCATGACTGCTCCCCGTGACAGGACTCCCACCACAGCAACGCTCAGAAAGAGGACAGTGCACACGTCCCCTTCCCACAGCCCTAGTCAGAGCCTCCCGCCAGCCCTGATCACAACACAAAGGGCTGGCGGTGTCTCCGTGCCTGTGTGCCCTAGGCACACACACTGTCGTCTCCAGACACCGCTTTGGCCGCTGGTAGAGTCTGCATGAGGGCAGTCAACACACGGCCAAACTGGAACTCTCTGCCCCACCACAGGTTTCTGCAGTCTCCATGCAGCAGACATCCCTGGGAGCCCCCAGGCTGCTGGGCAGGGCTTCCTCCTCAGTTCAGATTCTCCTCCACAGACGGTGCTTTTCCTGAGGTGGAGTGCAGCAGAGGACCCTTCCTGTCACCCTACACTGACGCAGGCCTGGAACTAGAAAACGGGCTCAGAATACTCCGGGGGCACAACAGAGCTGCAGCAGGGAGAAGGAAGAGGAGCCCTCCCCGGGCCATGCAGGCAGGCCAGCAACAATCAGAACGCGTGCTGGAGGAGGCGAAGGCCAACCAGCAGTTCATCCGTATTCGTCGTATTAGAGTGAACTTAGTGTATTAGAGTGAATCCCAGCACTTTGGGAGGCTGAAGCAGGCGGATCACTTGAGGTCGGGAGTTTGAGACCAGCCTGGCCAACATGGCGAAACCCCATCTCTACTAAAAATACAAAAATTAGCCAGGCGTGGTGGCACACGCCTGTAATCCCAGCTACTTGGGAGGCTGAGGCAGGAGAATTGCTTGAACCCCTGGGAGGCGGAGGTTGTAGTGAACTGAGATCAGGCCACTGCACTCCAGCCTGAGTGACAGAGTGAGACTCTAGTCTAAAAAAAAAAAAAAAAGAAAGAAAAAAGACAAAGATTTTTCCAAATGTACAAAACTGAAAGAATTCACCACCAGCAGATGTGCAGTACAAGAAATGAAGGACATACTTTAGGAATAAGGAAAACAGATCCAAGGTGAAAATCTGGTTCTATATAGTAAACTTGGGAAGAAGAAAACTTCCTCGACCTGATAAAGAATCTCAGTGGCTACAACAGCTAATATGATACTCGATGGTAAAAGCCTGAAAGCTTTCCCTCTTAAGACAGAAACAAGGAAGGGATGTAATACAGTTTGGATCTGTGTCCCCACCAAACCTCATGTCGAATTGTGATCCCCAGTGTTGGAGGAAGGGCCAGATGGGAGGTGACTGGATCATGGGGGCAGTTTCTCATAGTGTTACACCATCCCCCTTGGTCGCAACAGTGAATTCTCATGAGATCTGGTCATTTTAAAAGTGTGTATCACCAGCCAGGCGTGGTGGCTCACGCCTGTAATCCCAGCAGTTTGGGAGGCCGAGGCAAGTGGATCACTTGAGGTCAGGAGTTCGAGACCAGCCTGGCCAACTTGGCAAAACCCCGTCTCTACTAAAAATACAAAATTAGCCAGGCGTGGTGGCGCACGCCTGTAATCCTAGCTACTCAGGAGGTTGAGACAGGAGAATCGCTTGAACCTGGGAGGCGGAGGTTGTAGTGAGCCAATATCACACCACTGCACTCCAGCCTGGGTGATGGAGTGAGACTCTGTCTAAAACAAAAAAAGTGTGCATCACCTCCCCTTCTCTCTCTTACTCCTGCTCTGGCCATATCGTGTTCACTCCCCCTTTGCCTTCTGCCAAGATTGTAAGTTCCTGAGGCCTCCCCAGAAGCCGAGCAGATGCCAGCATCATGCTTTCTGTACAGCCTGCAGAACCGTGAGCCAATTAAAACTGTTTTCTTTATAAATTACCCAGTCTCAGGTATTTCTTTATAGCGGTGTGAGAACGAACTGATACAGGACATCCTCTCTCAGTACTTGGACTCAACATGGAGATTGTAGCAGCACAGTCAGTCAAGAAAAAGAAATAAAACACAGACAGACTGTAAGGGAAAAAGATTAAAGCCCTTCATTCTCAGGCAAAATAATCATCTCTGAGAAAATCCTGCCAGGCACAATGGCTCACGCCTGCAATCCCAGCACTTTGGGAGGCCAAGGCAGAAGGATCACTTGAACCAAGGAATTCAAGACCAGCCTGGGAAACATAGTAAGACCCCATCTCCACAGAAAAAAAAAAATTAGCTGGGGGTGGTGGTATACACCTGTAGTCCCAGCTACTTGGGAGACTATAGTGGGAGGATCACTTGAGCCCAGGAGATAGAGGTTGCAGCGAGCTATAATTGTGCCACTGTACTTTAGCCTGGGAGACAGAGTAAGACCCTGTCTCAAAAAAAAATTATTTCAAAAAATATAAAATACTCAAGAATAAATCTGATAGATGTGCAAGACCTGTACATCAAAACCACAAAACACTGCAGAGAGAAAATTTTAAAGACATTAATAGTGCTCATGAATCAGAAGACTCAGTATTGTTAATATGTCAGTTCTCCCAAAATTGATCTAAAAATTGAATGTAATGTCAATCAAAACCCCAAGAGGCTTTTAACAGAAATTGAGAAGCAGATTTTAAAGTTCATAAGGAAATGCAAAGAACCTAGAAGAGCCAAAATTATGAAAAAGACAAAAAGATTTAGATTTCCTGACTTTAACGTGTATTATAAAGCCACAGCAATTAAGACAGCGTGGAAATGGAACAATCTTACAGAATGCCAGAAATAGATTCACATATACATGGTTAATAAATTTTCAACAGAGGCGAAGATCATAAAGTGGAGAAAGGATAATGTGTTCAAAAATGATGCTGAAACAGCTGGACATCCATATGCAAAAAAATGAACTCTCATCCATTATTTGTACAACAGACCAAAAAAATTTCAAAATGGATTGTAGACCTAAATGTGAAATCTAAAACCAGAAACTTCCTAGAAGGAAATATAGAAAAAACATCTTTGTGTGTGATCTTTGTAATTCTGGGTTAGGCAAAGACTTTTCAGATACAATAGCATGATTCATACAAGAAGAAACTGGTAAATTAGGCTTCATGAAAATTAAAACTTCTGCTCCTGAAAAGACACTGTTAAGATAACCACAGACTAGAAAATATTTTCAAATCACATATCTGATACAGAACTTCTATCTAGAATTCTCCAACTCAGGTTTTTTTTTTTTTATTTCACCAGGCAAAAGATGTCAACAAACACTGTCAAAGAAAAATGGATAGAAAATAAGCACATGAAAAGATGCTCAACTTCATTAGTGATTAGGGGAATGCAATTAAAACCACAGTGAGATGCTCCTACAGGCCTTCCTAAGATGGCTAAAGACCGATCATACCAAGTGCTGGCTGCTAAGGATGTGGAGAAACTGGAACCTATTCATATACTACTAGGGGGAATATAAAATGGTCCACACACTTTGGGAAACAGTTTGGCAATTTCTTAAAAAGGTAAACACCTGCCATACAATCCAGCCGTTCCACTCCTAGGTACTTACCTAGGAAAAGAGCCAGCATGTGTCCACACAAAGTCTTGTAAGTGCGTGTTCCTCCTAGGCTTATATGTGAGAGTCAAAAACTGGAAACAACCCGAATGTCCACTGACAGGTGAATGGATAAAAAAATTACGATCTATCCCTACACGGAATATATTTGGAATATCATTCAGCAATAAAAAGGAATGAACTGGTGATACATGCAAAAAGACGAATGAATCTTTAAAAAAAAGTTAAGTGAAAGAAGCCAGACACAAAAGAGGACACTGCTCCTAATTCCATTATAAGGAATTCTAGAAAAGGCAAATTACGTGACAGCAGATCAGCGCTTGCCTGGGGCTGGGCCTGAGGCGGGAAAGATGGCAAAGGGATGCAAGGGCCCCCTAGAGTGAGGAAAACACCCTAAAAGGCTGCTCTGCAACCACGTGGTGAATACTTACTAGGATTCAATGAAGAGTACACTTAAAGTGAGTGAATTTTATGGTAGGTAACTTATACCTAAATAAAGCTATTTTTAAAGTATAGTGGATAAATATGCATTTATATTTTTAATTGACTATTTTATCTATCTTTTTTCTATTTTTTTTTTAAAGGCTGGTGCCTGGACTGTTAGAAATGCAAAATGCTTGTTCCCCAGTGCCACAGAGAAATAGCACTCGAGCATCCATTTAATGTTCTCAGCAAGGCAGTTTTGACTTTTTGCATAAAGGGTGACCCTCGCAGGTGGAGCCATGGCAAGAGCATACCTGGACACGGGAGGGACAGGAGGTCTTATCCCTGAGGCAGGTAGTCCCTACTGCTGTGTCGTTCCCTTATTGGCTAGGGTTGGACCACACAGTCTAAGCTAATTCCGACTGGCTATTTTAAAAAGAGCAGGAGTACGAGCCAGAGTGGCGGGGTGAGCAGTTTGGTGGGAAGGACGGTTAGGAAGAGGTAACTAAAGGTGACTCCGGTCAAAGCAGGTGACCGAGATGAGTCAGGATGGAGCAGGTGACCAGGGGAACAGATGTGAACTAGTGATTAGGACTGGCGGGAAAGTTGTTTACTGAAACTAGAGGCAAGGGGGTGAAGAGAACCAGGAAGTTAAACTTTAAAATGGAGAATCAAAGAACAGGAAGCTGAACAGACTGACATACTGATTCTTTGAAGAGAAACTTGGGGTTCACTCTATTTAACAGAACTCTTTATTTCTAGGAATCAAGTGTGCTCAGAAAATCAAAGATGCAATGGAGAGTCTGAAAACTATGATTCTGTCTCACTGTTAGAACAGGATTGGTAGGGAGGATGAGGCTAACAGAATATAAACCAATTGAAATATAAAAAGAGATTTTTCCTGAAGAGAAAGGCTGAATAAAATTTTTTAAAAGATAGGTTGGATAGAAAAAGAAAAACAAAGCCAGGCGAGGTGGCTCATGCCTGTAATCCCAGCACTCTGGGAGGCCGAGGTGGGCGGATCACCTGAGGTCGGAAGTTCAAGACCAGCCTGACCAACACGGAGAAACCCCGTTTCTACTAAAAATACAAAACATTAGCCGGGCGTGGTGGCGCATGCCTGTAATCCCAGCTACTCAGGAGGCTGAGGCAGAAGAATCACTTGAACCTGGGAGGTGGAGGTTGCAGTAAGCCAAGATTGCACCACTGCACTCCAGCCTGGGCAACAAGAACAAAACTCCATCTCAAAAAAAAAAAAAAAAGAAAAGAAAAAAGAAAAAGATGTTTCCTGAAGAGAAAGGCTGAATAAAATTTTTTAAAAGATAAGTTGGATAGAAAAAGAAAAAAACAAGGCTGGGCACGGTGGCTCACACCTGTAATCCCAGCACTTTGGGAGGCTGAGATGGATGGATCACTTGAGGTCAGGAGTTCGAGACCAGCCTGGCCAACATGGTGAAACCCAGTCTCTACTAAAAGTACAAAAATTAGCTGGGCGTGGTAGCATATGCCTGTAATCCCAGCTACTCTGGAGGCTGAGGCAGGAGAATTCGCTTGAACCTGGGAGGCGGAGGTTGCAGTGAGCTGAGATAGCGCCAATGCACTCCAGCCTGGGCGACAGAGCAAGACTCCATCAAAAGAAAGAAGAGAAGAGAGGAGAGGGGAGGGGAGGGGGGAGGGGAGGGTCTTTTGCAGACCGGGGCCACCAAACAAAATAGGTAAAGGGAATGCACTCAAGTCTGCCTGATGGTCGGCGAGGCAGGAGACAGAGTCTCAGAGCCAGCTGGAACACTCCTCTAGAAGAGGCTTCCTGAGGGTGATGGCAGAAGGGAACCCAGGACAAGCAGCAGAGGCATGGCTCAAAGCCTGCAACTGGCGGGGACCCCGTTTGGAGGCGGCCAGCCTCAGCTGTGGAACCCGCTGAGGAAGGTTCTGCGTGAAACAAAGGTGGGCACAGGGGAGCTGGAGAGGACACACTCAGGCCCAGAAGCGCCGGCCACAGTCAGCCCCTCTCAAGCAGCTCTGCGTCCAGCCAGGCACACCCAGTCCCAAGGACACCTGGCAAGATTTTCAACTGCCCCCTCTCTCCGAGAGCCACAGTAGTACAGTCAACATTAAGCAAAACAAAATTCATGGCAAACACATAGAACAGGACAAAAAGAAGCCTTATGTCCCGATTAAAGCTGCAACTCGGCAGGGCATGTGATGGCACCTGTGGTCCCAGATACTTGGGAGGCTGAGGCAGGAAGATCACTTGAGCCTGGGAGCTGGAGACTGCTGTAAGCTATGATCATGCCACTGCACTCCAGCCTGGGTGACGGAGCAAGACCCTGTCTCTAAAATACACTAATACAATTTTAAAAAGTTTAAACTCACAAATTATACATGACATACATAAATCTTTATAAACCAACATTATAGCAACCAAATGCATGAAAACAAAATTTCCTAGGACAACCTGATTTTGAAACCAAAACCAAAAAAAAAAAGAAAAAAACCCACTTAGAATGAACGACTGTAAAACACCTCTTTCAAAACCTGATTGATCAAATCGGACAAAAATAAAGAATGGAATACAACGCAACAAAATAAGTAATATGCTTGTTATAAAACTTTGTACTTGGCCAGGCACGGTGGCTCACGCCTGTAATCCCAGCACTTTGAGAGGCTGAGGTGGGCAGATCATGAGGTCAGGAGTTCCAGACCAGCGTGGCCAACATGGTGAAACCCTGTCTCTACTAAAAGCACAAAAATTAGTCGGGCGTCGTGGCACATGCCTGTAGTCCCAGCTACTCGGGAGGCTGAGGCAGAAGAATCACTTGAACCTGGGAGGGGGAGGTTGCAGTGAGCTGAAATCACGCCACTGCACTCTAGCCTGGGTGACAGAGCGAGACTCGGTCTCAAACAAACAAACAAACAACTTTGTACTTGTGAAATTTTTATAGGCCATAAATAAAATATGCATTAAGTCCCCAAAATGAAGGTTATACATAACAAATTAATTATATTTTAGATGCCAAATTCATAAAACTAGAAATTCATCATAAAAATGACAAAGAGTAGTTGGAAGTTTTTAAAAACCACTAAATAATATCTGAACCAAAAAAAATTAAACATGAAATTACGAACTTCTCTAGAAAGTTAAAAAAACAAACAAAATATAGAGTATTTCTCTTTTAAAACCTATGGGAAACAAAGCTGTACTTTAAGAAAAAGTTACAGCTTTCAGTATTTTTATTATCAAAATAAAAGGCTGAAAATAAGTGTTCAATTTAAGAAAGTATACAAAAACTGAAAACAACAAAATGAAACAAACAAACAAAAGTAGTAGAAAGGCTAAATTAAACCAAAAACTGATTCTCTGGGAAAAATAAATAAAATGGATAAAGTCCAAGCAAGTCTGATTAATGAAAAAAGAAAAAATAAAAACAGACAAATGGGCCAGGCGCGGTGGCTCACGCCTGAAATCCCAGCACTTCAGGAGGCCGAGGCAGGCGGATCACGAGGTCAGGA